>NC_000006.12:122343517-122646547 GCF_000001405.40 Homo sapiens | reverse complement strand
TAAAAGTGAACATCAACTGGAGATTTAATTTCAAAATGTAAAGCATGAGAATGCTTAGATTTTGTTTTGAGGGTTTCATTTTTCTTTGACTTCAAATATATAGGTACACATAAAGTCTAAGATCAATAATAGAAGGCTGTTAAATGCTAAGACTCAAGCAAAAGAGTCACTATTCAATTTTTTTCTTAGTCCTTAGAAGTGAAGGCCCTGGTTTGATGTAGGGCATTCCCAAATAATGTAACTGGGGCTGATATTCCCCCAAATAATGACTGTCAGGGAAAAAGCCAGTTAACACTCATATTATTGTAAGGAAATTAATTTCAGCAACTTCCACATAATTTTCTCTTCTATTACAAGCAAGCTTCAGTCAAAAACAAAGATCTACTTCCTAATTCTTTCATTTTATACTTTCTTCTTAGATAGATAACCTCTTCCTAAGGATAAATCTAAGCAGAATAAGGAATAATAACACCTCCATATTGCGTGCTTCACTTCGCCTAGGCCCCATGTGAGCAGTTTCAACCGCAGGAAGTTAAGTCTGATCTGAAGGTTACTATGACCTTTGCAAAAAAAAAAGGCAAGGCTGATTGTATCAAAGTTGTCTTTTAATCTCTTCATCAGTAATAAAGTAAAGCACAATTTTGTAATTAACACACTTGAGTTTTTCAGTTTTCAAAAGGTGACCATCACATGAGTCTGCACTAAGGAATATGGAAGTCAGCATCTTTAAAGACCTTCCTGGCTCCCAGCTCCAGTATCCTTCCAATCCACATAACCCCCAAACCTGAGGATGTCACAAGTATCCTTTAACCCGTGGCCCCACCTAACAGAGTCTCTGCTTTAATGCCCTATGTAGTTCACTACTCCCTCCAAGATTGGCCTCTGTGCTGGTCTATCCAGGTTTCCCAGGGCCTGTATTTCAGGCCCCAGCCTCAGCCCCAATCCTTGGGACCCACAATCTGTGAACATATCTATCTGTTTATCTGCCTGGATATTGTCTGCTTCCAGACTCTGTGTCACCACAACCCACCCACCTGCTGGGACACCATCTGCTGCACCTTGCTGGTCCTAGTGGACTCCGACCCCCTATCTGCCAGGACAACCTCCTGTTGACATCATTATTCTCTCCAGATAATCAGCCTACTAGCTCGGTTGGACTTTCTCCCATCAGCGGAAACAAGTTCCAATTCCAATGGCCTCTTTCACACTGGAGACCATGCCGTCATTAAAAAACAAACTAACCCCATCCTCTACCACCAACTCTTATACTGACAAGTTACACTACTCTTTGTCCTATAAAATATGCCAACTTAACAGGTTTTAAGAATAATTAAAACAGATTGTGGATTATTTAAGAAAGAGTTATGTGTGTATGATAACCCTAAAAGATAGAAGTCATGTACCAACCTGTACTAAAGAAAAGTGATAAACAGCAGAATATTTTCACTGCCAATAAAGAACTGAAAAGCAATAATCAAATTCAGCTTTCCAAACAGTCTGCCATCTAATAGCACAGTTATAAAGACAAAAATTGAAAAATAAAATAAATGACATTAACCCTTTAGGAGATAAAATGTGTACCTAATGCAGAAACAAGTTCCAAACCCAGTTACAGGAGTTGTCACAGTCCATACAACTCTAAGATATATGAATATTTTGCTAGTTTTTAAAGCAGTCCTTTATTTCTGCAAATGTGCCTTGATTTAAAACAAATGACAAAGAAATCATCAGTGTTAGCTGTATAATCATTAATACTCCACATAGAAACAATGTTTTCACCAGTTTAAGTTTAATAATTTCAAGATGTATTGAAAACAAAGGCAAGAAACACTTAAAATGATAACAATTCTCAAACTCAAAGTACTGTTTGTAGACATCAGATCTAATGAGGTCACATCACATTAAAATGTTATTAAATAATTAGCTGTACAGGCAATATTCTAAGTACTTTACAAATATCAACCGCTTTAATCTTCTTAAGAACGCTGGGGGAGAGGCACTAATATTAATACCATTTACAAATGAAAACACAGAGACAGAGAGATTAAGTTAATTTACTAGCTGTCACACAGCTAATAATAAATGACAAAAGTAAGACTCAAATTCAGCGATCAATGGTTTGATCCCCTGCACTTTGCTGCATCTCTGAATGACTTCTGAGGCTCCTGTAGCCAGAAAGGGGCAAAGCAAGGTACAGAATAGAGATTTGACTTCCACTGTCTCATGCTGTTTCCATAAAATCATCTGGTCAGTTCAAATGTTCACCTAGTGTTAGAAAGACTAAGAAATTCTATGTGGTGGACCAGTCAATTGTCACAAGCAAAAACAGCAAAAGAAATATAAAGTATTCCTGAAATCACAACTTTATGTGATATGATTAAACTATGATGTACGTTTAAATACCAACAACAGAATTCACAAACTAACATATAGAATAATTTTAAGTGAAGTGGCTCATTTTGGGTTAACCCCTTGCAATCAGCTCACACGATATGAAAAAACAATATAACCACAACCCAGATTAAACCAAAGAAGAGCTTTCACTGATATGAAGCACTGTTTTTTTTTAAGCCGCACTACAGCAACCATACCCACACAAACAGAACTGACATATACTAAAGACTTTACCAATAATTAGCAATGAAAATATTCATGATGTCTTCCAGCAATTTAAAGATACATCTTCTAAGACAAACAAACAATAATAATCAGTCTATGTGCAGCTTTTAAATAGTGATTTCATCTTTATGAAAGTTATAACCTCAACCTTTTAATGTTGTGTTTTAAAAAAACCATACATTTACACTTCCCTACCAATGAAATTTGATTTTTTAAAGACTATAGTTAAAATTTCTATGCTATTTACAAGGTAGGATAATAGTTTGACATTAAGTTAATCAAAAATATTAGGTGTTCTCAAGCATCTGTAAATTAGAATACTACAGGCTGAACGTATTTGTAGAGAATTCAAATTACCATTATTTTATTAAGAACATTAAGTGAAACTTGAAACTTAACACATGAGAGATCTTTACTTGTAACGTATCACTTAACTTATACTGAGTATTTTAGCAATTACATTTTTATTTCCAGCAGGCAATCAAGAATACTGATTTTAGTGACATTGGTGATAGAGTGGTGATCATAGCTGCCTTCTAAAAATGCTGATTTTTAATTATCTTATAAATGTGCAAAACGTTTTGGAGAAACAAAATCAAATTTGAAGTGAGTAAAACTTAATAGTTAACACCAGGTTACATAGCTGGTTAATGGCAGTCCTTGAAATACCTAGCTCAAATCTCAAAATCAAACAATTGCATGGGGTAAGAAATAGAAAGCTTTCTACTCCTTTGTTCTGTTTGTTATGCTGCTTCTTATGTTTAGAAAACATGTAGGGAACTAAGATAATGCATTCTTAGAGCTGCCTCATTAGAAAAATGAAAAAGCTTTACCTTGTCTTCAAAATGGCTGGTAACAATATAGCTTTAATTTATTCATTTTTCCTTATGCTTGTTCTCTCCCCTACCAGGTACACCTAAATACTGCCTCTTTTTTAAAAAAATTAAAAATCTGCAATCCTTTTAATCCTAGGAGCTATACTAGTTTAGAAGTTTAAAATAAAGATGTAATGAGGAATTTGGTGTCCTAACACCATGAATCATAGTGATACAATAGTAATATCACCTTGACTATGAAGAATACCTGAGACCAAGCCTAGGTAAAGGAAATTGCAGGCCTGTATTGAACATGCAAGTTTCAGGCTATGTTTTAATTAGTGAGTCAATTTTCTGTCTCCAGTACATTGGCACACCCAAACCTTAAAGATATGTCACACTCATTAACTAGCCGGAAATCAAGACAACTGTAGGACAAAACTAAGCTGACAGTCACTAGACAAGTGATGATGTCTGATCACCAGTGACACCTTATTTTCCAGACCACATTCTCCTACCTAGAGGGACAAATGGGATAGAGTGAGAAGAGGGAGCAAATAGCTTTACCTGGCATGTGAGATAGCAAGCATAAGGAAACAATGATAGATTAAAACTATACTCTTACCAGCCATTGTGAAAGCAAGGTATCAGACTTCATTTTTCTAACGAGGTGTCTCTAAGAATGCCTTATCTTAGCTCTCTGCGTGTTTTTTAAACATAAGCAGCAGAATAACAAACAGAACAATGAACTAGAAAAGCTTTCTATCTCTTGCCCCATGCAATATTTTGATTTTGAGATTTGGGCTGGATATTTCAAGCACTGTCATTAACTAGCTATGTAACCCAGTGTTAAAAGAACAACTTTAGACAAAATAAATTTAAGAGTTTATTTAAGAAAAGAATGAATAATCAAAACTGAAAGAGGTTCAAAGAGCTCTGCTCTAGCAGCCTAAGCAGTGGGCTTTTATAGTCTGAACATGGAAACAAAGTAAAAAAAATTACTTGATTAACTATAGCTATGTATTTCCGTACAGTTCAATGGGAGGTCTCTTGTTATATAATCAATCAGCTAGCTGGGTGTCTGTGATTGGCTGAAGCTCAATTCAAAATTAATCAGTAACAGCTGGGAGCTGTGGCTCACGCCTGCAATCCCAGCACTTTGGGAGGCCGAGTTGGGCAGATCATCTGAGGTCTGTAGTTTGAGACCAGCCTGGCCAATATGGTGAAACCTGGTCTCTACTAAAAATAAAAAATGAGCCAGGTGTGATGGCATGTGCCTGCAGTCCCAGCTACTCGGGAGGCTGAGGCAGGAGAATCACTTGAACCCAGGAGGCAGAGGTTGCAGTGAGCGGAGATCATGTGGTTGCCCTCTGGCCTGAGTGACAGAGTAAGACTCCATCTCAAAAAATAATAATAATAATAAGCAGTAACAAGGAATGCCTCTAAGTTAACTTTTGGTGTGGCTTGTATAAGGGTTCTGGAAACAGAAACAACCCTAGATGAATGGCCTCCTAATTATTTGGCTTTAACACCAGAAAGTCACATCACCTCTCGAAGCTTTGTTTTCTTCATATGCAATCTGATCCTTCATTGTGGTTTGCCTGGGAAAATTCTAGTTTATTCATATTTTCCTGACTTCCCATCCAGTTTAGCTTTTGCCATTTTCAAAAGTTCCCAGCACTGGTAATATATAAAGCCATAAATTAGAATGATGTTTTCTTCCAACTTTTCTAGCAATAACGTTCTGCTATCCATGGGCCCAATTTAGGAGTAGGGAAGGCCACTAGATGTGAATAGCAAATGAAGTGTTTCATTTACCAAGTGAAATACAAATTTCACAGGGAGAACAGAGCTAGAACTATATATATCTACATATATTTCAAAAACAATCTTTTGAAAAGAAGTGTGATATTATTTTTGTAAGTTAAAAAACACAAATCAAGACTAAATATTGGAATGGTTGTATAAATACATGAGTGAAAATATAAAATAGACTGGAACAATGCATACTAATTCATAGGAGCTTCTGAGAGGAGACTTAACTGTTGCATTTTATTTCTTTATAAAGGAGACTTTAAGCAGACATTATAAAATAAAATGAGTCAATTTTGGGAGGTGGGAAATTGATTTTATTCTTTGTTCTCTTCATTATTTAAATGTCTCATTATTGAAATTCATATTCGTATAATATGAATTACACGAATAAAAAACAGAACACAGACTATGAAAACAAAGAGAAGGTGAAACTAACCTAAGATAGGCCTGGAAAAGTGAGCTCACAGTATTGAAATATTTATTTATTTAAATATTCATTATTGCAGCTGGTAGGCATGTGAGAAGTGAACCACAGTTCGTTGAGTTAACGTTCTTACCGGCAATCACTAATTGCTTTATGTGTCTCATGTTGGCATAATCTTGCTCTAGTTCACCACCTGAGTCCTTCTGGACTTTTTACTGGCTAGTTCAAATTATGCAACAGTTGATACCAACGACATGATTGAAAAATAGGAATTGATTACAACACAGATACTTAGAACTAAACCCTAGCAACTTTCAAACTCATCCAACTTGCATGAGCAGGCTCTCTTTGAACATGTCACAACGTGTTGTCCAAGATCTTCTTTGATATGACAAACTGAAGTTGACAGTACAGGTCTCTTAGAATACTACAAAGTAGAAATTGAGCTAAAAAAAATCTTTCCAGCAACTAAGAATAGGTAAATAATAAGGAAATGGTAATGAAGTAGAACAATTGTCTTGGCAGCTTTTCTAATGTTGTATATGTTTAGCATTTCTCACTGTACATTTTAGAAACATTTTGTTTTTATGAATCCCAAATAAGAAGAGAGGATCTTTTTACGTTAGTGGGTGTCATTTTAACTTTCTGGGTTGTTTAAGGGAGTCCAAATGTTTCCCAAGATGACATTCTAGTTCCCATGAATTGAGTACCATCTATTGAGTGTCCACTATATAGCAACCATTTTGAATTAGTTCATTTACACTCATTATTTTTTTCTCTTCTCACCACAGCCCCGTGACACGTACTATCTCCTTTTCTCTGATGTAGGCACTAAGGATCAGAGATGAGAGATTTGGTCAAAGCCTAAGAGTAAGTGACAAAGCTGGTAGATCTAACTCAAAAGCAGCCTTGTAGTCCCTTATTGTATTGTCTTCAGGCGAACCCTTCCCACATCAATGGTTTCAACAACAGACCCTGGAACTTTTGTCTTTGGAGATGAATTAATTACCCACCTCCAAAACCAACCCGTCACCCTCCCACTTATGACCAATCAACTCAGTTATCACAGGTAGCTTGTTATAATTTCAGGAAGCCTTTCCCTTGATTAAGCAAAAATGTTTTCTCCTCTAATTCCATCCATTCAAATCTAGTTTTCCCTTCTCAATCACACAGATTTTTTTGACATGATATTTCTCACGTAATTGAAGAAAGTTAGCGCATCTTCTCTAGGACCTCCACAAAGAAAACATCAGCCACTCCTGATATAACACCTTTTGGGTCTCCTCACACTCCTCTAGTCAATTTTTCTCTAGTTCAAAATTTCCATGCTAGTGATTCACAGACTCTGGAGAATTGCAGTGTCTTTAGCTCTGATCCCCACAGCTCACAACAGTGCAGGGCACAGGGTAAATGGAATAAGCACTCAAAGAACACTTACGGAATGAAGAATTGAGAAAATGAGTTTGGCACACTGCAAACATTAATTGACAATGACTTTGATCACTAAGAATTAGTGCTAATCTGTTAATGATCACCTTCATTCTTTGTATATATTCCCTTTACTCTCCTTGACAAGGGTATCTGTGTGTTCTGCTCCTTTGTTTGTTGGTTGTTTTGTTTTGTTTTCCATTTTCCCCTCGAGAATTCACTGCTTACAGTGTTTGGACAGTCTTCAAAAAGTGACAGTCTGGCTAGCATGAACATTAACAAGATTTATTCTTTAAGTTTAGGGTTATGCTTGTTTGATTTGGTTAGTCGTGCTTAAAACAAAATGGCTAAGTTTCTCTTTTGCCTTTATTAGCCAAGAGAAGAAAACATTTTACACAGTTCTTTTGACTACTTCCAGACTTTTTTCTGGTGGTGGTAAAAGAATATATGTACTAAGTGTAGATTTATGAACAAATAAAGATACATGTTTAAAAATCAATGTTTATTTAGCAAGGGTATTAGAGCTAAGGTCTATTCTGTAGTCTTTTTTTAGTTTCAGGCACTTTTAGGCACATCTCCTGAGCCAGCAGGATGAATCTGCCAGGGATATAACTTCATGAATGTCTAAAAGTTCTTATAGGAAGGACAATGATGATGGCTGTTAACCAAACCCCAGGACCAAGACCTGCCTGGCAAAAATCCACTTCTTAACAGTCCCAGTCCTTGTGTAAGTAAGGGAAAAAACTCTTTAAGGTGGATGGATAAAAAGAGTTGAAGTGCTAAACGCAATACTGAGAAAATGATCGGGGTTAGAAGGCAAGAGATGAATGGCTGAAGGCAGAACTTGGGGCAATTTGAGCCCTGAAACAAAAGGGCAACACAGGTTGGGGAGCAGATTCCCTGTCAGCTGAGAGACTGCTAGTGGGAGGACATGAAGCAGAGTGAGTGCTCTCTGGAGGAACAGCAGTGAACAGGAGTCAACGCATTGGCCAGAATCATGGATAGGGGCTGGATGTGAACAGAAAGACTAGAAAGTTCACGGGTACACTGGTTACTCTTTCCCATGAGATATTTGGTCCTCAGAGTCTAGTAATTATGCTAATATGGCCTGGGACAGAAAATTGCTACTTTGTTAGTGTTAGTTGATTGTTATAGTACAGGCTGGTACAACCTTGAATATTTTCCCTAAATTAAAACTTTAAAAAAATTATTGGTCATTAATTATAATACATTTTCCTTTCATACTTCCTCTGAGTCCCCAGCATTGAAGGAGCAGCAGTACTCTGGAAGGAAGCAAATAAACTTTCTTGTATCATCAACTTCCATAAAACAGGAAACATTTCTCTCCAAATTTTATCATTGTGTCACTCCTCTGCGATTATCTACTGCATTATTCAAGACAGAAATTGAATTATTTCATTTTTATTAGTGATAACTTATTTTAACATGTTATTTTAATTCAGAGATTACTCAAGGAGGTTGCAAATAATTTCTACTGAAATAAAATGCCTTGGCACGTATAAGAATTATAAAACTGTCTTGTTGAAATCCTCTACTCTCTTGGATACTTTAAGCCAAATTTAATTGATCTTTTTAGGTGGAACAATTCATCTTTCCATATTATCACTGGTCTTTACTAGAACTTCATCTTTATTTATTTATTTATTAATTATTATGATTTTTTTTTTTTTTGAGACGGAGTCTTGCTCTGTCACCCAGGCTGGATGCAGTGACGTGATCTCTGCTCACTGCAAGCTCCGTCTCCTGAGTTCAGGCCATTCTCCTGCCTCAGCCTCCCAAGTATGTGGGACTACAGGCACCTGCCACCACGCCCAGCTAATTTTTTGTATTTTTAGTAGAGATAGGGTTTCAGTGTGTTAGTCAGGATGGTCTCAATCTCCTGACCTCGTGATCCACCTGCCTCGGCCTCCCAAAGTGTTGGGATTACAGGCATGAGCCACCGCACCTGGCCTTCATCTTTATTTTTAACTAAGATATATTATGTATTCTTCACACAAAAATTTCTGTGATGCTGTGTGCCTTCAGGAGATAAAATAGCAAATTAGTACTATCCCAGAAAAATTTCTGCTTTACTAAGCCATCAAACAGTAATATATTGGAATGTTAGTCAGAATTTATTGATTCATTAATTCCATTTCCCCTCAAAAAATCAAGAAAAAGCAATTTTCAAACATTTATTAGGTTCATGCTATTTGAGTCTCTTCTCTGTTTTATATGTATAGAAGTTTTAATATATCTACAATCAAGTCTATCAATCTCCAATTATGATTTTTGCCTTTGATGTCATGTTAGACAAGATTATGAAATTATTTGCCAATCTATTTTCCTCCAGTTATGTCTCTGTCATTGTTCTGCTTTTATCAATCTGACAAGTATTTGTATATTGTATAAATAAAATATCCAAATTTACATGTTTTCCTAACATTAACTAATTATTGTTGTTGTGCTTTTTGAATAGTCATTACTTTCTCCATCAACATGAAATGTGGTCTTTCTTATGCATTACTTTTACATGTGCTTTGATCTGTTTGGGGAATTCTCAAACTGATTTGGCTTCTCTAAGTTTCTGTATTAGTAAATAGTACCACACAATTTTAATAATTGTAACTTTTTAATATGCTTTAATACTGGGAAATAGCAAGTTTCAACTTTCTTCTTTTTTCAAAAATATGCCTTTTCCAGACTGTCCATACTTCCAAATGAATTTTAATAATCATTTTGCCAAGATCTCTCCCAAATCCTTTTTTGGATTTTAAATGAAATTGTACTAACTTTATAAATTAATTTGAGGAAGCTAACGTGTACAACATCTATTATTCTCATCCAAGAATACAATATAAACCTTCATTACTGCTATTTTTTCTTTCTGCATAACATACTTAACAGCCAATTGTTTATCTTATGTTTCTCAATAGATGTTATTTTCTTAAGTCTTGTACATTTCTTTAATAGTTTATTCATAGCTATATAATATTTAATTGTTATGATGAGATTTTTAAATGTTTTTTATTTGTTGCTGTCATAGAAAAATCAACTGATTTTTACACATTTATCTTTTGTATAGTTACTTAACAAAGTTCATTACCCTAATGGTTCTTCAGTTAATTCTCTTGGGATTTTTAGTAAAATATATATTTTTAGCAAAAATATAACATTTTTTCTAATAATTATAACCTTTGAGAGGCAGCACAACATGGTATTTATGATTAAAGACTCATAGATCAAACCACATGAGTTTTAATTCAGCTCTGCTACTTATTAGCTTCATGACCTTGGCCTTGTTACTTAGCATCTCTTGGCCTCAGCTTCCTAATTTGTAAAATAGAATGATAGTAGTCCATATCTCCTAGGGTTGTTGTGAGGATTAAATGAGTTAATATTTGTAAAGCATTTAGAATAGTTCCTAGCATATATAAGAAAAATGAAGAAAATATTAGTCTTTTAAAACATTTATTGCGTTGGTTAAAATTTGTTAAATGATATTAATTATAAGTGATGAAATTGGTCATGTAGTAAGCCACTAGGGTTTTTCTGCTTTCTTGAAATCAGAAAGCAGAAGTTTTATATTTTAATGACATCTCTCTATTCCTAAATTACTATGCTACATGTATGTGTGGTTTCTTAAAAGTAATATAGTTGCATTTTATCAAATGTCATTTGAAATCTATTTGGAAGTTAAAATAGGGGTTTTATTCCTCAGTCTAAGACTATGAAATCACTTTAATAAGTTTCCTGATACTAAACCACTTTAACATTCCTAGAATAAACACCATGTGTTGTATTCTATTTTATTGATGTCTACATTATTTAGCTAGTATTTCAATGAATTTTTATGATTTTCTTTTTTGTGATACTTTTTTTAGTTTTTTTTTTTTTTTACTTTTTTGGTATTGTGCTTCTTATTAAATAAATCAGAAAAATGTTTTCTCTTTCAAAGAATTCATAGAATATAGGGATAATTTGTTCCTTAAGAGTGTATATTTCTAGTAATTGATTATAAATAGCTGATGAAAATAAGATACTATAGTCACTTAAACGTAGTGTTTTAGCTCCCATCAAACATTTCTATTCAAGCTGGTCAAGGACATAGGCTTATGCTTCCGACAAAATTAGGCTCAAGTCTTAACTCACCACCCACTTGCTAAATGTGTGCATTTGGCAAGGTATGCTTGTATCACAGGAAATAACCATGCCTTCCTTACCTTCCTCATAGAGTTACTGTAAGAATTAAAGAAGATTATGCTTATAAATCACTGTATACTCAGCCCACAATATAGACCCAATAAATTATTTTATGTTAGTTTTAATTTTCCTTAAGTACAAAATTAATTCGTATTATAATTCTACTTATTTTGTTCTAGTATGGAGATTCTAGTGGTTTATGTAGAAATATAAATGGTTTGGGTAAAATTATTTGTGTGAAATTATTTTATAATAAAAGTAGGTTTCAATTAAGACATGCTATTCTTTTTTTTTTTTTCTTTGAGATGGAGTCTCGCTCTGTCACCCAGGCTGGAGTGCAGTGGTGTGATCTCGGCTCACTGCAAGCTCCGCCTCCCGGGTTCACACCATTCTCCTTCCTCAGCCTCCTGAGTAGCTGGGAATACAGGCGCCCGCCATCACACCCGGCTAATTTTTTTGTATTTTTTTATTTTTAGACATGTTGACATAAATTTAAATTTTCACATCAAAGTAAAAATGCTCTGATGAGCCATGGGAATGAACCTATTGCCAATGTTAAATGAAATCACAGAGGGTTAATGGGAAAGTTGTACACTGGTTTTAAGAAGACCAGGCAATGAGCCTAAACCAAATGTTATGTCTTCCACTCCTTCCTGCTTCCCTGGAGTTGTGTTCTAGTAGGAATCTGAGAGGGGGAGAAGAACTTTGGAGCCTTCCCTCAGGCTGCAGCTGACCTTGGGTTCTCTTGCTCTGTCATCTAAGCTGCAGTGGAGAAGCAAGGTTCTCACTCTGGGTAGGAGAATGTAGCACTAAGGGGTCCAGGTGCCCTCAAATACAAGTTTTACCAAGCTGATAACATTTATTTATTTATTATTTATTTATTTTTATTATACTTTAAGTTCTGGGATACATGTGCAGAATGTGCAGGTTTGTTGCATAGGTATACACGTGCCATGGTGGTTTGCTGCACCCATCAACCCGTCATCTACATTAGGTATTTCTCCTAATGTTATCCCTCCCCTTGCCCCACACTCCCTGACAGGCCCCGGTGTGTGATGTTCCCCTCCCTATGTCCATGTGTTCTCATTGTTTAATCCCTACTTATGAGTGAGAACATGCAGTGTTTGGTTTTCTGTTCCTTGTTACAAACTGATAATATTTTTATGAAATACTAATAAGACTGCAATATGAATGTGGCCTCAATTTTCAAAGGATGCACTACTGTGTAGGCAAGTATGAATATATACAGATATCTGTCATAGATAGATGGATAGATAGATAGATAGATAGATAGATAGATAGATAGATAGATAGGACAGATATCTGTGAGATACCAGCACACAAAAACCTGTCTCTCAAACAAGTATTAACTTGAGGTTTATGTTCACCTATTAGTGTCATCAAGAATATTTAATTGTAGGTACTGATTATAATTCTATTACTATGGTCTCTGAGGAGAGTAGTAATAAGAAAAGCAGTCAGTTTATAAGACCTGATAGGCAGTATGAATTTCTCTTCTATTTTAAAGGCTATAAATTTCAAAATACTATTCTGATGGGCTAGCTGCCTCTATAAGAACCATTTAAGTAGGCACAGCTAAGAGTGGAAATATCAAACCAAGCTCACTTATCCCTGGCAGATATGAGTTGAAAATGTGTATCTCAAGGTCCCAGTATGTATCGTTTGCTATTAATTAGAAATTAACAATATATTCTATCAATCTTATATTAAACTACATTGTTTTCTAAAATGAAGATATCCCACCTTACATTTTCTTTGCTGTCATCTGGCTTTATAGCAACAAATATATTTTTAGGAACATCTTCAATATATTATTCCATATGTTCCAAGATCAATGGAACAAAAATATACTTACTCCTATCTTTCCTGTCCCTGGCACAGGGTTTTCTGCTTCTCCCAGAGTTATCTTGATGAAGTGTCTTTTCAGTATAGCATGACTCCTGAAGGAAACAAAGGCAGGAACAGATTTATTAAGATAAACATCTCCAGTTGCTTGTCTCTTGCAAAAAAGAACAAGTTGTTCCTTAGACAAAAAAGTCTAACTTAGTGACCAAATGTCACATGTTGTTAAAACAACATTCATTGTCTTTTTTATTCCTTTTCCCAAATTGTTTTATTCAGTTTCTCTGATAGCAAGAGCAGGACAAATTTTCTTGAGTAAGCAGCTCCATACACCCAGATAAATAAGGAATGTATTTCTTTGTATTATTTTGTTCACCATTCAAACACATCAATTGTATTCTGAGCAGTCTTTCTCATGTTTTGCTCTAAAACTGTGTAACATGAACAGTCAGAGACATTCTTACTAAATAGTAAAATAAACAAGAAAGCAAGATTTTTTTTTAGATTTTCAAATTTCCATTGAAAATAGATTCACTAGGTGAATGATAGCCTTTCTCAAATGTGTGCTTTAAAAAGCAATATATCCCTGCAACCGTTCATCTTTGAATTTAAATACCAAGGAGCAAGGACATTGTTTTCCTCAATCACAAGATCTAGTGATTGGAATTTTTGGAGAGAAATGAATCCAGTAAAATCCAGTCTACGCATAATGCCTCACCATCTAGAGGTAATCTAACATTTTGCTATGAATAGGTAGCCAATCAACTTGCATATTTTTTGCAGATCATATTCTTTTAGGTATTTATATGTAAAAAAGTCCCCATTTAAAAACTAGTTATTAGCTTTAAATAGCTGGAAAACAACCTAGTTATTTTCATTTATGTATATACTTCTGTGGAGGTGGCCACAGCTGATCACTGGGTTAACCAGACGCCCTTTCACTCAGGCAGTCTACATATTTGAGCAGACACATAGTAAATGCTTAGATGTTAAAAATGAATGAGCCATGTTTCTTTCATTTTATGAAGATCATCTGTTTCTTTTTCTAGATGTGAGGCCAGTAATGTCAACATTCCTCTGCTTGTATACTAGGGTTATTCAGAGCAGGGAAGAGTCTAGTTTTATATTATGCATTCAAGGATCAACGTTGTCTGCTGTCTTCTCTTCCCTATTCCTTTCTAATAAACCATCAAATTCTATCTATTCCAGGCTCTTAATGTTCTTCAATTCACTCTTCATTCCAATTCCATTTGCATGGGCAAATCTAGTTCAACTCTCCCCAGCCATAGCTTCTTCCATTCCACCCATTCTTCCAGGGGTTATGACATTTCTCACCAGTATCCCTGCCTGAGTCATTCCCCTTCGAATCCATCCTCCACACACCTTTCACACTGGGACAGTAACTGAACTTCCAATTTGTATAAAACCCAAGAACTATACGTGGTGGAGATATTTCACTATGATTCTCAAATAAAGTATCTTTTTCCCCAAATGTCAACATCATTATGTTAGCCACTCTAAGTTAGTTTTCAAATAGTTTGATTACTCTCTCCTTTGCTTCTCACATAGCTTACAAATGCACTGGTAAAAGAATGTCCTAAGGGCATTGCAACATATAGGCAGAAGCACTGAACTCAGTTCTAGTTTCAACTCATCTATTTATCAGCTGGTGATTTTGAGGAGTCATGTCCTTTCCTGGAGGTGAATGACAGACCTTTGTTCATCAAATGGCATAATAATATTAATCCTGCCTGTCTCTCCAGGTTGTTCTGACATTTAAAGAAGATCACATACAATGAAATTCCAAATATACGGTTATTACGCTCCCTGAAGATCTGCAGAAGTATAAACTTGCTTCCTTTGTTTAACACTAAATTCAGATTGAGACCCAAGAGGTATCTGTGATCACACTCTTAAGTCTTACAGCTTTCTTTTGGAAATGTGATGTTCTAAAGAGTTTGTTTTGGCTTCCCAAAAAAAAGAGCACCAAAGGAATTACACTGTAATATATTTGGATGTCAAAGACATTCTGAATCTAAAAAAGTGAGAAAAAGGAAAGGGAGCTCAAAACAGTGACAAATCTCAATTGGCTGAACCTGCCATTTAATTAAAATAACTCGACTGCCATATGTGGCACAGATATTAATGCCATCTTTTTCAAACTCTGCTAATATCTCCAGACATTACTGGACACTAATAGAAAATATGTCCCTATTCTCTGTCATTGTGTTGTAGAGTTTTAAATGAAAGAAATGTAGAGTGTGTGTAATAGGATGTTTGTTTGTTCTGTTTCCAAAGAGGAAATAAAAGATATCAACCAAATATTCCTTAATATATAATTAGCACTGTGGCCTCAGCTCAAGGAAGTCTTTATTTTAGACATAAAAACGACAAAAAATGCTGCTAATCCATGCTTTCCTCTCCTTCAACCCCTGAGTTCTCATGAGCATCCCATCTGCTGGTTTCCAGGTAACTTTTATATGGGCTTTTGGATGAGCATTCATTGCAAATACTTTTGGATGATACTGATTATCCTACTTAACCTCTTTACTGTTTTAGATCACTGGGTAATTAGCCAAACAGTATACTGAGGATCATAAACTGAAAAGAAACAGATATAGCATATCCGTGCAGTACCGATTTTATCAGGCTGATGGATTGAAAATGGTAATTTTAATAGTGCTTTTTAAAAATTATAGTTAAAATCATATAAAATGTATCATAATCATTTTTAAGCATATAGTTCAGTATTCCTCATTATATTCATATTGTTATACAACCAATCTCCACAACTTTTTTGTCTTGCAAAACTGAAATTTCATACCCATTAAACTACCACCTCCATTTCTCTTTTCAAAACCCCTGACAACCATCATTTTACTGTTTCTATAAATTTTACTATCTAGTTTTATAAGTGGAATCATATAGTATTTGTCTTTTTGTGACTAGCTCATTTCACTTAGCATAATGTTCTCAAAGTTTATCTATGTGGCAGCAAGTGCCAGAATTTCTTTCCTTTTTTAGGCTGAATAAAGCCTTAAATAAAAATACTCTGATGTATATATTGTATTTTGTTTATGTATTCATCCATCAATGGACACTTGAGTTACTTTCACCTTTTGAATATTATAAATAATGCTACTATGAACATGAGTGTACAAATATCCCCTCAACACCCTGCTTTCAAATCTTCTGGATATATACACAGAAGTGGAATTGCTAGGTCCTATGATAATAGTATTTCTTTTTAACATATTTTTTTACAATAGTTTTGATTTACAAAAAAAAATTTGAAGATAGTACAGAAAGTTCTTATACTGTTCCATACCCAGTTTCCCCTATTATTTGTATCTTACATTAGTATGGTACATTTATTACAATTAATGAACTAACATTGATATGCTATTGTCAACTAAATCCCATACCTGATATCTCTTTAGTTTTTATCTGACGCCCTTACGGTATTTCAGAGTGTCATTTAGGATACCGCATTACGTGTAGTCATAATGTTTCCTTTTTACTGTGACATTTTCTTAGACTTTCCTTGTTTTTAATGACCTTAATAGTTTGACAGATATTTTGTAGAATGCCTTTCAATTGGGATTTGCCTGGTGTTTTTCTCATGATTAGACTGTGGCTATGAGATTTTGGGAGGAAGACCACAGAGGAAAAGTGCCATTTTCATCACATCATATCAAGGGTCTATAATATCAGTATGGCATCACTACCGATGTTGACCTTGATGAGATAGTGTTTGTCAGGTTTCTCCACTGAAAAGTTAGTCTGTCTCCTGCTGCTTTCCTCTGTATTTTTGGGAAAGAAGTCACTATGTGTAGCCCACAATTAAGAAGAAAGGAGTTATTTTCTACCTCTTTGAGGATGTTGTGTCTACTCAAATTATTTGGAATTTTTCTGCACAAGAGATTTATCTCTTCTCATTTATTTATGTATTCAATTATTTATTCATAATGATATGAACTCATGATAGATATTATATTTTATACTTTGGATTATAATCCAATAGTACTTTATTATGCTCTGCAAATTGTTCCAGATTGGGTCATCATTAGCTCTTTCAGTTGGCGCCTGTAGTACTTTTCCTGTTAATGCAATACATATTGCATTATCTATCACCACTCAATATTTCAGCCTTGACATCTAGCATATAGCTCTATCTGGGTAACACAACTGAGAAAAGCCTTATTCAAGTACAATGAAAGACAGAGAGTATTATGAAGCAGTTGTAATGGACATTGTGGTGTGCCACCAGCTGCCCCCTTCAGGACTGAACCATTCATTTCCCCAGCTGATTATTGGTGGTTGATGGCCCTCAACTGAAACCTTCCAATTACGAGTTACTGCAGGGCATAAAGAACCTGCACTGAGCCCTCATTTGGACTGATTCTGAGGGCACATCCCAGCTGCTGAGTTCCCCATGGAATCAGCTTTCCCCTCTACCCAGGAATGTTTCCTGTATACACAAACAACACTAGGTAACCTCTAGTAAGGGAGATAAGGTGAAAGTCAGCATACTGAACACATGCAACTGGAAAGAAATTGGTTACAGAGAGGAGAGAATTTAAATTGTGAAAAATGTTGTGAGTCAGGTCAGGCTAGGTTATAAGGAATCCTGAAAGCCAGGCAAAAGGCTTAAGATTGAATTAGCAGGCAATAAGTCTAACTGGGGGTGCAGTCCAATAAAGTATGATGTAGCCATAGGAAGAAATAGTATCTAGATATAAGAAACCAGAAATTGTAGCTAACATTTATACTAGCTATTAATGCACAGGGCATACTTTGTATCCACTATGTCATTAAATCTTCATTACAACTATTAAGATCTCAATTTTGCAAATGACAAAACTGAAGCTCAAAAATATTCAGTAACTTACCCAAGATCACATAGCTAAGAAGCCCACTGGAGAGATTCAGACTTTGCTCTGTATTACTCTTAAAGTAATGCTATTCAACTCAGCAAGTCTTAAAGAATATGTAATCATAAGACATGGCAAATGTTTCATAAATGTTAAATGAAAGAACTGGAGGCCGGGCGCGGTGGCTCACGCCTGTAATCCCAGCACTTTGGGAGGCCGAGGTAGGCGGATCACCTGAGGTCGGGAGTTTGAGACCAGCCTGACCCACATGGAGAAACCCCATCTCTACTAAAAATACAAAATTAGCCGGACTTGGTGGCGCATGCCTGTAATCCCAGCTACTTGGGAAGGCTGAGGCAGGAGAATCGCTTGAACCTGGGAGGTGGAGGTTGCGGTGAGCCAAGATTGCGCCATTGCACTCCAGCCTGGGCAAGAGCAAAACTCTGTCTCAAAAAAAAAAAAAAGAACTGGATACACTCGATATACAATAGAATCACAATTTTGTTTTTTAAAAGTATATATGTTAATCCCATACATAACAAAATATGAATGTTTTCTGTAAGATGATATACAGTTAAAATCTTGTATGAGTTTACTTATTTATTTTCCTTATTTTATATATTTTATAAATTAAATCATGTTCTTTTCTAATCAGAAATAAATTAATGATATTTTATAAAAAGAAGTTTTCTTTATCAGTAAATGAGGGATGACCATGAAAGTGTCTATGTTACGTCAAGAAAGGATGTAGAACAATTAACTGTCTGTGAGACTGAAGAAAAATGAATGAAGGCCATTTGGGGTAATAAGCCAAGTGTTTTAGTTTGTGACTAAAAGCTGACAAATGTGAAAGATGTCAAAAGAATTTATGCCAGGGTTGATTGTTGATTTGGGTAGGGAGAAAAAAGAGTCAGATACACCCCAGGAATTATCCAGAAAAGGAAGAATTGGCAAGAAAAGTTGGAAGGAACATGATGAGTTCAAATTAAGACATTCAGGTATTCAGTGAGTGTGATTCAACCAAGAAGGGCTTATCCAATAGGCAGATGGGAAACAATATTAACAGTAAATACACTCAATTGATCAAATCCAGGGGAGTAAATCAGGGAGTAACTTATGAAGTGATACATTTGAACTCATGCATTTAAACAAGCCAACAAAAGTGTAGAAATTAATTATAGAAAGAGAAGAGCAGAGTGCTAGGACTAAAACCCACAGGAGTTAAAATTTGGTGAGATGATTTTTTTTTCTTTTTTTTTTTTGGAGACGGAGTCTAACTCTGTCGCCCAGGCTGGAGTGCAGTAGGCACAATCTCGGCTCACTGCAAGCTCCGCCTCCCGGGTTTACGCCGTTTTCCTGCCTCAGTCTCCTGAGTAGCTGGGACTACAGGCGCCCGCCAGCACGCCCAGCTAATTTTTTTTTTTTTTTTTTTTTTTAGTAGAGACGGGGTTTCACCGTGTTAACCAGGATGGTCTCAATCTCCTGACCTCGTGATCCACCCACCTCGGCCTCCCAAAGTGCTGGGATTACAGGCGTGAGCCACCGCGCCCGGCCGAGATGATTGTTACTCAGAGTTTAGAAAATTTAAATTGTCCTTTGAATTGCATAGCTGTTATCAGGTAAAGAAAAACAACTCTCAATGTGGTATAATTTTTATTTGAAAGTTATCATCTCATATTAAGAAGGATCTGTGTGTTCATTCGTTCATTCATTCATATATTAAAAAACAATATTTACTGAGTGCTTCCTTTGTATGAGAACTTGTACAAGTGGTGATAAAATGTGGTTGTTTGGATCCCTTGGCCACATAGGGCTAGCAATAAATAGCAAAAGATTAACACAAATAGACCACACAAAAAACATTCTGCTTCATCTGTCCAGAATGCACATTTCCTTTTGCTCTTCCTGGAAGGCTGTGGGCCATCCTTAATGGCCCAACTCAAATGCCGCATCTTCTGTGAAGCTTTAGGAATTGTTCCAGATTGTTATTAATCATAATCTCTGCCCCAAAATCATTCTTCTTATGACTCTCTGATGCTTTCTGTTACAGCTGTGTTTGATAGTCTTCCC
The DNA here is from genome assembly GCF_000001405.40 of Homo sapiens. Lineage (NCBI taxonomy): Eukaryota > Metazoa > Chordata > Mammalia > Primates > Hominidae > Homo > Homo sapiens. The sequence goes on along the minus strand of NC_000006.12, from coordinate 122,626,436 downwards.
CAGAGCGTGTGAACATCTTGAATGGCAATGTTTTATTCAACTATCTGCAGGACTTAGGACAATATACTGTAGGTATTCAATAAGTGATCATTGAATGGAAATTCATAAATCTTTACTCGTATTAGCAAAAGGTAAATAATAACTTTAAAGAATATTTGCAAATGTGTTTTACACTCACTTTTGCTCCATAAAGTTCAAAAAGGATGAATTTATACAGTTGTGAAAATATGAACCACTAAAGTATATTGATTAGTAAGTGTTCACAACAAAATTAGCATTATTGTATTCAACTGATTTACCTACTATTAATTTTTCATTTCATTGACTTCTAATCTATCTCTATCTATCTATCTATCTATCTATATTTTGAAATTGGATCTCTCTCTGTCACCCAGGCTGAAGTGCAGTGATGCAATCCTGGCTCACTGCAGGCTTGACCTTCTGGGCTCAAGTGATCCTCCCATCTCAGCCTCCTGAGTAGCTGGAATTTCAGGCCCATGCCACAACACCTGACTAATTGTTGTATTTTTTGTAGAGATGGAATTTGTCCATGTTGCCCAGGCTGGTCTCAAACTCCTGGGCTCAAGCTAAGCACCTGCCTAGGCCTCCCAAAGTGCTGGGATTACAGGTATGAGCCACTGAAGCTGGCCAATCTAATCTGTAGTCTATTTCTTTCCCTATTATATATGCTTGATTTCTACAACTGTGACAGTTTTTAAACTAACCTTGGCAACTGCTACATTTTCATAGCTTTTTAAAAAAAGTTAATTAATTAATTAATTATTATTATTATTATTTTTGGAGACAGAGTCTTTCCGTTGCCCAGGCTGGAGTGCAGTGGGGCAATCTCAGCTCACTGCAACCTCCGCCTCTCAGGTTCAATCGATTCTCCTGACTTGGTTTACCAAAGTCTTGGGATTAAAGGCATGAGCCACCAAGCCAGGCCCCATAGCTTTTTAATTTACATAAAATTGCAAATAACCTGCTTTATACATTCATGGGCAAATTTTTTATCTACCATGTGGTAGATACAATGGAGGAAACACAGACCCACTTTTGTGGAAAGAAGGGTTAGAACTAGACTAGTTGATTTAAAAATATACAGAAATGACCAAAATCCAATTTATCTGAAATTTTTTATTCAAGTACTAAAAGCCTCAGCAGGTGAAGAATGAATAAAAAGGAACTGATAAAAATGACGAAGAATTAGAGATATATTCATCTTTCAGGTATCAGTTTATACAAGTAGTTAAACATCTCATCTAATTGTCTTCTTAGATTCAAGTCAAAACCATAAACATTTTTAATAGGCAAGGTAAAATCAGGTTTTCTTAATTAAAAAGGTAACATCTGCATTGCGCAACTGCTTTTACATAGTAGTTTAGTAAAGTTGACTCAAAGTCTTAAAAATGTTGACAAACTTTAACCCATTAATTCCACTGTGAAACTCCTTTCACACTTCAGGTCCCCAGGATAAACCTCTTTTTACTTTGCTACTGTCAGGAGGAAAAGGAGATAAAGGGATTTTGACATTTAATAAACACCTGTTCTGTATCATGAACCTTAGTAGACACCTTGCATTTTAGTCCACTTAATCATTGCAATTAGTCTATCACAGAGTGGATCTTTTGCAAAGCTTAAAGATAGTGAGATGCATCCCTAAGATCACACAGCTAATAAGTCCCAGAGCTGGGATTCAAATTCAGCTCTGTTCAACTCTAAAGCCCACAATTAATCCACTACACATCATGGTGCCTCACAATATTCTTGGACTTTTGATCTGGATTTTATATATATTTTCTCCTCTATATGATTTTTCTCTTATGATTAAATGACCATTCCTTGATACTTAATATTTTGCTTTATATCTCAAAGCTCTAAGAAATATGAATGTTTTTGGAGAATTGACTCAAAAGCAGTTCATAGACGTGTTCATTACCTCTAAGTTTTCTTTTAAGTTTTAAGGATTTCCTCTTCCTTTATATCTTATATCAAAGACAATATGTCTTCACATCTTATACTGGAGAGAAACAAGAGTGCTAATATGCCCCCTGAATTTATGTTTCATGTTCATAGAATGTGATGGATATAAAGAAGCTTGATCAAAAAGGTTTCCTGCTATGGACTATGGCCCAAAGAATAAAATAAGCAAAACTTGTTACCTAAATGATTTTGTAATATTCAACCTTTTGCATTCTTTCATCATACCATTATAACTTACAAACATGTTTGCTTTGGATTTTGATTAAGTTGCCCTCCTGAAATAATTTGGTACTTACAATATATTGTCATGTTTGAGAACATGGATTCTGAAGACAGACTTAATGATTATAAATCTTTACTGTGTACACTTGGCCAAGTTACTTAAACTTTCTGGAACAGTCTAGACTTCCCTATAAGTAAAAATATCTATAATAATAGTATTTACCACATAGAGTTGTTAGGAGGTTTAAATGACATACTGAATTCTTGTCACAAAGAATAATGCCTGGCACATATTGTGTTTAATATGTTTTAGATTTATTAATACTCTTACACAAGAAAGATAAACAGATTGCTCCTGCCAATGAAATATATGATAGAAACAGTAAAAAAAAAAATCACTCTTAAAAGTAGCTTTCAGTATATCTTAGAAAAAAACTTAATTGTTCTATTACTATTTAGGTAATACCTTAGAAATAACTTGAATTGAATGATCTTCAACATATTTGTGTATATGTATGCGTGTAAAGTGTCTGGGTGCAAGGCTTGAGGGAAATTTTCAAGTTTTTAAGTATTTTTTTAATAATGTAGATCCTACAGAGAGTACAGATCTCAAAGCCAACAAAGAGGCTTCCCTTTTGTATACAGAACAGAGCCATGCCTCCTCACCCTTTGAATCAGTAGGCAAACAGTTACAGCCCAAGGCCAGAAGTACTGAATAAAAAAGTGGTGGGAGGGAAAGAGCTGGCAAGATTATTTCTCACATCTGACAAGGCACATTTCTCTACTCCACATTTTAGCCTTTGATGCAACTGTGCATTACTTCAACATACTGATGATGTTATGTCTTGATCTTTAAAATATGTGCCTGGATCTTAAGAAGAACCCATTGCTCAACACTGGCAGAACTCAGTCTTCCTTACAAGAGCTAATTAGTTTCAACTTTTTGTCAACTCTCCTAAAGAGTAATTTATGTGCTGTGTTAAATATTAAAAATAAAATAAGACGTGATCCTTGTGAATTGTTATTTTCTGACCTTTCTACACAGAAAGAAAATTCAAAGAATATCTCAAATATTAGTGGCAAATTCTTTTATCGATATTAAATCAAATACTCTGACATTCAGGCCCACATGACCAAAGTAAGAATTTGCTTGGCGGGTTTTCTCAAACATAAATGTTTGCTCTGGCTTAATAGTGCTAATTGGAAAGTTACGTATTCCATGCAGCATAAAAAATTACTTTGCATTGACCCAGAAAACTCACCTTGCAAATAAGCCTCAAGAAGAAAGAAACTGAAATCAAAGTATTTGAAATGAGAACTCTAGCTGCCAGAACTACCTGCCCTGCCCCAAGTTCATGTTTAATTAAATCTACATCAATAATTCCATAAATCACTTGCACGTTCAGAGAACATAAGTTATCTTCTCTGATTCTAAGGTCAGATACTTACTAAGAACCCTCATGCCTGTGGGGATGTTTGGCACCCTGCCAGACTGTACTACTTCTCCGGTAGGGGTGAGCCCCCACTACTGCAAAATGCCATGGGGGATGAAGCACCACTAGAGCATTGGTTGCTGAGCAACAACCCCTTATGACTGATCCATGGGGACTGCTAAGCAACAGGGCTGCGTCTGACCTAGCTGTTCCCAGTGCACCCCCAGCTCACTGTCTCTCAAGAGGGCCAGGTTAACAAGGGGTCAGGGGCCCTAAGTGACTGGTTACATAATCTATACACACACTTTTCGGAATGTTCTCCAATGATAGCTAAATAAAAATCAGAGCAGAGCTAGTTCCTACCTAAAGGATACCCTTGAATGTATCCTTCATTTAAACTCTATCCTTGAATCTTTGGAGTAGCTGTCAGAAAAACTAAAGCATCAGAACTAAAATCTTTGGCAAAAATAGTCTAAGTATTTACAAAAAAAAAATGAAGAAGGCTGTTCCTTTTAAATTATGACTTTGAAAGTTTCCATAATTTTATAGAATTTTGCTATTTACCGAGTTTGTGCTAACACAAAAAAATGGGGAAAAACATAATTTAAGAGTTAAATCACATGATTCTTATGGCAAACTTATTCCTAAAATATTTTAACACATAACTCGTGTTTAAGTACAGCAATTTCTAGGAAGGGCCTTCAATTATCCACAGTTAAACCCACACTTTATATCTTTAGTCTTGACTTCTCCTTAGTTCCACACACCCTAACTCAAATTCAACAAATCTAAATTAGTCATGCTTCTTTAATCCATATGTGACTTACTTCTTAGAAGGCAACCACCGAGTCAATCCATCTAAAAATTTACCCACTCAGAACTTGAGTCCAGCCCTCCCCATATTTCCTCTAATATCCTTTACTTCTCTGTAATGGAGGAAGAGACATGTGCTCTGAGGGACATGGGCTTTCAGCCAGTACACCACTGTACAAATAAGATTCCATTTTTCCTGTAATTTGAAACGTTCAATCAAGTCCAATCTATTTAACATAATAGGCAAAGCACTTCTAAATCTATTTCCTATCAAATTTCCAGCTACATCTCCTGTCACTGTCCCTTAGTGTCCACATTCTATTATGTTGAATTAACTCTAGTTCCCTAAACATATGCTGCACTTTGAGTCTCTTTGCTCTTCCTAGAACACCTTCCCCTTTATGTGGCAAACTAGTGGTTATCTTTCAAGATCTAACAATAGCATCACCTCTACAGAGAAACCATTCCTGATATTAGATTACTTATAACCACCTCTGGACACATCTGTAATTGATTCATACTCCTATGGTGGCTTTCATCACATCGTGTTTGCAGTTATTTACCTATCCAACACTAATCCTGTGCTCTTGAAGGGCTAGAACCTTGTTCAGTTCAACCTGATCTCCTCAGACCTGGCATATTCCTTAGCATCAAGGAGGTATTTATACTATAATTTATTAAGATTAGGGAACGGTACTCCTAGGCAAAATTGTAAAATAAATAAGGATTGGGCATCTCTCTGTTTCTAATCTCATTAATCCCCCCAGAAGCCATTAACCTATAATATCAGAGACAGGTAGTAAAGTAATTAACCAAAAACTACAAAAGTAAATCTCCTGACCTCTAAGCTGGTCTTCTTCCTCCTAAACTGTGATGAGTCATTGTAGGGTAAATAAGCCAATATCCCGCAGTGATCTAATCCATCTGGTAGTAGGTTAAAATGACCAGATTGCTTGTACTCCCTTTATTATAATCATAATAACAAGAAACTCAAGGGAACGACATGGTCAGGTAAGTAAATCATCAAAAGGTGGTCTGGATCTGGTCTCAGGGAAGATAACTTTTCATTCAGATAAGCAAATCTTGAAGTAGTTTATGCAGAAATCTTTGCTGCAACTAAAATAGGGAAAATAATATAAAACAAAACATTTAGAGCTAAACAAAAATCAAAAAAAGGTATTTCAATTTTTAAAAATCCTAATTAAAAATTTACAAAACAGCATTTACTCAACATCTGCCTCCCTCAACATACTAATTAAAAAATTAAATAGGAACACGAGCAAACAAGGCACAAAAATCCATGAATGCAGCAGCCAGGCATAGTGTCACAAAGCCACTCAACCTCTTACCTCACCGCCTCAGGAGCTAGACATGTATAACCACTTTCATGCCTTGTGTGGAACTTCTTGATTCTACACAGATGCTTATGCAACAATATTCTCAAATATTTTGATACTAGCAGTAAACGATTGTCTAAGTTAAACCAAGCAACACAAATTCTGATCAATGGAAAGCTGAATTATTAGCCTATCTGTGTTAAGAAACCAAGAGAGAATTCTTAGTCTATAATGAGCTTTTCGGCTCTATATACTTCTGAGTCTGTGCTTCTTTAACTAGGTTCTCTTCTGAATACATTTGGGAATTCAAAAAAACACACACGACCACATGGTAAGTGAGAGGTCACGATATTGGATGTACATAGGAAGGCACCAGATTTAGGACAGAAGAAGGATGGGAGAAGATGACTGTACACCAATTACTAGAGTGTTCAGAACAGGAGGGGTTTGTTCAGGTGCTAAACCCTCAGCATTGATGATAGAAATGAGAAACGGTAGAGGATGGTATAGCCAGAGTGCTCAAAGGAGCGGAAGTGAGTATAAGAGGGTGGAAAAATATTGTACAGGTGGCATATGGGGGCATGAAGGGAATGTGCCCCCCTCTACTACTCTGAGATTATAAAATTGAAAATAATAAACAGTCTCCAATAGGAAGGGCTTAAGGAGAAGTAAGATACCCAGGGGAGAGTCAAGCTTCAGGGCTAAGGGAAAAGGTGGAAGTTAATAATATAGATTAATTTATTATTATTGAACAGTTGTTCCAGGTAGCATGATGGAATGGTTTTGAAGGAAGAATACAAAGGAGACATTGGGTCAAGGGGGAGGTAGCAAAACATATAACAAAGTTTCAACACAAAGAGAAAAAATGAGCAGGTGAATGATAAAATCAGAGACTTTGAAGCATTTGAAAATTAGCTGTTTTTCAGGACCAACAAAATTATATGTTCCAAAACTGGTAATGTGGTAATTTAGGAAAGCTGGATGCTATGACAAGGGTTATAGAAATTTTTTTCCTTCTAGGGCTCAGGTTGTGAGTGGCAGATGTGGATGAAGGGGGAGCAGTCAAAGAGCCTGCAGTCATGTCTGCATTCTAACGCATTCTAACAGTGGGACAGCTATGAGAAAGGTAAGTTCCAAGGCAGGTGCGGGGGTGAGAAGGCACAGGATGCTATTCAAATCAATGGGGAGGGAATCCATTATAGGACAAATAGCTATAAAAAAAAAAGGCTAGCCATTAAATAATAATAAAATAAGGTAAGATCCCCACTTTATTTCTTACTAAAATAACTGCCAATGGATTAAAATTTTAAATAGAAACAAAAGATGTAAAAAGTACTAAAAGCAAATGTAGGTGAATACTTTTACAAGTGGGAAAGGCCATCTTAAACTTCACAAACTACGTGAGAATAGATTGATAACTTTGACATCCTTAAAAAATTAAGTATCCTACAAAGCAGTGCACCCTAAATCATTAATGGTAAAAAGAAAACATTTAAAATTTGTAAAATAGACATACAAAAGGTTGATATATTTATCAATAAAAAGCTCTTGCAAACAGATTGAAAAAACAGGCAAAGAATATAAAATAACAATTCATAAAAATAACTAAAAATATTCTGCCTCACTACCAATCAAAGAAATACAAATGTAGCTATATTTTCCCACTGATTTCTAAATTTCAAATTTTTGAAACTGTATTAGTATGTTAGTAAAAGTATTATTTTGAATGTAAACTGCACAGGCTTTCTGAAGATATTTTGTAAAATATATCAAAACTCTTTAAAAATTAACATCCTCTGATGCAGCAATTCTATGTCTAGAAATTTATTCAAAGGAATTAATCAAATAGGTGTATATGATGTATCAAAATTATGAACAGAGTTATCTACTATGCTATTGTTTATAAAACTGAATTTGGTAACTTTCTGTAGCGTCACCAGAAAATTAGTTAATGGAGCCATTAAAAAACTGTAATTTATACTAAGATGATTTATTAAGTGGGAAACAGGGAATATGATATGATAATTTTTTGTCTTTTAAAAAGTTATGTGTATGCAAAGAATAATTTTATAGTGATTACTTCTAGTTAGTGGACAAATCAAATATAAATAGACCTTTTTTTTCTTAAAACTATTCTGAAATTTCTGATTTTCATTGCAACGTATATTATCTCTAAAACATTATTAAAAAATGTTAAAGGTTAGGACTTGGTAGTATTTTAAGTGGAAAACATTACTTGCCCAGAAAGTAACATGTGGAATAATTCATTATTATGTAATGATAAAGGGTTGACAAAGAGATGAGACTGAAAGAAAGAAAAAGATGTTTGAGGGTATTTTCATGTCTGTGATTCTTGGTGAAGAATTTATAACAGTAAGCACATACTGCCCTTGAAAAGTTGAATTCTACTTTCAAATACTGCTAATAGCTAAAGTAATGAATTTTAATCGTTTGGGTATGTTTCTCTTTTATTTTGTTTTCTCATTTCTGAGTTAAATCAATGATTACCACAGGGTGCAGTGAAATTAGAATGTAGCCTTTCAGCAAACTAGAAAGTGTTTCCTATCCTTATGATCTGAAATTTTATCTAACCAAAAACTGTTTCATAGGATACTATACATTCTTTTAAGAAATGTTATTTTCTTTAATTTTCTGTTTCTACTCATTTTTACACTGGCAATAGTAATTTTAAGAGGAAGAAATGTAGGATACAAACTGTACACCATTGTTACATTAATGTAAAAAACATCCTTACAAATGTACAAAAACTGGAAGATACCCAATATTAAAACAATTATGGATGCATGTGAGAATTAAAATAAAAAACATCTTGATGTACTTAATAAAGTAAATCTTTTTAACAGTCCTTATGTAAAATAATTCTAGATATACTTAGACATAACCTAAACTGTTGTCATCAAACTTAATTCGTATTTCAGATGAGTCATATTAAAACAAAAACCTACAAAAAGAAAACAAATCAACTGACAATTAAGACCAATAATATTATTGAAAGAAAATATGAAAAGTTTTCATCAAGTTGGGATAAATTAAAATACTTTTTTAAAGAGTTGGTAAAAATAAATATCTATGAGTAAAAACAATGTTTTGTTTCCTCCAGTGTTTCACTGAATACTGAAAGGTTTATTTTTCCTTTCAAAGCATTCAAACCTAGAACCCAAAATATGAATTTCTCAGAGTTGAAACAAACTATGCTGGGTTTTACTTGAAGCTTAATATTCTTTGGCAAAAGTCCACAAGCATCTCAGGGAGCTGACCCAGATCTACCGTGCCAGAAAAGTATTCCTCACTTCCCCTAAAAACTTTCTCCACCACTCCCTGAGGGAAATAAATAAAAATGGCTCCCCTCAACCCCGTATTTCCACATGGTTGAATCCATAAGGGACAAATAAATGAAAAACCTGAAATGACTGTTTGATTTCAGAGGTGTAGAACTTTGACCACATTAGGTAGTGCATACGGTAGATGCAATACCCATTAACCTGTTGCCTCTTTGCAGCCATATTTACAAGGGATATTGAGAATGAGACCTGAGTGTGTGCTCAGCCACTGGCTAAGAAGGTCCAATATAAGTGAGTTAGCTGGGCATTTTTACTGAGCTCAAATTAGAAGGGTAGAAAGGCTGTAGATTTAAGAAATAAGCATCAATCAAACTTGGCTTTTAATCTCAGCTCTGCCACTTTCTATTAAATGACTTTGAATAGATACTCTCTTTGCCTACTCGTCTTAAAAAATAGAGCAGTAACACTGACTTCACAGATTGGAGAATAAACGAAATTAGTGAAAATGTGCTACAAATTACTATTTATTGATCAATCCACCAGACTCCAACCCTAGGGGTCTGGCAGATTGCTCAATAAACAGTAGTTTCCTTTCTCTTAGCATAACAGTTATTTCCATAGAAAGAAAAAAAAAAACTACTCACCCTTAAAAACATCTCAAGCTTCTACTACAGATTGAAAACATTGTATGTTCAAGGCCTCCACTTTCGTCCTTAACCCAATCCCCTTTATTGGAAAGCAGCTCCATAAATTGTCTTTTCTATACTTAACAGCCTCTCCCACACTAATGACTCCTAAAGATAGGACAAAGGCTTTCCTTTAAATATTAAACAAAAATTAATTGGACACTGTGTCGCGTGATTCCCTGCATACCGAACCGTCTCCTCCATCTTTCACCTATAATCCTGGGAGGACTACTGGACACTAGCTGATCCTATCTCCTTACTTTCCATTTCCTTCTCACGCAGCACAATCTGGCTTCAACCTTCCAATCATAAAGCCATTACTCTTGCTTTCTACTTGTCAAAACAAAAGTCCCTTCAACCCTTCTCCTATTATGTCCTCTTATGTCTATGACTTGTTGATCATGCCACACATTTTGAAGCTCTACATACCTTTGTCGCTATGACAATGCCCTTTCCAGCTTCTCCTCTTGGGCTCTGACTGGAACTCATTTCCCAGGATTCATTTTTCTCCCATTTTCCTTCTGATTCCATGTGCTTCCCATAGGAGATCTCATCATTATATTTACCTACTGCATGCCAATGTCAACTCAATCTGCATCTTCTGAGCTTGTTATACAACAGCTTCTTGGATATCTTCACCCCAATGTATCTTTTACTCACACCCACTGTATTAGTTTGATAGAGCTGCTGTAACAAATTACCACAAACTGAGTGACTTAACACAACAGAAATTTATTTTCACACAGTTCAGAATGGCAGCAATCCAATCAACTGTCAGTAGGGTTGGTTCATTTTTGTGGAATCAGAGGGGAAATCTGTTTTATGCCTCTCTCTTAGCTTCTAGTGGTTGCCAGCAAACCTTGGCATCCCTTGGTTTACAGTTTCATAACTTCAATCTCCCCCAGCATTGTCATGTTGTCTACCCTCTATGTGTCTTTCTCTTTGTGTCTCTTGCCTCTTCTTATAAGGAAACCAGTCATATTGGGTTAAGAGCCCACCTTACTCTAGTATGACCTCATCCTAGCTAATTGCATATGTAGTGATCCTATTTCCAAATAAGGTCATATCCTGAGATTCTAGGAAGGACGTGAATTTTGGGGAGACATTATCCAACTCAGTACACCCATGAAGTCGCCCCATTCTTAAACCTGCATGTTTGTAAATTGTGCCAGCTCTCACTTCAAGCCAAGAATCTGAGAGGCACTCTTCATTCTCATGTCTTCTTAACTTCATATCCCAACTACCATCAAACTCAATTATTTTCATCTCCTAATATTTCTAGAATCTGAATACTTTTCCTCATCCCTAATTCTGCTGCCCTGACTCATTCAGCATCTCTTGCTTGGCCTACTAGAGCAGTCCTTCCAGTAGCCTTCAGATGAAACCTCCCCAGGATTACAACAGTATATACATATGCACAGCTTCATGGCATGTTAGAAAGACATATTTAAAAATTTTTTTTTTCTTTTCACTACTGCAAAAAGTTCTACTACTTCACTACAATACACAGAATTATCATAGACACCCTTCTTCAAGGATGATGGAACTGAAAAGAAGAGTGGTTTCTGTGAAGTCCTGGCGTTTATAAATTTTGGCTTGATAGACTTTTTGCAAACCCTTGGAGTGTAACAAAATCCACCATACCTATAATCTGGCTTTTCATTAGATTTCAAGGCCTTTTTGGGAAAAGTGAGAAAAGTAGGGCTTATTTCAGCATTTTAAAATTTAATATTATACCTGGCTCCAGAAGCTCCATGGTAGAGGTATTTATTTTCATTTTAAAATATAAAATAAACTAATGTAATACACTAATGTAATTGCATGAGTTGTAAGCCCTCTTTACACACACATGCACATACACATACACACACACTGATTTTAAGATTTTATGATTTTAAGAATTTTAAGAATGGTGTTTTCTTCTTCTGAGATGTATTAGCTCAATCCATAAAATTTAATCTAGATATAAATTATTTTGTGACCATTAAAATATAAGCATGCTTGAGAAGACTACCTAATTATTTCCTGTCTTCCATGGTTTTATTCCTGAAGCTATCACACTGGACTTCAGTTCTCCCTTTACTTTATCCAAAAAAAAAGAAAGCCTACAGTTTACTTACTCCCACACCCCCATGGGGATGCTTACTCCCACACCCCCACGGGGATAAGAATACTTTCAACAGCATAGCCAATAAGAGTGCTTAGAAGAAAGCAGAGACTGCAGGAAGGGAGAGTCTGGGAGGTACAGGAAGGAATCCAGCTCCATTCATATTGTCTGTAGATGCTTCTGTTGCTGCTTCTTCAATTACATTAAAACTATCTTGGCTACAGACCACATTGTCTTAAAGAATCTCCATTTCCTTGGCCCTCTTTCCAATCTGAGAAATCCTACTTCTAACAGATCCAGGATTCTAGGTGAGAATACCTCTTCCCGTTCAGGAAATTATGCAAATCTAGATTGTTTTATTTTTATCTAAACATCTCTGAACTCTCTTCTCCAACCAAGCACCCAACTCTTGGGCAATGTCACATTTTTACAACTAGGAGTGACTGAAGAACACAAATCCACTCTGCTCTGGGCACATAATACTGCTATTTGCCACTTGCTAGAATAAAAAGTGTACCTCAGTTCAGTAAAAAGTAGCATATCCATTTGATTTCTCAAAATCAACTGTAATTCTTTTTTTTTTTTTTTTTTTTTGATGGAGTCTCACTCTGTCACCAGGCTGGAGTGCAGTGGTGCCATCTCAGCTCACTGCAACCTCTGCCTCCTGGGTTCAAGCGATACTCCTACCTCGGCCTCCCAAATAGCTGGGACTACAGGTGTGCACCACCACACCCAGCTAATTTTTGTATTTTTAGAGAGACGGGGTTTCACCATGTTGGCTAGGATGGTCTCTACCTCTTGACCTTGTGATCCGCCCACCTCAGCCTCCCAAAGTGCTGGGATTACAGGCATGAGCCACCACGCAGGGCCAAAACCAGTTGTACTTCTAATAAAAATAAAAAATAGTAGCTGTCTTTGATTTTATGGGGATGTTCAAGTGCTTAACCTAGATTATTTCCATGTAATGTCACTACCTGGTAATGACTTTTTTAAAGTACATATAACATATGAAAATGTCTGAAACTAACAGGATTTAGAGGAACATGTACTAATGGGGGAAGTTTTAAAACAGGAAAACCAGAGCCCTGGTCTAATATGTGATTTTTGTATATGGAAATCACTTACTCTTGGGCCTTAGATCCCTAAATCTACTAATAGAATATGCTTAATTATTATTTAAAATAATTATATGGAATCATGATTAACAATGCTTATCACAAGACATATAGTTCACAAGACGTATAGTTTATTTTTGATGTTGAGGAAAGAATAATTTTGTTTTTTCTAACTCAATTAAAATTTTGCATTGAAGAAATGGAAAACCACCGAATTTATTGTCCAGCCATTCAGAGCTGGCTAAGTCTCAACACTTAAAATACAATTTTCAAACTGCATGCTTTCTCATTTTCAATTGACATTAATGAAAATTTAGTCTTGATTAAGCCTGATTCATGCTCATTTAGCATTAAAAAACATTAGGCAAGAAATATCTCGTTTCTGAGAAATATTGCGACATTTTTTTCAAAAGTGTTTGCTGTACCTCAGCTCTAAATTTGAAGAGAAGCAATGGTTCCTCTCCCAAGCCTCTCTCTATATACATATAACATCATATATGATCCAGTAAGAAACATTTATTTTTCCAGAATTTTTTAAATTTTTATATATATAACTTCTACAAAAATTACTCTATAGTGTTCCTTAAAAGTTAGACACAAGTTTGTCATACAACCTACCAATTTCACTGTTAAGCATCTACCCAAGAGAAATGAAAACGGGTACTCACAAACACTTGAATGCAAATGTTCTCAGCAGCATGATTCATAATATTCCCATATTGGAAACAACCCAAATATCCATCCACTAGTAAATTGACAAAATGTGGTATATCCATACAATGGAAAACTATTCAGCAATAAGAAGAAATGAAATACTGATACATGCCACAACATAGCTGAACCCCAAAAACATTATGCTAAGTAAGAGAAGCCATAAGCAAAAGACCATATAGTATATCATTCCATTTATATAAAATGTTCAGAAAAGGCAAATCTATAGACTGAAAGTAGATTAATGGTTGCCTGGGAATGGGAGTGGGAACAAAGACATAATGGACATAAGGAATCTTACCAAGTGAGTAAACTGTTCTAAAACCAGATATGGTAATGGTTTTACAATTTTGGAATGTTCTAAAACCAGATATGGTAATGGTTTTACAACTTTTAGAAAATTAACAAATTTTCTAAAACTCACTGAAATATAATTTTTAAATATTATTCACCCTTAAAGGGTGAACTTTATAATATATAAATTATATCTCAATAAAGTTGTAAAAAAATGCTGTAATGCAAACTGCGTAAGAATTTAAATAATTGTAAGAACTGTGAGGAAAATTAAATTGATCTATCATTGATCTAAACAATATGTTTGCAATCGACTAAAAAGGAGGAAAAACTCTTTAACAAAAATGAAATTTGACACATTTTAAAATATTCTGCATAATGTGGTCCATTAGTCTTTGATATTTTATTGAAGAAAGTTGTGGTAAAGATAAGATTGAGAAGTCCATTACTAAAAACGTTTTCCAAAAGATTTCCTTTCCAAAGCTATACTTTCCTTCAAAATCGAATCTTTTGAACTTCCAAAACACCTTTTTAGCAAATGATCTCTTGAGATAGTGTCACTAGGGGGGCATTGACCAGCACCCGGCACACTAACAGGAAACAAGGTTTATAAACTGCTGATTTAACCAAACTTGATCCATAACCTACCCCATTTTCCGTGAGCATTATGGTCATCAGTTCTCATTTTAATAATCCAAATGCTGAGCTTTCTAAATATAAAATCCCAGGAGGATTTTTTTTGAATGTGTGGCAATGTCAGTAAGAAGGAAGGCATCTTGTGAAGAGATAAAGTGGACAGATGAATTTTGAAATCTATCTGTACACGAAGAGAAATGCAATACTCGCAATATTTCTAATTCAATACCTTTCAGTATGCAAACCACTGATAAAAGAGTTTTTTTAAAATTTTTTTTCTAGATGAACGTTTAAGTGGTCATTCGCCTCAAATCTCCACTTTCCAGTCCTGCACAGACTCCAGCTAATAACACTACCACCTGCAGGGTGTTTTGTTGTTTGTTTGTTGTTTGTTTTAGTGCTTCCCACATGCCTAGTTCACGCATGCACTTTTCTAAAGGACCCGAGTTCCGTTGGCTGCGTTCCCCGGGGAGCTCTACGAAGACCGGTCTGACCTGGCCCTCTCAGCTCCCTTGGAAGGGACCTGCTGCAAGGCAGGGTCATTTGGCTCCGAAATGCACCTTCAGGAATTTCCCCAAGGGGCTAGCATCAGCACCAACCGGAACACAGGCCCTCCGCTCCCTCAGCCCGCGACCACCTGGCACTCGTGTCCCTCCCTGCGGCCTGCCGGGGTCCTAGGAGCAGGGAAAATCCAATAGCTACGGGCGACCCTTGAGTTTACTCGGTCTACCCACCTCCATATTTTATCCAAAGAATGGACGGAGGCCAGTGAGGTGAGGTGACTTGGCTAAAGCCACACAGCCGGACGCTGGCCGAGCGGGTTAGTACTCGGGTCTCTGCTAACCCCGCGGCCGCTCGTGACTACCCGGGGCTTGGTAAGCACCGCCCAGGGGAAAGACTTGGCATTGCTGGCGCGAGAGCCGAAGGACTCAGCGACTTGTGACAGGAGGTCATCAATGGCCACCTGCAGGGCAGAGTGGGCAAAAGGCAGGTGACAGACCTCCCACGTCACGCCTGTTGGCGTGAGCGTCCTTTTCACTCTCTAAGTACCCTGACTTGTGAGTTAAACGATGGATCGGGTCGCCCAAGCGAAAGAGGCATCTGCTTCGAACTCCCCCCATATTTGTGCCAGCAGGGCAGAAAATAGGAAAGTTGCACTTACCACATCTTCCCTGGGTCAGTCTCCCCCGACTTCCCAAGTCCCACTCCTCCCTCCTCGCATAGGGACACCCACTCACGCGCCCGCTCCACCAGGTACGTACCAGCCGCGCGCAGCTGCCTGCCCTGCCGGTGCCCTGGCGCTCGCGCTCGCCCAGCGCTCTGCGGCCCGGAGCTGCGACTCGGGCTCTAGCTCGCTGCCGCCTCTACAGTCCACCGGGATGCGGCCGCGTCTGAGCTACTGGGCTGGGGCGCAGCCAGGCGGTGGCAGCTACTCGGGGGCGGAGGGAGCGGCCGCCGCGTCCCGCCCCCAGGCTACGAGCGCGGCTCCCCAGGCGGTGTCCCGCTCTCCGTGCAAACCGGGCCACCGCATCACTCCCCGGGGCACGTGCCACGGTAGCTTTTTTCTGCTGGCAGCCTGGGGCGAGCTCTTTTATCCTACTTGTGCGTTAACCACCAACTAATTATCGGTGATCGTCACACAACCCGCGTCCTCCCCGCCCGCCACTCCCAGTTCCCTTGGGCGATGATGAGGTTCTGCTAAGATTTCTGTGACGTGACTGCGGGAATTTCAATTCCCTTCCTGCTTTCCGACGTCGCATCGTGTTTTCTGTCCCTCCGGTTGTACGCGCCCTGAGCAGGGTTTGTGCTCCAGGTGTCATTAAGGTTGCCCTTTGATCTAATGTTGGCTGTTTGGAGAAGGTAGGAAGGTACACAGGCTTATCTACGCCCCGAATCTGGGTCTTCGAGTTTGTTAACAGATTATTTTAACAGATTAGGAAGCAATATGCAATGGAAACAACTTTTTGTGCAATAAAAGCAGAAAATAATGTATATCAAGTTTCACTTTCAGGTTCTCACTAAGAAAAATAAAGTCGTTACTACTAAGGTCTCACTGTGCTTTTTAAAAGCCATATTACATGGACGACGATACTGCTGATAAAATTAATTTATCTGCTTCCTGAGAAAGTGGTTTCTCACTGAAGTCTTAAAATCTCCTCTGGTCTCCTGAAACTCTTAATTAGTACTCAAAGTCTTCTCTTATCTCTAGTCTTTACTAATTTGCTCATTCATACTATGCTCTGACTTGCCACCCAAAGCCTATGACACCTGCCAATGACCACTTCCAAATTCCCTTTTTAGGCAAAAGCCTAAATATGGAAATACGAAAATATAATCAGACTAATATTTTATTCAGTGTGTGCTAATGGTAGTACAATCAAGTTCTTTAAATTATTCAATATTCATACCTCCACAATATAGTAATAATTTTCTCTATTTTCAGATAGTAAACTGAGGTTCAGCAAGGTTAGATACTTTGAACAAGGCTAAATAGCTGAGAAGATTCCAAATCAGTTTTGAACTTAGGTCTTTCTGCCTTCAGGATTGATTGACTTCCTTAAATTATACTCTGCTAATAAAGCTGTGATTTTTCTGAATTGTGATGTAGGCACATTTTGTTTTGTATTAGGTTAGTGCAAAAGTAATTGCAAAAAAGTACTGGCAAAAACTGCAGTAGCTTCTGCACCCGCCTAATAAAAATATAGTTACTTGTGTGGTTACACAAGCATTAATCAAAGAGACTGAGAGTTATTTATATCATTAGTGTAACTTTAAAACTTATTATCTGGCATACTGCTAAGGCCTGTTATTATTATATTATATAATAACATATATTTTTATTATCTAGGGCAAATTATTCTAAGGTTTATTTATTTTAGAGGTACTATGACAGAGAGTGATACTAAAATGTTTGAACTTATGAATTATGGTATCATGATTGGATTTTTATGATCCTGCAAGTGTATTTCCTATACTTGAAAATTTTGCTTTGTAAAATCTGTATTTTGGGATCAATGTGAGAAAACCACTAGACCTCACTGCTAAGCTTTTAACCTACATATGAAATCATCAGAACCACTGGAATGTATGGCCCATGAAGGCCATATCCTCAACACCTAGAATAGTACCTTCACAAAGTAGGTACTCTACAGGCCGTTTTGAAATGAATAAGTATTAACTTTGTTTCCACACTTAAGACCAAATAATGACTTATAAGAACACTATTTATAGAATGCTTTTGTCTATTTAGATTTAAGATTTTTGATGGCCTCTCATTTCTACTAGGAAAGTAAGGAGAAGATGCGGAAAGGTTTGCAGTAGCTGCTTTTGCAAATGTTAGACACGACCTGACCATAAGTGCAAGGAGGAGTTTTTGAGTCCAAGAATTGGTGGTAGCAGTAATTCCACACAATCATGTGAATTGTGAATTTGTGTCAAATATATGCCTTTAAATGCAGAAAGTTTAATCCAACTTTGGGATTGTGCCAAGTGATGTGATGAAAAGACAAGGAGCAAGCTTGGATACTATTTTTAAGACAAGGTTTTAAGGTTAACAAGAATAAATAGGAAAATAAGTGAGGACAAAGAGGGGAGAAGAAGGAAGAGTCCAAGAACTACAAATCCACATCAAATGAGAGAGATAAGTTGTAGTCAGGAAATGGGATCGTTTTCTTTGAAGTTTTAGAAGTACAAAGATAGACAGTTTATGGAAGAGCTAAGGGTGGGGTTGGCTGACGTAGAACGAAGATCAAGACATTAGGGACTAAGGTATTGAAGAAACTATATGGACATTGAAGCCACCAACAGTAATACCAGAATGAAAAAAGGAGTGAGTTTGATAACAAACACTTCCGTGAATGTAGTGGACTGATCCAGAACTGAGAGGATGACTATGCAAAGTTGGGGCAGAAGGTGCATATCCAGGGAGGAAAAACGTAAGTGGATCAAGGACTGGTAAAAGAGACAATTAAGACTTCAGAAGTAATACTGGGGAGTTACAAGGATCCCAACACTGCCCCTGTGACCCTAGAATGTGAAACAATGAACAGTCTATATCAAAGGGACATCTAGGGGAAATAATTCTTAGAAGAAAGCTTATTTCCACTTAAGGCCAGAAAATGGAGAAAGCATTGTGTAAATAGTTTATGAGGTTGGTGGTATTTTTCAATATTAAATGAGGATTCTCCAAGGTCAGAGTAGTTAAGAGGTGGGAGGTAGGGCTGGCTTCGTGGGTCTATGACCTGTTCAGTTGAGCAGGGATCTACGTGTTGTTTGTTTTTGAGACAGAGTCTGACTCTCTCACCCAGGCTGGAGTGCAGTGGCCCAATCTCGGCTCACTCCAGACTTGGCCCCCCAGGCTCAAGCAATCTTCCCACCTTAGCCTCCAGAGTAGCTGAGACTACGGGCACACATCACCACACCTGGCTAACTTTTGTGGGTTTTTTTGTTTTGTTTTTTTGTTTTGTTTTGTTTTGTTTTGTTTTTTTGTAGAGACGGGGTTTTGCTATGTTGGCCAGGCTGGCCTCGAACTCCTGGGCTCAAGCGATCCACCCGTCTTGGCCTTCCACAGTGTTTGGATTTCAGGCATAAGCCACATGCCTTGCTCAGGATCTACTTTTAAGAAGGCCCTGTGCAATGTTTAATGCTCCCCTGTCCCTGCATTGAAATATTTTATTTTATTTTATTTTATTTATTTATTTATTATTATTATTTTTTTTTTTACCAAGGGGACTTGCATTTTCATCTTTCATTGAGCCCAGCAAATTATATAACCAATGCTGTGTGGAAGAAAGTAGAAATTCTTGCATGGGTGAAGCAAGAATCAGTATTTACCTTCTAGGGATTAAAGTTTGGGAAAGACTAAATGCAGAAGTTTGTATTTTGAGGGAAGACCAAGAGATGCAGGGAGAAGGATGTGGCTGCAAGGTTTCAAGTGAGATCTAGTTTTCACATCTCTTTAGGGCCAGGCTGGCTGACACCTGGGCAGAAGAAGTGGACAGTAGTTACCATCATCATACTCCATGTTTTTATATGCTGGTGGGTTAGTTTTTTTAGGGTTGCCATTAAAAATTACCACAAATTTGGTGACCTACACCAGAAGGAATTTATTCTCTCACAATTCTGGAAGCCAGAAGTCTGAAGTCAAAGTGTTGGCAGGGTATCACTTCCTGTAAAGACTCAGGGGAGAACCCTCTTTTGTCTCTTCTAGCTTTTTTTTTCTTTTTTGAGACAGAGTCTCACTCTGTCACCCAGGCTGGAGTGCAATGGCGCGATCTCTGCTCACTGCAACCTCTGCCTCCTGGGTTCGAGCGATTCTCCTGCCTCAGCCTCCCAAGTAGCACGGATTACAGGCACATGCCACCACACCCTGCTAATTTTTGCATTTTTGCAGAGACGGGGTTTCACCATGTTAGCCAGGCTCGTCTTGGACTCCTGACCTCAGGTGATCCGCCTGCCTCAGCCTCCCAAAGTGCTGGGATTACAGGCGTGGGCCACCATGCCCAGCCCTCTTCTAGCTTTTAATGGCCACAGGCAATCCTTGATTGTCTTTAGCTTATAGCTACATAACTCCAATCTCTGCATCCATTTTCACATCTTCCCTATGTTTCTTCTCTACTGTTGGCATTGGTATTCCCCTCTTCTTATAAGGACATTTGTCATTGGATTTTGCATCCACCCAGTTCATCCAGGATGATCTCCCCTGGAGATCCTTACTTTAATTGCATCTTCGAAGATCCTTTTTCCAAGTAAAGTCAAATTCACAGGTACCAGAGGTTAGGTCATGGACATATCTTTTTAGAGACCACCATTCAGTCCACTGTAGCCAAGTCTATGGAGGCCAGAGGAATAGCAAGGCTGGATGACACTGGCATGATAGCTCTTCAGGTCTATTTGGCAAAGATAACTACAATAATATGAACCTTATCAATGTTTCTAAAGCTTTCAAACTGTGATATTTAATACATATGAAAATCAGAAGATTAGAGCTGCCCAGAGTCTTTACACCCCTGAGAGTAGCTATCTGCCTTGGGGACAAAAACCACTGAGAAGTCATGTACCTGGGACAGTGAGAAGTGTGGTTACAAAGAACTGAGGAAGTTGGCTTCCCTCTTGGAGGGGAGGGGAGGATTCGCCCACTCTCCATTCCAGAGGACATATGTGGTTCCTTGGTATTAAGGGAGAGTCTACAGGATGACCATATCTCACCCTTTCCTAAAAATATAAGATTCAGAAGGGCTTATATATGAAATATAAGATTCACCTGTGGGAGAGGCTGGGCTAGTTTCTCAAGCCGTACCTTGTAAAGGAAAATTTTTTAAATCCTTAGAGAGGGAAGAAGGAAATGTCGAAATCAGTGCTAACTTTTCCTCCAGCTGACAGACACTCTGAGGAATATTCAAGTAGCTGCCAGAGACAAATGGAACTCTCTTTAAAAAGCATAACACTCTCTGGCTTTTTCTTCTTTCTGCTCCAGGACAGGAACCATAAATTCCATCAAAGACCAGAAACTATAAGTTCCACCAAAGCTTCCATCCATTATTTGCAGAGTGATGATGTGAGAGAATTCCAAATTGTGGCAGGGGCAGCAGCATAACTAAGCCGAGGTTTGGAACAGATTACAGGAGCATCCATCTTTGAAAGGCCACTAAGTATGTTGTCCTGCAACCAAGCTTGGGTGACAGAGTGGCCTAGGGCACAAGGGGCACAGACTGTGCTACTAGTTAGTGACCCTGCTCCTTTTGTATAGCAGAAAGGGTGCTACAGACCCACATTCACCAAGGGAGAAGCTGGACAATGAAACAGTTGGGGACACAACTGTCCTTTAGAAGATCAGAGTCTATAAAGTAAGAAGCAGAAGGATGGGAAAGAGACTGATTTCTTTTCAGTATTTAAAATAGAAATTTCCTAACAAAGTATTCCTTCATTACCATTGTAGTCATGTGTCTCTCCCCACTCCTGATCAATAGGGCATTGTTTTGCAGAGTAGCAGGGCATATGAAAAGAACACAGAAAACAGAAAATGTTGGGTTCTGATCCCAACTGGCAATGCCACTCAAGGCTGTGTAATCTGAGTAAAATTAGTTTTCTTATGACTGAAGGGAAGATGAAGAACTAAGGGATTATCCTGCTCTAAATTTCTTTAAGTCTCTGAATTGGCCTCCTTATTAAATCGAAATTAAGCCCAACATTTAGAACACTTTACCCATCCACCTCCAACTAACTAATTCTTATCACTTCCCAGCACAAATCCTGCTTTCCAAATAAACTCATCAACTTGACACTCCATGTGACCTCTTTTTTTCTAATTTTCATAATTGGTGCAAGGGGATGTATTTATTTTCATTACCTTCTGTTCTTAAGCAGTGTCACTTAATTTCTTCAAATTCCTGTGCACAAATCTTCTACTTTGGGAAACTTATTGAGGAATTTTTCTCCATTTCTGATCAATTCATTCAAATGTGCCAAGTTGCCATCCAATCTTACAGACTTTCCTCCATGTGTTTGGGGAGTATGGCAATTTTAAAAGAAAAATATTATTCTCTTAAGTTTTTGACATGCCCTTAAAACTTTTCATGTGTATTGTCTAACTCTACTATCACTGTCAGCATGAGATTCTTCTATTCCAAAATTGGTATTTTCTAACTTCTTCAAGTAAATGAGACAACTCTGAATGTTTCAGGACCAGTACATGAATTGCTAACCCTAACCAACTAACCATTTAATGGTGCAGCATCTGTGTTTGGCACAGAGTTGGTATCTAATAAATATTTTTGTATAAATATGTAAGTAAGCTAATGTGCACCTTTTTATTTGACCATAAGTACACACACACACTAACCATTCTCCCACCTCTCTTCTCCATTCAACAGGATGACCTTAACACATAACAAAACACCAAAAATAATTAAAGAAATCACAACTTACCAAAGATATTTTCGTGACTAATAAGTATGTGGTAAGTTATTTGCCCAAATAAGCTTTATTTGTACTAATACCTGTAAAAAATGTAGTTGAAAGCCAGGAGTGGTCGTTCATGCCTGTAATCCCAGCACTTTGGGAGGCCAAGGTGGGCGGAACACTTGAGGCCACGAGTTCAAGACCTGCCTGGCCAACGTGGCAAAACCCCATCTCTACTAAAAATCCATAAATTAGCCGGGCGTGGTAGCACATACCTATAATTGCAGCTACTCCAGAGAGTCTGAGGCAGGAGAATCGCTTGAACTCAGGAGGTGGAGGTTGCAGTGAGTTGAGATAGCACCACTGTACTCTAGCCTAAGCAACAGAGTGAGACTCTGTCTCAAAAAAAAAGAAAAAAAGAAATGTCTTTCAAATTTTTTCAATATACTTTTATGTGAATTTCTTCTGTGCACGGATACATAAAATCTAAGATTGGGTTAGATCTAAGATTAGATGCTCATAATTAAAAAATGAATTCACAACTTCTAACATGGGAAATCCTGATGTCTCTCATGCCTTATCTTATTAAATTGGAAAATATACATTTTATCAGAACTCCAGTAAGTAGCACCTTTATGACATTTATGTTATTCGTATTAGATATTATTTATTATGATCCCAAATTACTCAATAACTATAGATAAATATAATGAATGTTAAGTTGTCTTATAAAATGAATTAGGTCTTTTTAATTTAGATAAACTCTAATTTAACCATAGCTCCTGTATCACTGTTCAGAGTTGGGGTGGATGGAGTCTTTTAAAAAAGAGAAGCTTTTGAGATGTTCCTGGGGAATTGGACTTAAAAGTTAGCCTCTTTTAAAAATTTGCTTAGGAACCTAAAATGTAAACGTACTCCTATTTTTTTTTTTTTTTTTTTTTTTGAGACGCAGTCTTGCCCTGTCACCCAGGCTGGAGTGCCGTGGTGCGATCTCGGCTCGCTGCAACTTCTGCCTCCTGGGTTCAAGCAATTCTCCTGTCTCAGCCTCTCAGGTAGCTGGGACTACAGGTGTGCACCACCACACCCGGCTAATTTTTTTGTTTTTTTTGTTTGTTCATTTGTTTTTTGCTTGTTTTTTGTATTTTTAGGGGAGACGGCATTTTGCCACATTGGCCAGGCTGGTCTCGAACTCCTGGCCTCAAACAATCCGCCTGCCTCGGCCTCTCAAAGTGCTGAGATTACAAGCGTGTGCCACCACGCCTGGCCAACTTACCCTATTGATACAGGATTTTTTGTTAGTTTGTTTTTTGTCTTTTTTTGTAAGGAATTACCCTTATACTCTACTGGAATTAGAAAAGCTATAAAAATTAACATTAGCTCATTAATCCAAAGTAAATAACAACAAAAGTTGTATTCCTTAAAGCATCTTAACTGTTGAAATACAATCTCTGGCATCAACATTTCTCAGAACATTGAGGCTAAGATGCATCTTATGATTCTCATTAGCTACAGCTCTATAGACAAAATGTTAGAGAAAACAAAGCCTGTCTCCTTTCTGTATCTTTTTCATCTTCCCATTCCCAACCACTTGAGCTTCTTCTATGAGTCCTAAGTGGTTTTAAGTCCACACTGGCCCTATTAGTAGCTTCTTGTGAAACACTATTTGGGTTCAGCCATAGGAAGGTGAAGCACAGTAATTTACATCACAGAAAAGAATCTTAGGGAGATAATAATGTCTGAGAATAATTTCCAGTGGTTTGAGTTGAAGCACCGCTATGATTCCTAGGAGTAAATATCTTCCTTTACAACCAGACTTCAGGACTACCAGTTAATAGATATGCATAAGATAAATCTTTTTCCCAACCTTGTATTTATAAAAAAAAAAAAAAATGAAGGGAAAGGAAGGGAAGAGCTTGGAAGGAAAGAAAAGGGAGGACTCCATGCTTTCCTAATTGATTCCAAACTACAGGTGACCCTTAAACAACACTGGGTTAAGGGCACTGAACCCTCGCCTGTTGAAAATCCTCATATAACTTTTGACTCCCCCAGAACACAACTACTAATAGCTACTGTTGTCCAGAAGCCTTATTGATAACACAAACAGTTGATTAACACAGTTTTGTATGTTATATGTACTATATACTGATAAAGTAAGCCAGACAAAAGAAAATGTTAGTAAGAAAGTCATAAGGAAGAGACAATATATATACTATATATTAAGTGGAAATCCATCATTATAAAGGTCTTCATCCTCATCATCTTCATGTTGATTAGGCTGAGTAGGAGGAAGAGGAAGAGGAGGGGTTGGTCTTGACATCTCAGAGGTGGTAGAGGTGGAAGAAACTCTACAGATAAGTGGACCCACGCAGTTCAAATCTGTGTTGTTCAAGTGTCAGTAGTACTTGATGGAGATCCCTTTTCTTGAGTAGTAAGGAAGATATTGATACAGAATTCTAGGGTGAGAGGTTATTTTTCCAATACTTTAAAAAAGTTGCTTAACTTTGTGCCATGTACAAACTCTTTTTCTCTAATTTCTTTTAAGTTTTCTTTATTAATAATTTTAAGTCATTTTAATATTATATCCTTGATATAATTTTCTTGACAAACTTGAGGCCTATTGACTTTCTTGGGTTGGAAACATTTCGCTCATTTCTTCATATAATTATTCCTTCAACCCATCTCCTTTGGTGACTCTAATTCCACATGTGCTTGGGCTGCCTGAAGTTGTCCCACAGATCATTAATGTCCTGTTCATTATTTGGGGCCCTTTTTCTTTCTGTGTTTTATTTTTCATAGTTCTATTGCTATGCCTTACAGTTCACTGATTTTTTTTTTTTACTCTGTCATATTTAAACTGCTGTTAGTTTATACAATGCATTCATTATCTAAAGAAATTTGATGATCTGGTTTTTTTCCATATCTTCCGTATCTCTATTTAACATGCTCAATCTTTCCTCAATTTTCATGAGCATATGAGATATAGTTACTATAACTTTCATAATGTCCTCATCTATTAATTCTATTATCTGTGTCAATTTGGAATTTGTTACTATTGATTGGTTTTTTTCTCTTCATTATGGGTCATATTTCCTGCTTCCCTGCATGCCTACTCATTTTTTATTAGATTCCAGACATCATGATTTTATCATTTATGGTGGGTGATAGATATTTTTGTTTTTCTATTAGTATTCCTTAATGTTGGTCTTGGTCATAGTTATGTTACCTGAAATGACTTTATCTGTCTGAGTCTGTCTATTAAGTTTTGTGAGGTAGTATTAGAAAGAAGTAATTTATCTAGGGCTTATTTTGCCCCTCTTCTGAGGTAATGACTTTTTGAATACTCTATCTGATGTCTCTTGAATTACGAGGTTTTCCACTTTTGCTGCAAGGAACAAGAACTAATCCCAGCTCTTTGTGCCCTTTTCTTGTTGTTCCCTATGCTCCCTCAAGTGGTTTCTTCTCAGTCTGTGATAGTTAATACTGAGTGTCAACTTAATTGGATTGATGGATACAAACTATTGATCCTGGGTGTGTCTGTGAGGGTGTTGCCAAAAGAGATTAACAGTTGAGTCAGTGGGCTGGGAAAGGCAGATCCACCCTTAATCTGGTGGCCACAATCTAATCAGCTGCCAGCAAATATAAAGCAGGCAGAAAAATGTGAAAAGGAGAGACAGGCCTAGCCTCCCAGCCTACATCTTTCTCCCATGCTGGATGCTTCCTGTCCTTGAACATCAGACTCCAAGTTCTTCAGTTTTGGGACTCATACTGGCTTACCTTGATCCTCAGCTTGCAGGCAGCCTATTGTGGGACCTTGTGATCATGTAAGCTAATACTTAATAAACTCCCCTTTGTATAGATAGATATAGCTATAGATATAGATATAGATATAGATATAGATATAGATATAGATATAGATATAGATATATCCTATTAGTTCTGTCCCTGTAAAATAACCCTGACTAATACAGATTTTGGTAGCAGCAGTGGTTCTAGAGGAACAGAATATTAAGGATGGAGTTCTTTCATTGGTTTTGGGGTTTCTGGAGTTGGCTGCTTAATATGATTAGACCCAAAAATGCTAGGGACTCTACTACTAATAGTATAGAGAACACTGATAGTGCTTAGCGGCAACTGTTTAGAGAGTTATACAAAATAAATCCATTTGACACTCCTGATTCACTGCTCATGACAGGCAGAGTGAGGTGACCATATACATAATACTTTTGACCATATGTGGAGAACCAAGGAACATAATGAAGCTGGTTGGTTGCTCCTAAGTTCAGTGGACAAAGTGATGAAAGAAAATGATGAATGAAGGGATTCTGTCTCCTGGCTTCAAAAGCAGATACTGAGCCTCAAATCTGCTAAGATTGCCCTGAGTGAGTCTTATCTCCTGTAGAGAAAAAGCTGAAATTGTGGAAAAACAGATATAAGCTCTTATCGTGCGAGTGGCTGACCTGCAATGAAAAATGCATGCACAGCCTCACCAGGTGTCTACTGTTAAAGTGAGGGCATTGATTGGAAAAGAATGGGACCCTGCAACTTGGAATGGGGATGTGTGGGAGGACCCTGATAAAGCTGGGGATACTGAATTTGTAAATTCTGATGAACCTTTTTTGCCAGAAGAAACAGCTTCCCCATCCCCAGTAGTGGCAACATCCCCTTCCTGACCCATGCTGCCATCAGCCTTTCCACCTCTGTCTGAGGAGACAAACCCTGTGCTGCTTGAGGCAACAGCGATGGCCTCCCCTGAGGCAATTGCCAGACAAGATAATGTTGATTCTCCTCAGAAGCCACCCCCAACACCTCTGTTTGCTTCCAGACATATAACGAGACTAAGCTACCAGTGGACCCTAGAGGTGAGGTTGAGAATGTGACCCATGAGGAGGTGCACTACACTTGAAAAGAACTGTTTGAGTTCTTTAATTCATATAAACACAAATCTGGAGAACAGGCATGGGAATGGATATTAGGGGTATGGGATAATGGTGGAAGGAACATAGAATTGGATCAGGCTGAATTTATTGATTTGGGCCCACTAAGTAGGGACTCTGCATTGCATTTAATGTTGCAGCTCAGGGAGTTAAAAAAAAGATTATAATAGTTTATTTGTTTGGTTAGCTGAAATATGGATTAAATGATGGCCCATTGTGAGCGAGCTGGAAATGCCTGATCTCCCTTGGTTTAATGTAGAGGAAGGGATCGAAAGGCTTAGGGAGATTGGGATGGTGGAGTGGATTAGTCACTTTAGACCTACTCATCCCAGCTGGGAGGGTTCAGACAGAAGATATACCCTTCACCAATCTCTTGCAAAATAAATTTGTGAGGGCAGCACCTGCATCTTTGAAGAGCCCTGTAATTGTTCTTCTCTGTATGTCAGATCTAATGGTGGGAACCGCAGTCACTCAACTACAAAATTTAAATACAATGGGAATAATTGAATCCCGAGGTGGGAGGAGCCAAGTGGCAGCACTCAACTGTGAAAGGCAAGGTGGGTGTAGCTACTGTAATGGTCAGCAGAGGCAAAGCAGCAATCAGAATAGTCTGACTTGTGTAGAGCTCTGGCATTGGCTAATTAATCACAGTGTTCCCAGAAGTTAAATTGATAGGAAGCCTACTGCATGCCTACTTAAATTTTACAAACAGAAAACTTCTAGGTCGAATGGACAGAAGACTAATTTGAATTATAAAACAGAGAATCACAGCCTTTCAATCAATTTCCATACTTGAGTCAGTTTACAGATCCAGAACCCCTTGAGTGAAGGGGAGGCTGGGTGCCCTTGAGGAAGGACTCCACTACATTGCCAACAATTTATGCAGTGAATCTTTCTCCCATCCTTCCCCAAGGAGACCTCCAGCCTTTTACCAGGGTAACTGTGCAGTGGGGAAAGGGAAATGATTAGACATTTTGGGGACTACTGGACACTGGCTCTGAGCTGATGTTGATTCCAGGGGACCCAAAATGTCACTGTGTTCCTCCAGTTAAAGTAGGGGCTTACGGAGGTCAGGTAATTAATGGAGTTTTAGCTCAGGTCCAGCTTACAGTGGGTCCAGTTGGTCCCCAGACTCATCCTGTGGTCATTTCCCCAGTGCCAGAATGCATAATTGCAGCTGGCAGAACTCCCACATTGGCTCCCTGACTGGTAGGGTGAGGGAAGGCTACATGGTGGGAAAGGCCAAATGGAAACCATTAGAGTTGCCTTTACCTAGAAAAATAGTAAATCAAAAGCAATATTGCATCCCTGGAGAGATTGCAGAGATTAGTACCACCATCAGGGACTTGAAAGACACAGGTGTGGTGATTCCCACCACATCCCCATTCAACTCTTCCATTTGGCCTGTGCAGAAGACAGATGGATCTTGGAGAATGACAGTGGATTATTGTAAGCTTGACCAAGTGGTGACCCCAATTGCAGCTGCTGTACCAGATATGGTTTCATTAGTTAAGCAGATTAACACATCTCCTGGTACCTTGTATGCAGCCATTGACTTGGTAAATCCCTTTTTCTCCATTCCTGTCCATAAGGTCCAACAGAAGTGATTTGCCTTCAGCTGGCAAGGCCAGCAATATATCTTTACTGTCCCACCTTAGGGCTATATCAACTCTCCAGCTTTATGTCATAATCTTATTCAGAGAGACTTTGATCACTTTTCGCTTCTACAAGATATCGCGCTGGGCCATTACATTGATTATATTGTGCTCATTGGATCCAGTGAGCCAGAAGTAGCAAACGCACTGGACTTGTTGGTGAGACATTTCCATGCCAGAGGATGAGAAATAAATCTTACTAAAATTCAGGGACTTTCTACCTCAGTAAAATTTCTAGGGGTCCAGTGGTGTGGGGCCTGTCAAGATATTCTTTCTAAAGTGAAGGATAAGTTGCTGCATTTGGCCCCTCCCAAAACCAAGAAAGATGTACAACACCTGGTGGGTCTATTTGGATTTTGAAAGTAACACATTCCTCATTTGGGTGTATTACTCCAGCCCATTTATCAAGTGACCCGAAAGGCTGCCAATTTTGAGTGGGGTCCAGAACAGGAGAAGGCTCTGCAACAGGTCCAGGCTGCTGTGCAATCTGCTTTGCCACTTGGGCCATATGACCCGACAGATCCAATGGTGCTTGAGGTGTCAGTGGCAACTAGGGATGCTGTTTGGAGCCTTTGGCAGGCTCTCATAGGTGAATCACAGTGAAGGCCTCCAGGATTTTGGAGCAAGGCCCTGCCATCTTCTGCAGATAACTAGATAACTAGTCTCCTTTTGAGAGAGAGCTCTTGGCCTATTACTGGGCTTTGGTAGAAACTGAACGTTTGACTATGGGTCATGAAGTCACCATGTGACCTGAACTGCCTATCATGAACTGGGTGCTTTCTGACCTGGGTGCTTTCTGACCCATCTAGCCATAAAGTGGGTCATGCACAGCAGCATTCCATCATCAAATGGAAGTGGTATATACGTGATCAGGCTTGGGCAGGTCCTGAAGGCACAAGTAAGTTACATGAGGAAGTGGCTCAAATGCCCATGGTCTCCACTCCTGTCACCCTGCCTTCTCTCCCCAAGCCTGCACCGATGGCCTCATGGGGAGTTCCCTATGATCAGTTGACAGAGGAAGAGAAGACTAGGGCCTGGTTCACAGATGGTTCTGCATGACAGGCTGGCACCACCCGTAAGTGGACAGCTGTAGCATTAGAGCCCCTTTCTAGGACATCCCTGAAGGACAGTGGTGAAGGGCAATCTTCCCAGTGGGCAGAACTTCGAGCAGTGCACCTGGTTGTGCACTTTGCATGGAAGGAGAAATGGCCAGATGTGTGTTTATATGCTGATTCAGGAGCTATAGCCAATGGTTTGGCTGGATGGTCAGGGACTTGAAAGAAGCGTGATTGGAAAATTGGTAACAAAGAAATTTGCAGAAGAGGTAAGTGGATGGACCTCTCTGAGTGGTCAAAAACTGTGAAGATATTTGTTTCCCATGTGAGTACTCACCAACGGGTGACCTCAGCAGAGGAGGAGTTTAATAATCAAATGGATAGGATAACCGGTTCTGTGGACACCACTCAGCCTTTTTCCCCAGCCACCCCTGTCATCGTCCAATAGGCCCACGAACAAAGTGGCCATAGTGGCAGGGATGGAGGTTACACATGGACTCAGCAACATGGACTTTCACTCACCAAGACTGACCTGGTTACAGCCACTGCTGAGTGCCCAATTGCCAGCAGCAGAGACCAATACTGAGCCCTCGATATGGCACCATTCCTCAGGGTGATCAGCCAGCAACCTAGTGGCAAGTTGGTTATATTGGACCTCTTCCATCATGGAAAGGGCAGAGGTTTGTCCTCACTGGAATAGACACTTACTCTGGATATGGGTTTGCCTCTCCTGCACACAATGCTTCTGCCAAGACTACCATCTGTGGACTCCTAGAATGCCTTATCCACTGTCATGATATTCCACACAGCATTGCCTCTGACAAAGGCACTCACCTTATGGCTAAAGAAGTGCGGCAGTGGATTCATGCTCATGGAATTCACTAGTCTTACCATGTTTGCCATCATCCTGAAGCAGCTGCATTGATAGAACAGGGGAATGGTCTTTTGAAGTCACAATTACAATGCCAACTACGTGACAATATTTTGCAGGGCTAGGGAAAAGTTCTCCAGAAAGCCATGTATGCTCTGAATCAGCATCCAATATATGGTATTGTTTCCTCCCATAGCCAGAGTTCACGGATTCAGCAATCAAGAGGTGGAAGTGGAAGTGGCACCACTCGCCATCACCCCTAGTGATCCACTAGCAAAATTTTTGCTTCCTGTTCCCGCAACATTACATTCTGCTGGCCTAGAGACCTCAGTTCCAGAGGGAGGAAAGCTGCCACCAGGAGTTGCAACAACGATCCCATTAAACTGGAAGTTAAGATTGCCACCTGGACACTTTGGGGTCCTTCTACCTTTAAGTAAACAGGCAAAGAAGGGAGCTACAGTGTTGGCTGCTGTGATTGCCTCAGACTATAGATGAAATCAGTCTACTACTCCATAACCAAGGTAAAGAAATGTACGCATGGAATACAGGAGATCCATTAGGGTGACTCAGTATTACCATGCCCTGCTATTAAGGTCAATGGGAAACTACAACAGCCCAATCCAGGCAGGACTACAAATGGTCCAGACCCTTCAGGAATGAAGGTTTAGGTCTCTCCATCAGGAAAAAAACCACGACCTGTTGAGATACTTGCTGAAGGTAAAGGGAATACAGAATGGGTAGTAGAAGAAGGTAGTCATCAATACCAGTTATGACCACATGACCAGCTGCAGAAACGAGAACTGTAATTGTCATGAGCGTTTCCTTCTTTTGTTAAAAACATGTTTGTGCATGTATACACTTGTACTAAGAAAATGTCTTGGCCATGCACGGTGGTTCATGCCTCTAATCCCAGCACTTTGGGAGGCTGAGGCGGGCAGATCATGAGGTCAGGAGATCGAGACAATCCTGGCCAACATGGTGAAACCCCGTCTCTACTAAAAATACAAAAATTAGCTGGGCATGGTGGCGCACGCCTGTAATCTCAGCTTTCGGGAGGCTGAGGCAGGAGAATCGCTTGAACCCGGGAGGCAGAGGTTGCAGTGAGCAGAGATCGCACCACTGCACTCCAGCCTGGTGACAGAGCAAGACTCCATCTTAAAAAAAAAAAAAAAGTCTTAATTTTATTTCCTTTCTCCTTTATTATGTAACATAAGATTTATTGACTTCACATCAGCATTTAAGTATTGTTAACTTTATGTAATAGCTTTTGGGTTGGGGATTGGTGCATTTCTGGTTGTACAAAGGATAGTTGTATTATGTTAGGCATAATTACAACCTCATTATTGTCTTCATTTGAAGATTATGTATGATCTCAGGAGATGTGTATGGGTTCAGGTTGACAAAGGGTGGACTTGTGTTGGTTAATACTGAGTGTCAACTTGATTGCATTGAAGGATACAAAGTATTGATCCTGGGTGTGTCTGTGAGGGTGTTGCCAAAAGAGACTAACATTTGAGTCAGTGGGCTTGGGAAGGCAGATCCATCCTTAATCTACAGGACACTATTCTGAGATAACCAGCCTATTCTCAACTCTGTTCCTGACAACTTTTGTGTTCTTAACTTTTTATGTCTAAATTTTCATATAAAATTGTAATTAATATTATCATTCCTCTATAAAATTAAGTAAGGCTTTTACATTAGATTTGAATGAAATCAGTCTTAACTAGGATTGTATTGAAATACCATCTATATTGCCTTTGAAAAGCTTTAACAATTGTGAATATTATGTTTACAAATTATTCATTATCAACAAGGGAACAGATTTTGAGCTGTGCTCTGGAATTCACGTAATAAAGTCACTATCAATAGCAATGCTGAGGCTACATCTCAAGGAGAGGGACAAATAAAAAATATTTTTCAGTTCTATGGTGATAGTCTTCTCAGCTTTTACATTAACTTAATGACTTAATGGTTCCTTATTAATGAATGTCTCCATTTCCCCACTAAATATTTCTACAATATTTATCTATAAACAGTCTATATAAATTTGTTTCAAAAAAATAAAAAGCATATAAACTTGCTGCAGCCAACTTTTTTCTACCGCTGCCCCTGGATTATATCGGGTCATCTGGAGCATCCAAAATAAAGAAAGTTAAAAAGCACAGGTACATAAAGAAATTCTCTATTTTCTCCAAAACCTATGTGCACAAATCTGTAGACACAGTTGGCCTGGTGTGTTAGATTTAGTTTCATTCCAGTAAACAAATTCTCTCAGTAAAGGGACAATTTATGGCTGAAAATAGTAGCTTGACACCACACACCTTAACCATCAAAACTTTAGTCTGTGAATGTTTAGGAAAGCCAGTGACCTCTAAACATTTGTAAATTTAATATCAAAAATGTTAACGTTACTTGACCCCAAATATTAGAGTTATGTACATTATTGTTACCTGAGACCCCAAACCAGTAGAATTGGTAGTACTGGGAGTTTGTTAGAAATATAAGATCTCAGACCCCATCTCAGAACTACTAAATCACAATCTGCATTTCACAAGATCACTATTTGATTTGTAAACCCATTAAAGTTTGAAAAGCACTGCTGTACTTGCATCCTTAACTCAGTGGCTAATCCCTTGAGATTTTACTCTAGATAAACTGTGCTTCTTTTACTCTAGGTTAACAAAGCTTCTTTTACTCTAAAAAAGGCAATGGCTTTCATCTTTGCACCATAATCTTAGTGTTTACGTTTTTCTGATTTCTGTGATGACAAATGTAATTTATAGGCAAAGTTTCAGGTGGGTGAGAGAAGTGATGTGGGACACCATTCAAGAAAGCAGGGATTTTTCTTTCCTGAAAATGTGTTCCTGATCTCTTGACTGAAAATTATCAGACACTATATTGCTAGACGATATTTAAAATGCAACTTCTTCATGATTCTTTTAAAGACCAAAATTTTTCAGAATTTACTCAAACCCTAACTTAAGATAAACCAGTTTTCATTTTTCTGATGGAAAGGTTGCATACAGTTGTTCAAAACCAGTCATAATAATAGAAATTTAAATCCAGAAAGTATGCTAGTCAGTCCATCCATCTCCTTTGCATTTTACAGGAAGTAATTTGCAAAAATTTTTAGAATTCATTATTTATCCTCTATGTAAATGATGCCCTGCCAGCTTCCAAAATAAATTTATTATTCTAAAAGATTACATATATGAAATACAATTATTTAATTAGATTTATTTTTTAATGTAAAGGGGAATCAAATAGGTGTACCAACCACCTCAGCTGTGTTTACTGAAATTGACCATTAAGTTAGAATCTTCATTAAGTTCAGGAAAAGGAAACTAAGGTTAAAAAAAAAAAAGGGAAAAGAGACTACATAGCAAGTTAGCATTTTCAATACCACGTGTTGAATCCCAGTTGAGGACATTAATAACCAAATAGTTCACTTTGTTTTTTAAAACCTTATATATGGATGATTAAAAAAAAAAAAAAAACTAGCCAGGCACAGTGACACACTCATGTAATTCCTGTAATTCCAGCTACTAGGTGGCTGAAGAGGGACGATTGCTTAAGCCCAGCAAGTTGAGGCTGCAGTGAGCCATGATCATGCCACTGCACTCCAGCCTGGGCAACAGAGTGAGATTTTGTCTCAAAAAAATAAAAATAATAAATAAATACATACAAACCACATATAAATGATCAATTTGAACCAGATTTTTATCTGAAGGGTTACATTTCTACAAAATGAAAGATGCTTAGATTTGGCTCAGCATCATACTAATGTATTGAATTAGAATAATACTATTCTACTGAATGAAGTCTAATATACAAAAATAATCTCATTGGCTAAATGAATGAAAACGATAAGAGAAAAGATATAATTTAACTTTTTTAAAAAGGACAAAACAAAATACTGGATTATTGACTTGGACTTCAACTAACACCTTGACAATTGACTTAGACGTTCAAATCTATGGGGTGTTATGCAAAGAATGGTGAATAGATATTAACCATTTTAGTAAAGGAAGAAGAGGAAATCAGTATGTCAATGCAAAAAAACTGAAAATCAGTAACTTCCAGTAGCCCTTCAGTTATTCATAGGAAAGGCATATAGTTAGAAAACGTTTGTCTAATCTGGGAAAACGTGTGTGTATGTGGGGGGTGTGTGTGTGTGTGTGTGTGTGTCGAGAGATAGGAATTAGATGTGGGGGGGGACCTTCCTTGCTATACAATTTTTAAGGAGAAGCTGGAGCCTGTGGAATTTCCTAATTTAGAGATAACTTTAATAGGTGGATAAACTATAATCTGTCAGATGTCTGAAATCAGGGTTTGTTTTTTTGTTTGTCTGTTTTTTTTTTTAAAAAAAGGCAAAACTCGTGAAAGATACTCCATGATAAGCAAGGGCAATTCTAAAGAAACCACACAACTGTGGAGTGATTTAGCATTGGCAGACACCTTCTACACTTTTATCTCAATCCCTTTTCTCCCAAATCTTTGCCAACAGAAGTCATTACCCTTTGTGGGCAGAGGGCAGCCCTGTGGACCACACGCTAAGCATGCATCACCTCCCCACCATCACCTTTATCTCCAGCCTCTCCCTGGCTTTGCTCCAACTCTCCCTTTTTTCTTGGGCATGCTAGACCAAGAGAAATATCTGATGGTTCTGCCCTTCTCTAAACTTGAAAAATGCACTATGGAGATAAAATTCTCATATCTTTGGTGTCTATATTCACCAAGTTAACTAAAGAGCTAAATAATCTACACCTTGTTTTGCAGAACACTAATAAAAGGCTATCATTTTGCAGTCTGCCTACATTTATACACTTCCACTGGAGGGAGAAAAAAGTAACTCTTCTGTAGCTTACTGAGCACTTGCAGAGCTAATTGCTTTTCTTTTATTACTTCATTTATTACCTCTTTAGAGCAATCTGTGAGGTATGCAGTATTATTGTCTTCAAAAAAAGAGTAAACTGAGGTACAGATAGAGTAAATAACTTACCCAAGATCTTAAAATCTGTAAATGGTGGAACCAGGTTTCAAAATTTAGATACATCTGAGCCTGTGATCTTAACCTCCACACTATATAGCTTCCCATAAATAAACCTCACAAAGTTTCACTGTGAATGATTTTTTATGTAAAATAGCTATTCATGAAGCTCTTCTTCCTATAAATAAGGCATCATTTCAAAATGACATGTTTGCCTGCAGCAGGCTCAGAGCTTAGAAAGATAATATTTTAATCAGATACCACTCATCCTTACCAATAATTTGGCATTTCTGAATACTTTACCGTTTTCCCAAAAGTGTGTATTTAAAATCCCCCTTTTGTTCTGTCCTGATTTTTACTCATTTTTTTCTGATTTCTATTAATATCAAAACATATATTATGATTATGCACAGAAGCATCAAAAGATAATATATTTCAGAATAACCAAAGACTGAAAATTCTGAACTTTAACAGAGACTATGCATTGCAAATATTTGAGGATCACTTATTTGAACTTGAAGAAAATTGGTTTCCTGTTATTAACTAAATTGGCTCTGTTGGTAAAAACGTGACTACCTTAACTGTCTTCTTTCATTGCTGCCCCCTTATTCTTTGTTATTTTCTTTTTCCTGTAATAATGAAATATCAATAACTTATTTATGTTATCTGCTTTGTGAAACATGAGCCGGCCTAGAATGACAACCTCTTTTCCCACATCTGCATATTCTCTCCTTGCCCCTAGTCTAAGATCATGTCAAACAGGGACATATTAAGCTTTTATTGGATAATGTGCTTTAACCAACTTGTTTTTACATTACACTGATACATTTATAAATACATTTTATTTTTTTACAAATTTAAGACATGGAGATGAAATCAAATCACCTTTGACAGCCACCTTCAACTTTTAGTCCCACCATCCTCATAGGTGACTATCTCTATCTCAGTTTAACATATTTAATTCCCACCCTTTGTTAATGCTTTTACACACACATCACATGGATCTAGATATATTATATAATATTGCTTTTTACATGGCTATGTGTTGTACACACTGTAATACAACATCCTGGAATTCAGCTGTTTTTGCCAAACATAGGTATGACTCATTCTTTTAAATTGTTGCATAGTATTTCATGGAATAAAAATATTAACATTTATTTAACCATTCCCCTACGCAAAAACATTTAAGTTCTCTCCACAACTTTATTATTACAAACATTGCTGCAACATCCTTTTTTATGAATCCTTATAAACATGCATTACTCTAGGGTAGATATTGAGAAGTAAAATTTCTAGGTTGTGGCATACATCTTAGTTGAAGAGATATTCCTGTGCTAGGAAGTTATATTAGGTCATAAAGGCTCAGCACTAAAATAACAACCTCTTCAATCCTGTAGTCTAGAGTTATAGGAAGTCTATCAGTTTGGCAGCAGTTGTATTTTTCTGATGGAAAACACATTGCAGTGGGAATCAAAAGAAACCAAGACTAACCCTTTCTGCTGCTGATTAGAAGTTGTGCAGCCTCTCCAAGTTTCTGTTTCTTTGTCTTCAGTAATTTGGAGATAGGACTAGATTATTTCTCAGAAATTTATATATCTACATGACATATTTCTGTTCTTAAGTTATTCATTCACTGAACAAGAATATACAAGGCATATATAAGAGTCTACAATGTTTCCTTAAGGAATTAACAAGAAATAATACCAGAAAACAAAGCAATGTGTAAACAGATATTTATACAAATACACGAAGGCTGCAAAATGTGTGATTTTTTAAAAAACTACAAAAAATTCTGTTCCATTGGTCTACATCTCTGTTTTGGTACCAGTACCATGCTGTTTTGGTTACTGTAGCCTTGTAGTATAGTTTGAAGTCAGGTAGTGTGATGCCTCCAGCTTTGTTCTTTTGGCTTAGGATTGACTTGGCAATGCAGGCTCTTTATTGGTTCCATATGAACTTTAAAGTAGTTTTTTCCAATTCTGTGAAGAAAGTCATTGGTAGCTTGATGGGGATGGCATTGAATCTAGACCAATGGAACAGAACAGAGACCTCAGAAATAATGCTGCATATCTACAACTATCTGATCTTTGACAAACCTGACAAAAAGGATTCCCTATTTAATAAATGGTGCTGGGAAAACTGGCTAGCCATATGTAGAAAGCTGAAACTCGATCCCTTCCTTACACCTTACACAAAAATTAATTCAAGATGGATTAAAGACTTAAATATCAGCCCTAAAACCATAAAAACCATAGAAGAAAACCTAGGCAATACCATTCAGGACATAGGCATGGGCAAGGACTTCATGTCTAAAACACCAAAAGCAATGGCAACAAAAGCCAAAACTGACAAATGGGATCTAATTAAACTAAAGAGCTTCTGCACAGCAAAAGAAACTACCATCAGAGTGAACAGGTAACCTACAGAATGGGAGAAAATTTTTGCAATCTACTCATCTGACAAAGGGCTAATATCCAGAATCTACAATGAACTCAAACAAATTTACAAGAAAAAAACAACCCCATCAACAAGTAGACGAAGGATATGAACAGACACTTCTCAAAAGAAGACATTTATGCAGCCAAAAGACACATGAAAAAATGCTCATCATCACTGGCCATCAGAGAAATGCAAATCAAAACCACAATGAGGTACCATCTCACACCAGTTAGAATGGCGATCATTAAAAAGTCAGGAAACAACAGGTGCTGGAGAGGATGTGGAGAAATAGGAACACTTTTACACTGTTGGTGGGGCTGTAAACTAGTTCAACCATTGTGGAAGTCAGTGTGACAATTCCTCAGGGATCTAGAACTAGAAATACCATTCGACCCAGCCATCCCATTACTGGGTATATACCCAAAGGATTATAAATCATGCTGCTATAAAGACACATGCACACGTATGTTTATTGCAGCACTATTCACAATAGCAAAGACTTGAAACCAACCCTAATGTCCAACAATGATAGACTGGATTAAGAAAATGTGGCACATATACACCATGGAATACTATGCAGCCATAAAAAAGGATGAGTTCATGTCCTTTGTAGGGACATGGATGAAGCTGGAAACCATCATTCTCAGCAAACTATCGCAAGGATAAAAAACCAAACACCGCATGTTCTCACTCATAGGTGGGAATTGAACAATGAGAACACATGGACACAGGAAGGGGAACATCACATACCGGGGCCTATTGTGGAGTGGGAGGACGGGGGAGGGATAGCATTAGGAGATCTACCTAATGCTAAATGAAGAGTTCATGGGTGCAGCACACCAATATGGCACATGTACACATATGTAACAAACCTGCACATTGTGCACATATACCCTAAAACTTAAAGTACAATAAAAAAAAAACCACATTGCTTATTTAGTTTGTTTTATTTAATAAAGAGGCTGCTTGGTACCCTTCTCTGCAAACATTATATACTGGAGTGAAGTTATCGCTCCCTCCTACCACCCCACCCAGGTGGAGGCAGAGGGAAATTTGTTATAACAGTTGCTTAATATATTTTCTGTGGCCCTAAAGCTGTAATTTCCTGGAAATGCAGTGCCCAGTACTGAGAGAGTTCTTGGAGTTGTTTCTTATGTTCTCCAGATTCTAGCTTCCCAAATCTGTTTAAGACCCATCTGCTCCGTTGTCTGCCTAAACATAAGCCCTTCCCTTGGCTATATCATCAATTATAAGGAGTACACACACATGCGAAATAAAGAAGGGGTCAGTAGAGGGGAAGTACAGGGAAAGGACTTTCTCAAAAAGAGACTTTGGTGAATTTAATACTCAGTAAAGACTGAAGAGAAAAATATAACCATTTTTTAATCCACATTTTTCAAGATTTCTGCTCTTTAGCACTGAGCCTACACATTCTCTTCATTTATTTAAACTCTCTTTGAAGTTGTAGTAGCATCAAAGGCAAAAGGACTATATGAGGACAAAAACATGAATCAAAATAAAGACAACGTAATTTGTAATGTGGAATTATCAGTCAGCTGAAAGGACAGATGGGAATAAATTATAGAAAATATAGTTACATTAAAATGAGAAAAATCATATGATGGTATCAAGACTGCACTTAACAATCACAACACAAATAATGAAAAACCTAACCAGGACAGAACCATAAATAAGTTTGATAATGCCATCCTTGGTTCAACAGATCACAGTTTACTTTCAATTTAGACAGTGTCTACCCACACAAAGTGGAAACTTGAAGCACTCTCTTGAGTAGATGATTTTTAAAGCAAGATTTCACAAAACATGTCAATTGTATCAACTTGTTTAATTCAGTTATGGGAATGTTTATTATGCACCAGGCATTCTATTAGCTGCTAGGCACATAAACATGACAAAACGTGATCACTACCAAAAAGATGTTACCTTCCATAGGAAGTATGTATGTCCAAGTTCTCAAATCTCAAAATCAAATTAATTTCAGAGTGTGTCATCTTTAAACGAAAGAAAAACCTAAGAGAGAGAAAGAGAAAAACAAGTTATACATACATTTTACAAAGGTTCAGCATAATTAACATAACACGTAAGTAATAACACCCCAAACACATTAGGAATAACCGTTCTGGATAATTCAAGAAAATATATTGTTGCACATTTTAAAAAATTTTGTAACAAAATGCTTGGAGGAAGCAGGATAGTGGCATGGAAAGAACATTGGACCAGAAGTAAAGAAATTAGGTTTTAACTATTGTTTTTTCAATAATTTGCAGTGTTCACTTACATAATTAATTTCACTTCTATAGACTTAATGTTTCTTTAGCTTTAGACTGTTGAATTTAATCTTATTAAAGACCAAAAAGAAAACTATAACAATTTTTACCATTTTTAAGATTCCTCTCCTTTAGCACTGAGCCTTGTGGAGCCTTGACCTTGTGAGACCTCTATTCCAGTGAGAGAGAAAAGAAATTAAAATTATCTCTGGCCCCTTTTAGCTTTAGCCCAACAACTAAGTCAACTGTTAGAAAAGTACCAGGTGAAGGGTAGTCCTAACAGGCCAAGTGAAGTTGAAAGATGTTCAATTATTCAGTAGACCATCTGCTGCTATTTGTATACCTTATTGTACAGGAGACTCTTGCATTGATCATAAAGGTGCAGGGCAGACAAGTCTTAAAATTGGGGCTTAGCCCAGGAGGGTTCTTGGCTTTGCTAAGGAAAACATTCAAGGGTGAGCTGGTGGTGTTAGACATCAACTTTTATTGAAGTGACAGCATACAGCAGCAGCGGAGGTGCTGTTTCTTGGAGAGTACGGCTATCCTATATGCAGTGTGCCCAGAATAGCAGCTCAGAGGCAGTCCTGCAGTCATATGTATACCCACTTTTAATTATATGCAAATTAAGGGACAGATTATGCAGAAATTTCTAGAAAAAGAGTGGTAACTTTCATGCTGTTAGGTTATTGACATGGAAAGGGGCAGTAACTTACAGATGTTGCCATGGCAATGGTAAACTGACATGGCACATTGGTGGGCTTGTCTTATGGAGAGATGTTTCTGCCCCATCCCTGTTTTACCTAGTCCCCATTGTGTCCCAGTGTCTGAGCCCCTCCACAGTTGCATCCCACGTCCTATCTCAGTAACACTTTGTGAATACAGTATTTAATAAATTTAATATTTTGAGATAACAGTAAATTAAACAGACAATTCATACTTAGTTTCAATCTTCCATTTCAAGATTCTTTCTTAATAAATTGAAGCCACTTTTCTAAGCATAAAAAATGGTAAATATAATTCAATTTTTCTTCAGTTCTGTTCATTAAAACTGTATTTAAGTCTACATGACATAAAAGTTAATAATCTCTGAGACCTATTTCTTTACTTAATTTTTGCGTATTTCTTATAAATTTGGAATGCAGTGGAAAAGAATCCCACTAGGTAGTTAGTCAGTATATTACAGGCCTCTAACTTGCTGCTATAATATTTATTTAATGAATTCATTCACACAAATCAAAACACCTCATTGAAATTCTATTTATGGCTTACTTAATTTATGATTATCATTTCCAACAGATATTTCACTTTTTTATTGACATATTTAATCTCTGGTTTGTAGATGTAAATTTGAACTTATTCATTTGATGTTACCATGAGATAAGAAAAAAATAATCCTTATTTGGTGAAATATGTAGCAATAAGATGGAGATACTATCCTGAGATCTTGTGCATGCTTAATAACTTAACCATTTTTACATTCTCCCCTTTTCTC
Source organism: Homo sapiens (assembly GCF_000001405.40). Lineage (NCBI taxonomy): Eukaryota > Metazoa > Chordata > Mammalia > Primates > Hominidae > Homo > Homo sapiens. The sequence goes on along the minus strand of NC_000006.12, from coordinate 122,584,171 downwards.
ATATATTTTCTTTCTGATTAGACTGTGCATGTTTTAATTAGTTTTTTCACACTGTCAACCTTTAAATAGCCATTTGCCTCACTCACAATCCTTAATGATGTGTAATCTCTCACGGGTAAAATTAAATCAATTCAGCTACCAGAAAAATACCAGAGAAATAAATAGATAAGACTTTCCCTCATTCTTCTATGACTTCCCAAGTTAGACACTCCCACACTGCAAAGACACTAACTACTAAATCTCCAGTTCTTCATCCAAGTGAAACTGCGAAAAGGGGCATAGCCCAGCATAAAAAAGGAAGTCTGACAAGCCTAACAGTTGGCCTCTTTGCTCTATTCTCACTAGTCTCAGAGGTCTCTAAGGAACTACTTACCTCTCAAGTCAAGAAGTAATCATTTTAAGTCAATGAAAATGAATAAACTAATCTAGAATGGGTAATCATTGTTATTGATATTAATACCATCATTATGATTAATGGTGTTTATTAGAGGTGATATTTGTGCCAAGAAGATAACTGAAAAGACAGACTAGAATTAACATTACAAAATGTATATGTGCGTATTCAGTGTGAGGGGATTTTCTTAAAGTAAGCAGTGGGAAGGGGTGTAGTAGCATACTAAAGTAATAGCAGCAAAAATTTCGTGGAACAGCCTGGAAAGCAAAGAAGAATCCTAAAGAGGTATTTCAGAAAGTCATTTGTGAATAATTTTATTTTGCAAGATGAATTTTAGGTCTCACCTTTAATATGTATCTTATTGGCATATTACCCATGTCATTATTAGAATAAAAATTCTCAATTCTGGGAACAATTAAAATTGCTATTAAGAATGTATAAGTCCTTCCCTAGAAATGCTTGGGCATGCCTATCTCACAGTTTGCTGCCTGCATAATGTAGAAGATATTATTAAGATTTCTGTTTAAGGCTAGAAATAAAATGTTTCTGAAATATATTTTGCAAATAAAATTATTAAATGCTCTATTGTTTCTTTCAAAATAATCTTCACTAAAGCTTCGTTTGTTTGACCTCAACAGTGTATTATACAATGAAATCAAAACATAATCAACCTATTTAAGATAAATAGAAAAAAGGAAAAGAAAGAAAACACTTGGGGTATAAATGTTTTTTCTATCTTGATTGTTAAGACTATTCTATATCTTATATTAATATTTCTTCATATGACTAAGTATTAATCAATATTCAGAAGATGATTATGAAAACAGGAAAATATGATACAACTTGCATAGCCAAAGAAAACAAAATGCAAGAATAATGTGACCATATTCTAGTCTTTCATTCAGTAACTATTTCCTTAGTAATTACTATGTGTTAGGTACTGTTTTAGGTCTTGGGATACATAAGAGAACAAAAAAACACAAAAATCCCTGACCTCGTGGAGCCTCTATTACAGTCTGTACTTAAACATGTTTATATGTAATATTAACCTGGCCATGAGTTCCTTTATCACAAGCAGTACAAAAGAAATGCACTTTCTATCAACACCTCAACACAGCTTCAAAGAAGGTAGCTTCTGTTATAAGAACATAGGATAGAAAAGATAACTGGTTACATATCTATATGTCTAGCCCCTCCATCAGATAATACCATTTCTAGCTCAACCTCTTTGAGGGACATGTTTATAATACAAACATTAGTGCAAATGGCTTTTGAGAAAAATAAAATTCAGACTTTGGATTCAGAAATGTTTAATGTCACATTATGGAATATAAACATTTTTTGGCCTTTGGAGTCATTCCTAATCATTCTCATCTGGATGAAAGCCACGAGCCAACAACTGGATGGGTTGTTAAACAGTAGCCACATCTCCTTATCCCTCTCTTACATTATTTCACTTGCTTTTTTTGTGGCAAATAGGAGAAAATAAGGGAAGTCCACAGTGGTATGACTAAGTTCTGCTTGGTGAAGAATAGCTACTAAATTCTGAGACATTCCAGCCCTGCTTAAGAATGACCTGGATGATTTTAGGACTTTAACTTTTTTCTATTAGGATATAACTGTTACCATGTTAGTTCCATAAAGATGACAAAAAATAAGCAACTACAAAGTCCTCATCTATCATCAAGAAGTGCAAATGTTTTTCAAGCAACTGCTATGTACATCACGTTATATGGCTCATAGTGGTAAAAGACCATCTCTGCAGTATAAATTTGTAAGAGAACATAAACACTTAAAAAATTAAAATGATGTCATATCCCACACCTACACTCATTGCTCACCTTCCATTGAGACCACACTTGCCCATAGAGATAGAAAGCTAGAAAAAAACTTTACATTTGTAATGGATAGAAAGATGGCAGTATCATCATAGCTCAATCTTCATGGCTCAATCAGTGAATGTTGACTCGGTAGTCAGAAACATCTGGCACAATTAAAGATTTTTAATGGTCCCTGCCCACAAAGGAGATTAAGACATCATAAGGAAGAAAAACAGAAAAAAAAATACAATAAATGCAAATGCACCTAGGTAAATCACAGAATTAAAAGAACAAAGCACGTTAAAAGGAGGATTATGTTTGTGTAAGAGAAAATGAATTAATTTTAAACCTTTAATCTTGATGCTTAAAATTTTAGGGATTTTGGTAATTGCTTTCCAACATTTATATGGCAAGTTATTTAAATTAACCTAGTCTTGCTATTTTTCATTCCAAATCTATTTAAGTCCTTTGTGAGGCTCTCTGACCAAGTAATTTGCATTAATTCTTATTTTCTTTTCAGCTTTTCATGCTTAACAATGCCTAGTTTTAATAATAACTAACAATCATAAGTCAAGATGGAAAGGATAGTCTTATATTGTAAAAGAAATGTTATAACAAAAACAACTTCGAGATGACTGATAAAGTAGGAAGAAATTCTCTACATTGAAACCAACATTTCCCAGGAAATCTTACATTGCAATACCAAGAAATTGCTTCAGACCTGAAACATCTATTCTGTCCTCTATGTAGAAAAATGATGATGGTATTATAATGGTTAAATTCTTCCAAATCACAGTGTGACGCAGTAGTTAAATTTTTATTTCCACAAAATTACTAGAGCTATTTGAAGAGTTAGTTGATATTCCGCCTGTGCAATAACTAAAAGTCCCTGGCTCTGGTGGGACTCGAGGTATATCTCCAGCCTGTGATTGATGGAAGATCCTGGGTATTTGGCAGGCTACAGTCTGTAATACAGAATCTGCACCATCCACCTAGTGGTAGCACAGACAAGAATTGATGATAATGACTGTTTCCCCATCAACTATGACTCACATGTTTTCTAGAGGGTGTAAAAGAAAAGATTGACCACAGGTTATGTCAGACAAGGTATTCAGTGCAATTTGGTAAAAACAAACAACCCTTCCTGTTTCGTTTATCCATTAACATTTCATTCTGGAGGCTCACTAAAACAGATTCAATCTTTTTTAAAAGTTGGTGGGGGGAAGGTGGTATGCTGGGAACTAAGAAGATACAAGACAAAATAATATATTTTCTGCTGCTTGTAGTGTATAGTGCATATAGATATGATACAGGATAAAACCAGTCCCCAAGTTTCAGCAGCCTGAAAAGCCTAGTGTTCAGGGAGGCTTTACAATCTGAGATGGGGCAAACCCTATGTAGGCAAACAATTCACTTTAATATTATGCTAAGGAAAAAGCCAGTTAATCTTTACAGAAGAAGAGAATGAGAAAAAGCATAACATAGGTGAAATGTATTTTAATAGTTCACTTAATGAATAACATACTAATGGGCAATAAGCTTAGCAATTACCTTTATTTAATATAATAGATAAAAACAAATAACATCATTAGATGCCAACATCATTTTCCAGAGGTCCCAGTTTCCCATCAAAATCAACCAAGTTCCAATTTCTAGAGCTTTATTTGTTTTCTGTAATTTATAATTTAAGATAGTAGAAAATGTTTGCATGCTTAGACTCCACGTGAAACATTTCTGCCTAAAGAAGAATCCTCAAGCAAATATGTTTGAATTTGACTACATTCACATAGAACTTTCTAGTTTTTTTGAAGATAGAAAAACAAATTTTAAATGCTTTTATATATCAAACTAGCAACACAGGTCAAATATAAAAATAGTGATGAAATAATTTCAGTAAAAATTCACTGAACATAATTTTTTACTTTAAAAATTAAATGAGAGGTATTAATTTTACTGAATAGAAAGCACCTTAAGACCTATTTTTAATAATCTTAGAACAAGGCTAACTACAATATGTATCTATATACGATGTCTTCTTTTATTTGCACCTTAATTTCTCTGACTGAGAAGAAACCAGCTGTGTTTAATTGACGTTTGTTAAACACATTGTGTCAAGGTGCAGATAAGATTTATTTATGTGGCTACTTGTGTGAGAATAATTCAGATTTCTCCAAGCTGAACCTGAAGAGGTTGCTGCTTTATTTGCAGTAAAAATATTCTTTATTTACAACCTGATCTTGATACATGGGGCCTAGAGAAAATACTAGAGAGTAATTTTCATTTTGTTGTATAGTACTTTTCATTAGGAACTGATACATCTCAAATTTTAAAATTTGAATAAATCATAAAATACATGATATTTTAAAAAATAATACTTTGCTTTTTTACTAATTATTGATTAAAGAGCCATAAATATGAGTAATATACAAATTCCTGCTCTGGAAAGTGCTGTAATGTAGTACAGAAAATTAAAATTATATGTTCTTGTAACAGAAAGGATGCAGCACAAAAATACAAAAGTATTGTAAAAGTTTAAACAAGAGAAAAGGCCCTAAGAATTTGATGTACCAGAGATCTTTACAGAGGGATGAAGATAGGTTAGGGCATATGGGATAGAGGAGGAAAGGGAGGATATTCCATGCACCGCAAACACAATTGCAAAGATATGAAGATGGAAAAGCAGGTGTTGTGTCAGGGCATCAGTGGAAAGGCCAGTTTTATTAGAATGTAAGAAGACTATAAGGAAGTCATTGAAAATAAACTTTGGAAAGTAGGTGGTAGGTAAATTATGGCAACCTTGAACTCCTGAGTAGATTCTGAAGTCATGAGAAGTCATGAAAATGGTTGGAGCAGGGGAAGTGTACTAGTCCATTCTCAAGCTGCTGATGAACACATACCCAAGACTGGGTAATTTATAAAGGAAAGAAGTTTAATTGACTCACAGTTCAGCATGGCTGGGAGGCCTCAGGAAACTTGCAATCATGGCAGAATGGAAAGCTAACATGTTCTTCTTTACATGGTGGCAGGAAGGAGAAAAAGGAGCAAAAGAGGGAAAAGCCTCTTATGAAACCATCAGTTCTTGTGAGAACTCACTTACTATCATGAGAACAACAGCATGAGGGTAACTGACCCCATGATTCGTTTACCTTCCACCAGGTCCCTCCCACGACACATGGAGATTATGGGAACTACAATTCAAGATGAGATTTGGGTGGGGACACAGCCAAGCCATATCAGGAAGTGATATAATTAGGCCTGGCTATCAAGAGTAACATTATTAACCATGCACAATGTGAGACAGGCTCTGTGGGCCCAGGCAAGGAGCAACAGAGACCAAGATCAGGGTAGTGACTGCGGAAATGGGAAGGAAGGAAAGATGGCTTAGACAAAGAGAACCTGCACAACTAGGCAAATAATTTAATATAGGGAATTGAAAAGACAAAAGAACATTTTGGCATCTAGATGACTAGATAGTGTTATAATTCATCACAATAGATTAAGTCCAGAGGAAAATTAGTTTTGCATGGGAAATTGATGAGCTCCATTTTGAACACGTAGAATTCAAAATGCTTGAAAGATACCGAAAAGGAAAGGTTAAATAAAATAAGATAAAAATACACAATAAAAAACAACTATGTCACCTTTTTGTTCATGTAAGTAGCAAACTTACCACTTTGAAGCAGAAGCATCATACGTGATGCTAACTTATTTTCCAAATCCTGTGAAAATGTTTTCGTTGAACCCTGATTTAATTTTTAGCCATGGTTCCCAGCCTCATTTTACTCACATTTAAAGTAGAATCCATCTTCCTGGACATTTCTATCTACATTTCCTTCTAATTTAAACAGTATTTCTTAACTTCTCATAAATCAGATTGTTTCTCTCTTTAAAACTATCCTGTAATAATTCCTGCCCACTAAGTTTTACCCCTTTATCTTAAATTTTACAAAAAAAAAACTCCTCTAACTATGCTTTTGTCTGTTTATCCCAGTTAATGTGTTCTAAATAAATGTATTTCTTTTTTCTTTTCTTTTCTTTTTTTTTTTTTTGAGACGGAGTCTTGCTCTGTCGCCCAGACTGGAGTGCAGTGGCGTGATCTCAGCTCACTGCAAGCTCTGCCTCCCGGGTTCACGCCATTCTCCTGCCTCAGCCTCCTGAGTATCTGGGACTACAGGCGGCCACCACCACGCCCGGCTAATTTTTTGTATTTTTAGTAGAGACGGGGTTTCACTGTGTTAGCCAGGATGGTCTCGATCTCCTGATCTCGTGATCTGCCCGCCTTGGCCTCCTAAAGTGCTAGGATTACAGGCATGAGCCACAGCGCCCGGCCCAATAAATGTTATTTCTTCCCCATATAAAATGAGATAAAACCATTTTATTTCCCCTCAGTGCTGGTATCTGTATTTCTTTTTTTCATGGATATTGAGAAGAAATGGGTAGTTTTTTCAAGATTAATTTGGACTTGATTTGACAACTCACAAATCTGACATCTTTTTGTGTCTTTATCACAAATGTTCATCAAATCTATTTGAAAAGCAGTGTAATGAATTACTATAAACTTCTAAGAAAAAATATACAAACAAAATGAATCCAAATTCAAGGGCCATAAATTGCTTTTTCTTTGCATTTCTCCAACCCTGCGTCCCTCATCCCAGGAAAAATTATTCCACATACTTTTTTTTAACTTAAAAGTAATGTAGGTCAGGTTTTAATCTCATTTTATTCTCTAGAACTTCTGATTTGAAATCTGCGTATGATACTATTTGGCTAAATGCTGAAATCAAGCCACCAGTGGCCCCAACATTTATGTACCCACAGCATTTTTTATATAGCCCCATATATAATGTTATAGTGTAATTATTGTTTGTCTTTCCAGTGTATTGTAAAATCTTAAAGACAGAGTCATCATGTATGGCGCAGTCCCTGACACATGGTAAGTGTTCCAATGTTTAATGAATTAATATATGAAGAAATGTATGAATGCTAGAGATAGACCTGGTGGCTGTCTAGGAATTCTTTAGATCCACCATGTTAAAATGTCATATTTATTTCCTTTATTTGCTCTCCTTCTGATAGTTTTCAATTTGTTTAATTACACACAAAGCCAGGCAAGTTATACTTAATTTAAAAACACATGCGATAATACACATATGCCTAACAAAATCAAGATGTGCTATGTTAAATAGTTCCTTTTACTTTTTTCTTTTTAAAATTAACTTTACTGAGGTATAATTATACAAAAGAAAATATATATATATATATATATATTTTTTTTTTTTTTTTTTTTTTGAGATGGAGTCTCGCTCTGTCGCTCAGGCTGGAGTGTAGTGGCGCCATCTGGGCTTCACTGCAAGCACCTCCTCCCGGGTTCACGCCATTCTCCTGCCTCAGCCTCCCGATTAGCTGGGACTACAGGCGCCTGCCACCACGCCCGGCTAATTTTTTGAATTTTTAGTAGAAACGGGGTTTCACCATGTTAGCCAGGATGGTCTTGATCTCCTGACCTCGTGATCCGCCTGCCTTGGCCTCCCAAAGTTCTGGGATTACAGGCGTGAGCCACCGCGCCCAGCCAAAATATATATTTTAAGTGTAAGGCTTAATGTATTTTGACAAATTAAAAGAACCATGTAATCATCATCACCATGTTAGCCAGGATGGTCTTGATCTCCTGACCTCGTGATCCGCCTGCCTCGGCCTCCCAAAGTTCTGGGATTACAGGCTTGAGCCACCACGCCCAGCCAAAATATATATTTTAAGTGTAAGGCTTAATGTATTTTGACAAATTAAAAGAACCATGTAATCATCATCACCATCAAGTTATAGGACATTTCCATAATCTCAAAATGTTTCTTTTACTTCTTCCCTCACTGCTGTCCCTGGTTCCAGGCAATAACTGGTCTTGTATCATTATTGATTAGATTTGTCTTTCCTAGAGTTTCATATAAATGACATTGTGTAGTGTGTACTGTTGTGTGTCTGGCTTCTTGCACTTACAGTAATGCTTTTGAGATTCATTCATGTTGTTGTATCAGTAGTTTCTTTTTTAAAATTTCAGTAGTTTTGGGGGTACAGGTGGTTTTTGCTTACACGGATAAGTTCTTTAATGGTAAATTCTGAGATTTTAGTGCACTTGTCACCCAAGCAGTACACATTGTACCCAATATATAGCCTTTTACCCCCACAACTATTCCCTCTGAGTCCACAAAGTCCATTATAGTACTGTTATGCCTTTGCATCGTTGTAGCTTAGCTCCCACTTATAAGTAAGAGCATACAATATTTGGTTTCCCATTCCAGCATTACTTCACTTAGAATAATGGCCTCTCACTCTATCCAAGCTGCTGCAAAAGTCATTATTTCATTCCTTTTTTATGGCTGAGTAGTATTCCATGGGGTATATATATCACATTTTCTTTATCCACTCGTTGGTCAATGGGCGCTTAGGTTGGTTTAATATCTCTGCAATTGCAAATTGTGCTGCTTTAAACATGAGTGTGCATGTTTTTTTTTTCATATAATGACTTACTTTCCTTTGAGTAGATACCCAGTAGTGGAACTGCTGGATCTACCACATATTGCTGCAAGATAGTTCTACTTTTAGTTATTTAAGGAATCTCCATACTGTTTTCCATCGTGGTTGTACTAATTTACATTCCCACCAGCAATATAAAAGTGTTTCCTTTTCACCACATCCATGCCAACATCTATTGTTTTTTGACTTTTTACTTAAACGGCCATTCTTGCAAGAGTAAGGTAATATCTTACTGTGGTTTTAATTTACATTTCCCTGATGATTAGCAATGGTGAGCATTTTTTCATACGTTTGTTGGCTGTTTGTGTATCTTCGTTTGAAAAATGTTTACTCATGTCCTTTGCCCACTTTTTGACAGGTTTTATTATTATTATTATTGCTGATTTGTTTGAGTTCCTTGTAGATTCTGGATACTAGTTCTTTGTCAGATGCATAGTTTGCAAATATTTTCTCCTACTCTGTGGGTTGTCTGTTACTCTACTGATTATTTCTTTTGCTGTGCAGAAGCTTTTTAGTTTAAGTAGGTCACACTTATTTATTTTTCACTTGGTTGCATTTGTTTTTGGGATATTAATAATGAATTCTTTGCCTAAGCCAAAGTCCAGAAGAGTTTTCTGATGTTATCTTCCAGAATTGTTATGATTTTAGGTCTTAGATTTAAGTCTTTGATTGATCTTGAGTTGATTTTTGTAGAAGGTGAGAGATGAGGATCTAGTTTCATTCTTCCACATGTGGCTTGCTAGTTTTCCCATCACCATTTATTGAATATACAGTTTATGTTTTTGTATGCTTTGTCGAAGATTAGTTAGCTGTAAGTATTTGGCTTTACTTCTGGGTTCTCTATGCAGTTCCATTGGTCTATATGCCTATTTTTATACCAGTGCCATGTTGTTTTGCTAATTATAGCCCTGTAGTATAATTTAAAGTTGGGTAATGTGATGCTTCTAGATTTGTTCTTTTTGCTTAGTATTGCTTTGGCTATAGGCTCTTTTGTGATTCCATATTAATTCTAGGATTGTTTTTTCTAGTTCTGTGGGGAACGATGATGGATATTTTGATGGGAATTGCATTGAATCTGTAGATTTATTTGTGAATTTGGATATTTTCACAACACTGATTCTTCCCATCCATGAGCAGGAGATGTGTTTCCATTTGTTTGTGTCATCTATGATTTCCTTCAGCAGTGTAGGTGATCTTTCACCTACTTGGTTAAGGATATTCCTAGATTTTTGTGTTCTTATTTTTATTTTTGCAGCTGTTGCAAAAGGGATTGAGTTCTTGATTTGATTCTCAGCCTAATTGTTGTTGGTGTATAGCAGTGCTACTGATTTGTGTACATTAATTTTGTAACCTGAGACTTTACTGAGTTTATCAAATGCAGGAGCTTTTTGGATGGGTCTTTGGGGTTTTCTAGGTATATGATCATATCATGGGTGAACAGAGATAGTTTGACTTCTTCTTTTCCAGTTTGGATGCCCTTTATTTATTTCTTTTGTCTGATAGCTCTGGCTAAAACTTCCAGTACTATGTTGCACAGAAGTGGTGAAAGTGTGCATCCTTGTCTTGTTCCAGTTCTCAGGGGGAATCCTTTCAACTTTTTCCCATTCAGTATGATGTTGGCTGTTGATTTGTCATATGTTACTTTTATTACTTTGAGGTAAATCCTTTCTATGCCTATTTTTGCTGAGGGTTTTATCACAAAGGGATGCTGCATTTTGTCAAATGCTTTTTCTGCATCTATTGAGATAATTATTTTTGTTTTTAATCCTGTTTATGTGATGTATCACATATATTGACTTGCATATGTTGAATCATCCCTGCATCCCTGAGATAAAACCCACTTGATCGTGATGTATTATCTCTTTTTTCTTCTTTTTTTTTTCTTTTTCTTTTTTTTTTTTTTTTGAGACAGAGTCTAACTCTGTTGCCTCGGCTGGAGGACAGTGGCACAATCTCAGCTTACTGCAACCTCTGCTTCATGGGCTCAAGCGATCCTTCCACCTCAGCCTCGCGAGTACCTGGGAGAACATGTGTGTACTACCAGCGAATTTTTGTATTTTTTGTAGAGATGGGGTCTTGCCATGTTGTCCAGGCTGGTTTTAACCTTCTGGGTTTAAGTGATAAGATCACAGGCATGAGCCACTGCGCCCAGCCAATCATGATGTATTATCTTTTGGATGTGCTTTTGGATTCAGTTAGCTAGTATTTTGTTGAGGATTTTGCATCTGTTTTTATCAGAGATATTGGTTTGCAGTTTTCTTTTTCTCTTGTGTCCTTTCCTGGTTTTGGTATTAGTGTTATACTGGCTTCAGAATAACTTAGGGAGGATTCCCTCTTTATCTTTTCGAATAGTTTCAGTAGAATTGATGCCAACTCTTCTTTGAATATTCTTTGAATTCAGCTATGAATCCATCTGGTCCTGAAATTTTCTGTGTTGGCAATTTTTTCATTACTGATTTAATCTTGCTGCTTGTTACTGGTCTGTTCAGGGTTTCTAGTTCTTCCTGATTTGATCTAGGAGAATTACATGTTTCCAGGAAGTTATCCATTTCCTCTAGATTTTCTAGTTTGTGTGTATAAAGGTGTTCATACTAGCCTTGAATGTTATTTTTTTATTTCTGTAGTATCTGTTGTAATATTGCCAGTTTCATTTCTAATTCAGCTTATTTGAATGTTCTCTCTTCTTTTCTTGGTTAATCTCACTAATAGTTTATCAATTTTGTTTATCTTTTCAAAGAACCAGCTTTTTGTTTCATTTATCGTTTTTTTTTTTGTTTCAATTTCATTTAGTTCTGCTCTGATCTTTGTTTTTTTTTTCCTTCTGCTACATTTGGATTTGCTTTGTTATTGTTTCTCTATTTCCTTGAGGTGTGACATTAGGTTGTCTATTTTTGCTGTTTCAGACTTTTTGATGTAGGCATTTAATACTATTAGCTTTCCTTTTGGTACTACTTTTGCTGTATCCCGGAGGTTTTGATAAGTTGTGTCACTTTATCATTCATTTCCAATAATTTTCAATTTCCATCTTAATTTCATTATTAACCCCAAAATTATTCAAATGCAGATTATTTAATTTCCATGTATTTGTATAGTTTGGAGGGTGAGTTGCTTTTAGATCTAGCAGTAATTGTTTTATAAATCTTGGAGCTCCTGTGTTAGGTGCATATAAATTTAGGATTGTAATATCTTCTTGTTGAACTAATCATTTTGTTATTATATAATGTCCTTCTTTGTCTTTTTTTATTGTATTGTTTCAAAGTCTGGTTTGTCTAATGTAAGAATAGTGACTCCTGCTTGCTTTCAGTTTCCATTTGAGTGGAATACCTTCTTCCACCCCTTTACCATGAGTTTATGTGTCAGTTTCCATTTGCGTGGAATACCTTCTTCCACCCCTTAACCATGAGTTTATGTGAGTCCTTTTGTGTTAGATGGGCCTCTTGAAGACAGTAGACATTTGGTTAGCGGTTTTTTAATCCATTCTGCTATTCTGTACCTTTTCAAGTGAAGCATTTAGGCTATTTACATTCAACCTGAATATTAAGATGTGAAGTACTGTTCTATTCATCATATTAGTTTTTACCTAGATACTTTGTTTTTCTTCATTATGTTAATGTTTTATAGGCCCTGTGAGATTTATGCTTTAAGGAGGTTCCATTTTGATATAGATCAAGGTTTTGTTTCAAGATATGGAACTCCATTTAGCATTTATTGTAGTGCTGGTTTGGTAGTGGAAAATTTCCTCAGCATTTGTTGAAAAATACTTTATCTCTCCATTTATGAAGCTTAGTTTTGCAGAATGCAAAATTCTTGGCTGACAATTTAAGGAGGGTAAAGATAGGACCCCAATCCCTTCTGGCTTGTAAGGTTTCTGCTGAGAAATCTGCTGTTAGTCTGATAGTTTTTCTTTTATAGGTTACCTGATGCTTTTGTCTCACAGCTACCAAAATCCTTTTCTTCATGTTGGCTTTAGATAGCTTAATGACTACGTGCTTTGGTGATAATCTTTTTGCAATGGAATTTCCCAGGAATCTAAGCTTCTTGTATTTTGATATCTGTATATCTAGCAAGGCAAGGGAAGTTTTCCTCAATTATTCCTTAAAATAAGTTCTCCAAACTCTTAGACTTCTCTTCCCCCTCAGGAACATCAATTATTCTTAGGTTTGGCCATTTTACATAATCCCATATTTCTTGGAAACTTGGTTCATTTCTTTTGCTTCTTTTTTCTTTATCTTTGTCTGATTGGGTTAATTCAAAAGCCTTGTCTTCAAGCTCTGAAATTATTTATTCTACGTGTTCTTGTCTAATATTGAAATTTTCACTAAATTTTGTATTTCTCTAAGTATGTCTTTTATTTCCAGAAGTTCTGATTGTTTTTTTTTATGATATCCATCTCTCTGAAAATTTTTTCATTCATATCCTGAATTTTAAAACATTTTTTATGTTGGTTTTCACCTTTCTCTGGTTATTTCCTAGAGTAGCTTAATAATCAACCTTCTGACTTGTCTGGTATTTCAAAGATTTCATCTTGGTTTGAAGCAATTTTTGGGGAGTTAGTTTGATCTTTTGGGGGTGTTACAGAACTCTCTTTTGTCATATTACCAGAATTACTTTTCTGGTTCCTTTTCATTTGGATAGACTTTTCTTCAAAATTTTCTTGAATTTATTTTTATTTGACTGTGGTTTTTATTTAATTTCTTTTTTTCCCTCTTAGGAATCTGACTTTAACGTTTATAGTTTATTGCAGGCTAATTTAATTCTTGGTGCTTTTAGCAGGAAAGACTCTGTATGACTTCCTTAGTTATAGAGGGTCTTTGTGCACTGGCTTTTCCAGATGCTTGTTGTAGTAGTTATGTTCATGGTGTGTGGGCAAGTTCACTGTCTCATATGGGGTTGGAATGGCAAGGATTTTTGAAGCTTATCTCATTCTCCCATGGTGTATGCTTTTTTATTTACTTAATTTTTCTCCAGTGTTTTATTTACTGATTTGATGATCCAGGCTTCAGGTTAGTAGGGGAGTTATCCCTGGGTAGGCACTGGTTGTAGCTAAAGCAGGTGGGTAGATGTAATACCCAATGGTGGGCAGACGTCCCAGCCTTGTTGAAGGTGGCTGGGAAGCCCTCAATTAGATGTACAGAGGTTTTATCAGGTTGAAAGGTGGGAGCACCTCAGCTACCCTGCCAGGCCAGCAGGGAAGGCATCTACTTCCCAGCTTCATTTCTATCCCAGTGTTCTGGCTATTCAGGTTAGACAGGCTCCTCTTTTCATCTGTAAGAATGTTGATATTCTAAGTAAAGAGGAGTTGTGACTCTGCCTCTCATGAAAGCCTGACCTGGAAAGTGCTCTTCCTGTGGGGATGCAATCACCCTGACTTGTTCTAGGAAAGCTGTCTGTAGGTGCATCCATGTTGCATTCCTGTGGGAGAAGCCCCAGCTGTGTCTTCAGTGGTGTACTCATGGGAATAAGGACACCGTCTCCAAGACCCTTAATGATCAGAGAGGTTGCCTCCCTGTTGGGATAGAGGTTCAGAGCAGCACTGTAATTGTGTCTCTGCTGTAAGAAACTTCCCATTAGTGGAAAGATCTGGGACTCAAGAACTGCTGTTCAGATTCTTTTGTTCCACGGGGTGTTCCCTTGATGTGGTTCTCTCTCCCTTCCCCTAAGAATGGGAATTCCTGAGAGCCAGACTACAGTAACTGTTATTGCTCTTCTGGGTATAGCCACCGAGTGGAGTTACCAGACTCCAGACTGGTGCTGAGGAATGTCTGCAAGGGATTCAGTGATGTGACCTGTCTTCAAGTCTCCCAGCAGTGGATACCAGCACCATTTCTGACGAAGGTGGTAGAGGAGTGACGTAGACTCTGTGAGATTCCTTGGTTGATAGGCTTAGTGTGCTGGCTTTCTCAAGTGCTGGTCATAATTATTGTGAACTTGTCACGTGGACCCACTTAGAACCTTTGGTTAGCCAGGGTGTTGTACGCAGTGGTGATGAGTACAGCTGAGGTCATGCAGCCGTTTTCTCCATTCTGGACACAGTATTATTCTACCTAGAGGTGCTGTAATGGACTGTTTTGGTTGGCCTCCAGCCAAGAGATGGCACTTTAAAAGAGCACCAGCTGTGGTAGTAGCAGCAGGATTTGAGTTTGCCCTAAGTTACCCAGGGGAAGTATTCTGGTTTCTCAGGCAATAGGTGGAGCTATAAAGCTCCTTAAAGTTTATGTTCTTTGTGTTAAGCTATCAGCGTGGGTGGAGGGGCACAGCCAGTTGGGGATAGGGTTAGGCGGGTCTGTGCTCTGACTCTCCTTGGGTGGGGCTAGCCACAGGCCCTATGAGGGTCAAGGAGAGGGTTTCAGGCTACTGGGATAAAGTTCCAGAGGGGAGTATAACTGCCTTTGGTGCACAGAAGAGTTTGCAAAGGGAGTGGAGAGTATCAGGCAGCAGTAAGCCTCACCCAGCTCCCATGCAGTTGGTGAGGCCAATCTCACTCCCACAGTGCTCCACTAACAGCACTGGGTTAAGATCCAGGCAGTCTGCACACAGAACTCAGACCTGCCCGAGGCCATAAGCTTTCCACAGAGATAGCAACCTCCACTTTCTGGCCACACCTATCCCTGTCTCTCTACAAGGCTGGGCACCCAGCTCCTGTGCTCATGTCTGCAGTGCAATTCCCATTTGTGCTCCCCACTTCCAACCCTGGGTTCTGGTCAAGGGAGTTTGTTCCTACTCAAGATTATATTACAAAATTCAGTGGGGAGCTTCTTTCACCTGCAACCCACTTCCTGAGCTCACTGGCTGACTTCTTTGAGGGCCCCTGTGAGATATAGTCAGTAATGGCTTTCTTGGGTTCACACTGAAGACTGGGATTGCTTGCAAGGCACTTCCTGCTACTGCTTCTACTTTTATATTGCACACCACTCCCTCAATTTGTTCCAGCTCTGGGTAAGGTTAAGGTCTTCTCCCAAGACCTGGATTTTCAGATTTCCTGGTGGGGATATGTCCTCTGGAGGCAGACTCTCCTCTATCACACTCTGGGGACTTAACAGTTTTTCACCTGTCTCATGGAGTAGGCTTCAGCCTGTCACTTATTTCAAAGGCTCTGTGGATTCTTTCAGATTTTATGGTAAATTCCTGCACTGGTTCTTGGAAAAAAATTTATGGTGTGAATCTCTACACACTATTCTGTCCAGAATGTATCTTTTTAAACAAGTAAACATTGTCAGTAATT
The DNA here is from genome assembly GCF_000001405.40 of Homo sapiens. Classification (NCBI taxonomy): domain Eukaryota; kingdom Metazoa; phylum Chordata; class Mammalia; order Primates; family Hominidae; genus Homo; species Homo sapiens. The sequence continues at coordinate 122,568,204 of NC_000006.12, read as the reverse complement.
TTTTTACTTTAAATTAAATTTGCTTCTTTTCATCATATTACCTTTGAAACTTTTTTTTTTATTATAAATGCAATGTTGTTTGTGATAAAAGACTTGGAAAATACCAAAAACATAAAGAAGAAAAAGAGTCATTCGTTTTTTGACGTATGAAAATGTACAACTTTTATAATTAATTCTGTCTATATTTTAATTAATAATGTTAATAATAGCATATTTCAGGCACACAAAAAAAGGACATAGAGTGATATAGCTATACAGAACTGTAATGCAACTTTAAACAGTAAAACATTACTAATACACTTGAAGCCTCCTTATATAACCCTCCCAATGACATTCCTAACTACAGTAACCTCCTTCTCTCTAGAGGTTATTGTAATTCTGAATTTCGCTTTATTATTTTCAAGCATGCTCAATTGGTGTGTTTTGTTACATATTTTATATCACTTTACACTTATGAAAATTTTTGCATGTATCTCATTGCTTTGCATGTATACATTATTTTGCCTATGTTGTTTTATAAGAGTTCTTTTATGAATACTACTCTACTTATAAATTCGTTGAAGGTTGCTTTTTTCATTTAATAGTATTTCAGATTTATCTATGTTGCTACAAATAATTGATAACTCATTTTCTATTAAATTAGCTAATTTAAAAATTGAGTGAAGATAACTAATGCTGGTGTTTTATTTTGGGTTGCTCCAGAAGCTGACTCTGAGATGAAGCTTCAAGTATAGATAGTTTATCTGCACAATACAGGGAACCATGGCAAAGGACTGGGGAATAGAAACAAGGAACAGAAAACAGCCAATCAAGAGTGCATTATGAAACCAGCTACCACTGTGAGTGAATAGAGCTTAATTCTGTGGATCAGTATAAAGCACACACTTCAAAGGGTATCTTTTCACCAACTCTCATCAGCCACTATTTGAGGACTGCTCCCAAGGCATGTTAATTTCCTAGCATTTCTGACTTGCAGCACACACTCGGAGAGAAATGCCTTCTGCATCTCAGAAAAACTCCAAGCATAGAGATAACAGGCATCAGCAATTGGAAGTCACCTGAGTAGACTAGAATGGTATAGTCTGAGAAATATGAGCAGGCCAAGGGCAGCATCTACCACAGCTGGTGACAGCCTATTGAAATTTTTACCTCTATATATTTCTGAGGACATTGTAAATTGCCACAATTATTTTGGGAAGACATTTGACACTGTATATCGAGCCAGGAGTTCAAGGCTGCAGTGAGCTAGGATCTTGCAATTGCACTGCAGCCTGGGTGACAAAGTGAGACCTTGTCCCCAGTTTAAAAAAAGAAATGTTCCTACTAAGGGAAAGTCCATGAAAACAATTATGTGTACACTCATTGAAGTGTTATTTATAATGTTAAAAATAATAAATATTCTAAATATCCAACCACATAAGAATGGTTAGGAAAGTTATGTATGCCTGCTGGATGAAGTTTTGCTATTAAAGTTGAGAATTATGAATATTATATTGCTATATGAGAAGATGTTTGTGCAGGGGGATAAAGAGAAGGAAGGAAGGAAGGAAGGCAGGAAGGAAGGGAGGGAGGGAGGAAGGGAGGAAGGGAGGAATTATTTCAAAATGGTAATACAATTTTCTGGGAGTAGGCCTATATTATTTTATTATTTTTGGTTATAATATTTTTAGTATAAAAATAATGTATTTTAAAGGAACATAAGCATTAGTATAAAGATCATTCAAAAATATTTTAATAATATCTGTTATCTACATATGAGTTTTGAGGCTATATATAAAACCTCACCTGTTATTAAAAAAATCTTGTGAAATAATTGAGTTCAGTATTAATGTCCTTATTTTACAGATAACAAAACTAGGCTCAGAAAGGGCCAAATGGCTAGAAAGTAATGGAACTGTGGTCAGACTATATTTCTTCTGACTCCTGGCCCAGTGTTCCTCATGACAGTGATGAACACTGGTTGTGTTTGCTTCTTCAATACCCCTTTTATAATAAGTGAACTTCTTTTTTTATTTCTTTTCCTCATCCCTCATCTTCAAGGGTGACCCAAGCCTGTCTACTAAAAGTCCAACACCCAATGATTAGCACAGGATTGGGCATGTGACCCAAGTTAGGCAAATCAAAGTCAGCTCAGTACTTGAAAAAAAAAAGATAGCTTCTTCCATTGGGGGTAGTAAACTGTTAGAAGATGAAAAGCCTGAAGTCACTTATAGCCACAGTTTGTCAGCTCATAAAAGATGTTGCCTAAGAGTGAAGAAAAGTCAAAGGAAAACAGAGGTAAAAGTGGTAAGAGACAGATTTGTGATGATGTCATTAAAGCACTCACAAATTCAGATCTGGCCATGCCTCAGGCTACCCTTGGCCTTTTCAGATTTGTGAACCAATTCATACCTTTTTCTTTAAATTAAAATTGGGTTGCTGTCACTTTCACCTAAAAATATCTTGGCTAATATGGAAGACAGTTGTTGTTACTGGAAAATCTTAAAAAGTTGAATTGGCCAAGTTGAGGTGGACAACAGGGAAGTTAGTGTTTTTTACAGTAGCTATAGGGTAGTCCATCCATGCTATACAGTAGAAAAGTAGACAGTTAAACTGGTTAAACTGTTACCTGTCATACTCTTAGACTCATGTGTCTACTGAGACTATAACTTTAAGGAACTTGGTAGAAAAATGTCAGGATACTGGAATATCTTAGCCAGTTCTCTCAAGCTTACCTGTTTAAAAGCAAAGACAAAAGAAAATACAACCTTGATTTATATCTGCATCTAACAATCTGAGACAGCTGAGATTCAAATAACCATGAGCTTTGAAAATCAAAAAAGGCAAAATCTTTACCCCAAGAAAAAGTTAGTGCAAAGGAAACTCAGAGAGGCTGACAAGAACATTGAAAATAAGAATAGAATCTAGGGGAAGCTATGATATGATCTCCAGGACCTTCCCAAGAACTTTGAGTGGTATTTTCTGCCAGAAGAAGGTGTTAGCTATGATATTGTAGGTAAAAATGACAGTAACTCCAATTTAATTATCTTATTTAAAAGGCAGTAAAAAAATTCCCTGTCCTGCTACCTAGAGATATGAGGAGAATTAGTTATCACTTCCAATCCCAACTAATTATTCGGTGCCACTTACAAACCATTAAGCTAAAAGTTAAAATATGGGTAAGCCATTGAGGTCTAATACTAAGAAACAGAAATCACAAACTCACACTTCTCTTGAGACTATGCTCAACATGGTCTCAGTTTCCAGTAACTAGTCTATATCATTAACTAAATACAGATTAGCTGCATACCTCCCAAGGCTGTAAGAAATTTTTTCTTCCAGAGAAACCCTAACACTGGCGGCAAATGCTTGGAAATACCCAATTCCTAAGCGTTTCCTACACCACCAAAATTTCACCAATGGGAAGTAGGTCCCTAACCTACAGCAGCCACCAAAAAAGGGTCCTTCCCAATGTCAATAGCAAATGTCAAGTAATTTACTTAAGAATATGAAACTGTTAAATAAAATCCTCCATGATGCAGATTGGCTGACCAAGGAGCTCACTACCCTTCCATGCAGAAAGAATTTGCAAACTCTGATGAGTAAAACCACTGTTTATTAATTTCCCGCTTTTCTCATTTGTGTGAAAATTTTATTAAATTTTATATTTTATTTACTTTATTTTATCTATTATGTTATATTGTAGGTGGTTAAACAAATAAACCACTTAGTCATAGACTGCTCAAGCATGAGAAGCTACCTTTAAGACTGACAGACAAACACAAAGCAAAGCTCTTACTAGAGGTACATAGAGTAAATGTGTGTGCTTTGTACTTTTTAGAGAGGAGATGGAATTCTAGGATCATCATGACAGATGGGAGGCAGGACTAGAGTGCAGCTCCGGACAGAACAGCTTGCAGAAGCTTGCATTGTGAATTTTAGCTCCAGATCAAGTGCAAGAACAAACCAGCAATCCCGAGAGGACCCACAGATCCTCTAAAGGAAGTGGACTGCTCCTGCAGGACCCTGGAGATACCCCAAAAACTGTGAGTGCCCCAACTGCAGAAGTGGGAAAGGGAAACCTTCCTCTCCCGAACACACATATCCACTGGAAAAGTTGAAGGTCTGTTTGCGGGAGAAGTTTCCGACCTTACCTGGAGCTGAGCCAATTTAGAGAGCCAAGTGAGGGTAAAACTACATAGGGAGAAAGAAATCCCTAGCAGAACTTTGTAATAATATGAACCCGATGAGAAGCCTCCTTGCCAGAACTTGGGGGAAGGTGTGCAAATCTGGTGTGCAGACTCCACCAGCAGGGGAAGAACCAAGCCTTCTTCTCTCACAGCTGGGAGGCGGGAGATTTCAAGCCTGTCTTCCCCTCTGCCTGGAAACAGACTTGGGGCTGTTGTCGCGGGGAACAGTGGGAGTGAGACTGACCCTTCGGTTTGCATGGGAGCTGGGTGAGGCCTGTGACTGCTGGCTTTCCCCCACTTCCCTGACAACCTGCATGGCTCAGCAGAGGCAGGCATAATCTTCCTAGGTACACAACTCCAGTGACCTGGGAATCTCACTCCTATCCCCTACAGCAGCCGCAGCAAGACCCACCCAAGGAGAGCCTGAGCTCAGACATGCCTAGTCCTGCCCCCGCCTGATGTTCCTTCCCTACCCTCCCTGGTAGCAGAAGACAAAGGGTATTAATCTTGGGAGATCTAGGGCCCCACCCACCACCAGTCCCTCTCTATACTCCTACAGCTGATGCTTTCTGGAAAGCGCCACCACCTGACAGTAGGCCAACCAGCACAAAAATAGAGCATTAAACCACTAAAGCTAAGAACTCTCATGGAGTCCATTGCACCCCCTGCCACCTCCACCAGAACAGGCACTGAGACACACAGCTGAGAGACCCAAGGGCAGTTCACATCACAGGACTATGTGCAGACAACCCCCAGTACTAGCCCAGAGCCAGGTAGACTTACTGGGTGGCTAGACCCAGAAGAGGGACAACAATCACTGCAGTTTGACTCACAGGAAGCCACATCCACAGGAAAAGGATGAGAGTACTACATCAAGGGAACACCCCATGGGACAAAAGAATCTGAACAACAGCCTTCAGCCCTAGACCTTCCCTGTGACAGAGCCTACCTAAATGAGAAGGAACCAGAAAACCAACCCTGGTAATATGACAAAAAAAAGCTCTTCAACACCCGTGAAAAATCACAGTAGTGCACCAGCAATGGATCCAAACCAAGAAGAAATCCTTGATTTACCTGAAAAAGAATCCAGGAGGTTAGTTATTAAGCTAATCAGGGAAGGACCAGAGAAAGGTGAAGCCCAATGCAAGGAAATAAAAAAAAAAATGATACCAGAAGTGAAGGGAGAAATATTCAAAGAAATAGATAGCTTAAGGAAAAAAACAATCAAAAATTCAGAAAACTTTGGACACACTTTTAGAAATGTGAAATGCTCTAGAAAGTCTCAGCAATAGAATTGAACAAGTTGAATAAAGAAATTCAGAGCTTGAAGACAAAGCCTTCTAATTAACCCAATCCAATAAAGACAAAGAAAAAAGAATAAGAAAATATGAACAAAGTCTCCAAGAAGTCTGGGATTACGTTAAATGACCAAACTTAAGGATAATTGGCATTCCTGTGGAAGAAGAGAATTCCAAAAGCTTGGAAAACATATTTGGGGGAATAATTGAGGAAGACTTCTCCAGCCTTGCTAGAGACCTAGACATCCAAATACGAAAAGCACAAGGAACACCTGGAAAATTCATCACAAAAAGATCTTTGCATAGGCACTTTGTCATCAGATTATCCAAAGTTAAGACGAAGGAAAAAATCTTAACAGCTGTGAGACGAAGCACCAAGCAACCTATAAAGGAAAACCTATCAGATTAACAGCAGATTTCTCAGCAGAAACCCTCCAAGCTAGAAGGGATTGGGGCCCTATCTTCAGCCTCCTCAAACAAAACAATTATCAGCCAAGAATTTTGTATCCAGCAAAACTAAGCTTCATATATGAAGGAAAGATACAGTCGTTTTCAGACAAACGAATGCTGAGAGAATTTGCTGTTACCAAGCCACCACGACAAGAACTGCTAAAAGAGCTCTAAATCTTGAAACTAATCCTGGGAACACATCAAAACAGAACCTCTTTAAAGCATAAATCACACAGAAACTATACAGCAAAAATACAAGTTAAAAAGCAAAAAAAAAAAAAAACAAAAAAAAACAAAAACAAACAAAAAAAAACTATGCAGGCAACAAAGAGCATGATGAACGCAAGGGTACCTCACATTTCAATACTAACATTGAATGTAATTGGCCAAAATCTCCATTTAAAAGATATAGAACCATGGAATGGGTAAGAACTCACCAACCAACTACCTGCTGACTTCAGGAGGCTCACCTAATACTTAAGGACTCACATGAACTTAAAGTAAAGGGGTGGAAAAAGGCATTTCATGCAAATGGACACCAAAAGCGAGCAGGGGTAGCTCTTCTTATATCAGACAAAACAAACTTTAAAGCAACAGCAGTTAAAAGAGTCAAAGACGGACAATATATAAAGGTAAAAGGCCTTGCCCAACAGGAAAATATTACAATCCTAAACATATATGCACCATACACTGGAGCTCCCAAATTTATAAAAAAAAAAAATTACTAATAGACCTAAGAAATGAGATAGACAGCAACACAACCTCAGAATACACATTCTACTCAATTGCACATGGAACTTTCTCCAAGATAGATCATATGATAGGCCAAAAATGAGCCTCAATAAATTTTAAAAATTTAATAAAATTAAAATTATATCAAGCACTCTCTCAGACCACAGTGGAATAAAACTGAAAATCAACTCCAAAAGGAACCTTCAGAACCATGCAAATACATGGAAATTAAATAACCTGCTCCTGAATGAGCATTGGGTCAAAAACGAAATCAAGATGGAAATTTAAAAATTCTTCAAACTGAACGGCAATAATGACACGACCTATCAAAACCTCTGGGATACAGCAAAGGCAGTGCTAAGAGGAAAGTACATAGCCCTAAGCGCCTACATCAAAAAGACTGAAAGTGCACAAACTGACATTCTAAGGTCATACCTCAAGGAACTAGAGAAACAAGAACAAACTAAACCCAGGCCCAGCAGAAGAAAGGAAATTACCAAGATCAGAGCAGAACTAAATGAAATAGAAAAAATAAAAATAAAAAAGATAAATGAAACAAAAAGCTGGTTCTTTGAAAAGATAAATAAAATTGATAGACCATTAGCAAGACTAACCAAGAAAAAGAGAGAGAAAATCCAAATAACCTCACTGAGAAATCAAACAGAAGACATTACAACTGACACCACTGAAATACAAAAGATTATTGAAGGCTACTATGAACACCTTTATGAACATAAACTAGAAAACTTAGAAGAGATAAATAAATTCCTGGAAAAATACAACCCTCTTAACTTAAATCAGGACGAATTAGATACCCTGAACAGACCAATAACAAGCAGCGAGATTAAAATGGTAATTTAAAAATTACCACCAACAAAAAAAAGTGCAGGACCAGATGGATTCACAGCAGAATTCTACCAAACATTCAGAGAAGAATTGGTATCAATCCTTTTGACACTATTCCACAAGATAGAGAAAGAAGGAACCCTCCCTAATTCATTTCATGAAGCCAGCATCACCCTAATACCAAAATCAGGAAAGGACATAACCAAAAAAGAAAACTACAGACTGATATCTTTGATGAACACTGATGCTAAAATCCTTAACAAAATATTAGCTAACCAACAACATATCAAAAAGATAATCCACCATGATCAAGTGGGTTTCATGCCAGGGATGCAGGGATGGTTTAGCATATGCAAGTCAATAAGTGTGATATACCACATAAACAGAATTAAAAACAAAAATCACATGATCATCTCAATAGATGCAAAAAAAAAAGCATTCAACAAAATCCAACATCTCTTGTGACTGAAATTCTCAGCAAAATCAGCATACAAGGGACATACCTTAGTGTAATAAAAGCCATCTACGACAAACCCACAGCCAACATAATACTGAATGGGGAAAAATTGAAAGCATTCTCTCTGAGAACTGGAACAAGACAAGGATGCCCAGTCTCGCCACTCCTCTTCAACATAGTACTGGAAGTCCTAGCCAGAGCAATCAAACAAGAGAAAGAAATAAAGGGCATCTGATTCAGTAATGAGAAAGTCAAACTGTCACTGTTTGCTGATGATATGATTGTTTACCTTGAAAACCCTAAGGATTCCTCCAGAAAGCTCCTAGAACTGATAAAAGAATTCAGCAAAGTTTCCGGATACAAGATTAATGTACACAAATTAGTAGCTCTTCTGTACATGAACAGCAACCAAATGGAGAATCAAATCAAGAACTCAACCCCTTTTACAATAGCTGCCAAAAAATAAAATTCTTAGGAATATACCTAACCAAGGAGTCAAAGACCTCTACAAGGAAAACTACAAAACTCTGTTGAAAGAAATCATAGATGACACAAACAAATGGAAACACATCTCATGCTCATGGATGGGTAGAATCAATATTGTGAAAATGACCATAGTACCAAAAGCAATCTACAAATTCAATGCAATCCCCATCAAAATACCACCATCATTCTTCACAGAATTAGAAAAAAAACAATTCTAAAATTCATAGGGAACAAAAAAGAGCCCACACAACCAAAGCAAGACTAAGCAAAAAGACCAAATCTGAAGGCATCACACTACCTGATTTCAAACTATACTATAAGGCCATAGTCACCAAAACAGCATGATACTGGGATAGAAATAGGCACACAGACCAATGGAACAGAATACAGAAGCCAGAAATAAACCAAATACAGCCAACTGTTCTTTGACAAAGCAGACAAAAACATAAAGTGGGGAAAGTGGCATATATATATATTATATATATAATTATGTATCTATTTTATGTATATATTTGTTGGCCATTTGTATATCTTCTTTTGAGAATTGTCTATTCATGTCCTTAGCCCACTTTTTGGGGACTGTTTGTTTTTTTCTTACTGATTTGTTTGAGTTCGTTGTTGATTCTGGATATCAGTCCTTTGTCATATATATATGATGGAATACTATGCAGCCATAAAAAGGAATGAATTAACAGCATTTGCAGTGACCTGGATGAGTTTGGAGACTATTATTCTAAGTGAAGTAACTCAGGAATGGAAAAATAAACATCATATGTTCTCACTGATATGTGGGAGCTAAGCTGTGAGGGCGCAAAGGCGTAAGAATGATACAATGGACTTTGGGGACTTGTGGGAAAAAGTGGGAGGGAAGCAAGGGATAAAAGACTACAAATATGGTGCAATGTATACTGCTCCGGTGATGGGTGCACCAAAATCTCACAAATCACCGCTAAAGAACTTACTCATGTAACCAAATACCACCTGTACCCAATAACTTATGGAAAAAATATATATTAATCAATTGATTAAAAAATAAAATTTAAAAAAATAGAGAGGAGGTGACTGTGGCTTTTTCTTGTGTATGAAGGAGTTTTATTATATTACATAGAAGCAATGTATGTACTAAAAGAAATGTTGAAGATACATGAATTAAAAGAAAGTTTATGTATTTACTGGACAACTAAGGATGATATAATGGAGATATGTAGATTTTACTTATCAAACATCTTGACAATGGAAGCCCATTTTTTCTTATAGACTTCTCTATTTCCAACATGTGAGGTTTGGATGGGCTGCCATAGTTCTTGGGGACTAGTCTGACTGTACCTTTCACTAGTAGAATCCACAATTGCTGCTTAAGAGGTGAACATATGACTCAAGGTACATGAACCAAATCAGCTTGAAAACTTGCTAAACCTATTGAGGAAAGAATATTCTTAATCCACTGGCATTACTAAGCTGGTAGAATATAAGCCTGGAACTGTCAATATTTGTCTTTGTTACCACTTACAGAGCTTCTGAGAATGAAACCAGCCAAGAAATCAGAGCTGAGAAGCATGAAAAAAGAGGCTTGATAACATTGTGTGTGTATCTAAATTCAGCCATGACTAAACCCTACAAATACAACCTGCACTTCTCAGCAATTTGAGCCAATAAATTCACCTTTCTGCTTCAGTAAGTTTAGTATGTGTTTTTGAAACATGGAGTCCTAACAAATAGGACTTCCTAATTTCTTAAAATTCACTTAGTTGTTCACCTCTTGTGTTAACATGATGATTTCCAAAAAAAATCGGGAGCTTGGAGGGTATGTGATAGTCCAGTCATGGAAGTAGGGTTACTATAAGTGCAACGGGGTAAGGGATACATTGTAAAAATCAGACCTTACCCAATTGAGGGAGGAGCTAGGTAACTGCAAATCCAAAGGGAGAGTAGGAAGATCAAATAAGGAGTAGGATCCTCCCTAAGCAAAGGTGCAAGTAAAAAAGTCAATGATTGCAGGTAAATCTGAGGACAGCACATCTACCCATCAAGTGATTCTGTTAGAGGTAAGCTAATGAGAGGTCTATGGGAAGTTATCTATGGCTTCTGTCGATTTACAGACAAGCATCTGTTGTTGAACCTGGACTGCTCCTAATTGCCAGGGCCAAGAGTTGGGAAGAAGAGCTCCTTGGTTTTGTCACTTTGTCTAGCCACAAAGACTTCCAGAAAGTAAAGGCTGCTGTTTCACATGTGTGCCTTCCAAATCTTACACAAGTTCTCTTTTGGTCAGCTTTAACTTACAATCTTACAGGGAAAAAGATTCTGGGAAATACGGTTCTCAGCTTAACCAAGTTGACACAGAACAATCCAAAACAATCCTCTCCTGGTCATATAAAGCAGACCCCAAATTTTGTTCTTCCTTGGTTGATTATAGGGAGCTCCCCATGAGAACACAGGTATCGGTTGAGTTGAAAGAAGCAATGAGGCAGAAATATGGGCCATGAACATCTGTGACATTTGCTCATGCACTAATTTGTTACCTTGAAGATCTGCTTGAGCCTGTTTTTTTGTTTTTCTTAAATGAAGTTTTTCTCTTTTGCCCAGGCTGTAGTGCAGCCATCTCAGCTCACTGCAAGCTCTGCCTCCTGGATTCAAGTGATTCTCGTGCCTCAGCCTTCTGAGTAGCTGAGACTACAGGTGCCCGCCACCACACCTGGCTATTTCTTTTGTATTTTTAGTAGAGACAGGATTTTACCATGTTGGCCAGGCTGGTCTCAGACCTCTGACCTCAAGTAATCCACCCACTTCAGCCTCCCAAAGTGCTGGGATTACAGGCGTAAGCCACCACGCCCGGCTGAGCCTGGTCTTGTATATATTACTTTCATTTGACAATCAAGTGTTATTATACATATCCAGTGTTTTGGCTTGGTGCAAAACACTTAGTTTGTGATAGGTAGCACATGTGGCTTGGTAACTTAGTAGATAATTGTCAAGCTTTCAGTTACTTGTGGCTTGTCCAGTAGCAAGCCTGAAGCTGGTTTTCAAAAGGAGGAGAGTTTTCTGCAGAGGAGACAAAGTTTTGCTTCAAAATTATTAAAGCTCTGTGCTAGGATTCACTTGTAGGGACCTGCCAGAGGTTCCATACAGCATCTCTGTCTACCTTTGACACTTCAGGCACCCGCAGATCTGCTCATTCATATGGCCCAAGTTGTAGAGCAGCTTGTATGGGAGCATGGACCTTATACAGAGCCTTCTTTTGTTCTGGTCCTACTCAAAATTGGCAGTCTTTAGAGACACTAGGTACATAGATCAGAATAGCATGTCCAAGTAAGAAGTTTGTTGTTTCTAAAAATTCAAGGAAGTTGACAAGTTGTTGTGCCGCCTTTTTGTGTTAGAAGGGGCCAGATGCAGTAACTTGTCCTGTGTATTAGTCGTTCTCATGCTGCTAATAAAGACATACCAAAGACTGGCTAATTCATAAAGGAAAGAGGTTTAATTGACTCACAGTTCAGCATGGCTTTGGAGGCCTCAGAAAACTTACAATTATGGTGGAAGGGGAAGAAAACACGTCCTTCTTCACATAGCAGCAGGAAGAAGTGCTGAGCAAAGGCAGGAAAAGCCCTTTATAAAGCCATCAGATCTCATGAGAACTCACTCACTATCATGAGAAGAGCATGGAGGAACTGCCCCATCATCTAATCACCTCCCACAAGGTGCCTTCCCCAACACGTGGGGATTAAAATTCAGATTACAATTCAAGATGAGATTTGGGTGGGCACACAGAACCAGACCATATCATCCTTCTTCTTTAAAAGCATAGATCTAAATGCCCCAAACCACTAGACCACAATAAGTTTCACCAAGGTGACAAGCCCCTGAACTTTTGTGTGATATTTCTGTATTATACACATCTTTTCAATTCCAAGTTGGTGTTTTTCTCTTACATGTTATAATGAGATTAGCCTTTTCACAAGTATCAACACTTATAAACAAGAGCTAAATGACAGTGAACAGGATCTTCAAACCAGCCATCAAGTAATGTTTTGAAAGAAAGCAGAACACTAAGATAAGAAATAGAACCAAAGGCTAAAGTCCTAATGGCAATTTGAAAAGAAAAAGAAGGCCTGCAGGATAGGAAACTACAAAATTAGGATATGAGATTATCCCCTCCACATCAAAGAGAAAATGCTGCATTCAGGCCAACTCTGTGTGGCTTTTATCTTCTATTTTTTTCCTTGATTTTAGCACTTTGTGTCTTGTCTAAAGTCAATTTAAATGTTGAGTTTTCTCAATTGTCCTTGCCACAATATATGAAATTCCAATGTCTCTCTGCTGTCTACAAGATAAAATGCAAACAACTCATAGCCAAAAACCTCCTTCAAATATTACTTCCAACTGTTTTTATGGCCTTGGCTCTAACACCTGCAGCTTATTCTCAAGTCAGGATGGATTCCTCACGTTTCCTAGAATACATTGTGTGTTTTCTTAATTTCCAGTCTTTGTACATCTTGGTCCTTCTGCTGAAAATGACTTTGCTCCTCTGCTTCTCGTGGATTACTCAATTAATCCTCGAGACTCAACTCAAATATCCTTTATTTTCTGATTTTCTTATTCCCCCAAACCAGTGGATCAGTCCCATCTCTAGGTTACCCCCAGCACATAGTTCATAACTAATAGAGCGCTTTTCACAGAGGTTGTTATTTCTCTATTTATATGTGTTTATCTCAGTGACTGGAACAAAGAAAAGAAGCATCATAAACATGTGATCTAGAAATAAATTGATGAATGTATTACCTTCTGCTTTGCCCATCTCCTTCACGGTATCTCCCTATCTGTCCCCCCTTAATTTGCTGTTGGTTTTATTGAAAATCTTTAAGAGGAAACTTATTTTTCCCCAAATAGCTGTGCAGGCAATTATCTAAAGTTACTAATAGAGTGTTCTTTTGAATTGATTTTTTAGAGGTCACTTAGAAAAGTCTAGTATTTCATGTTCAATTCATTGATTTTTTGGTGCCCCAGCCTTGCATGAATCTCTATATAAGAAAAGAATTGACCTGTTTATTAAAATGTGGATCTCTTTAAAGTTTACTCTGTTCAGGTTATATACTTACCCCTGAATAATAGAGCCCTTGATTAAAGTCCTTGTTTTCCAACATACTGGCTGTATGACCTTTGATAGACAGCCCCACTACTGCTCAGTTATCTTTCCACTGTAAAATGAAGATAATAATTCCTGGCCATCTTATAACTTTATAAATGTGAGTTTTTGAAGTGAGTACAAGCACTATTCAAATGCAAGCATTATGAGTATCATGTGCCTTATAAACGTATCAGAACATTTAGAGAGGCATTGCATGGACAATCTCTGTGCCCTAGGATTTATTTAACATTATATTTCTATTGAACTGCATAATGTCTAAACCAAATAGAAAGCTAATTAACACATATTTAAATATCTACATTTCAAAGCAGATCATTGAGACAATGCCTGGAAAATTCAAGAATCTTTGCTTTATAGGTGGAATTAATTACTTTTTCTGTCATTATTGTAGGCTAATGTGTTATCTTCATCAGAAAGTAACAAATAGTTTGAAGTCACAGTAATGTAGTCTAGTAGTCCTTGTGTATAAGCAAAATTCCAGCTCAGGGAAATGCCAGCTCTGTAGTACAAAATTTTTAATTGACAAATTTAAGGAATCTAAGAAATGCTGATTTCTGATTGCTTTTGCGAACTATAAATTCTCAGCTGTACCTGTTGACCTATAAATGCAAATGTCCACCAGAATACTGGAATATACTGATGATTAATTTTTCCCTAAACTAGAAGCATCTGTGTCACTTTGCTCCATTCACATGATTTATTAAGAGCTCCAAGCTCCAGCTGGCCTGACAGCTGCTTTGAAATAGCAGGGTGGTGCAGTCGTATTTGTGGTGACAGGAGTGAAAATATAGCTGCACATTAAGGAAGAGTCATCCTACTGTTTAATCTTTTTCCCTTTCCTGAAATCTCACCTTTCTCTTGCTTATTCATTGTTCAATTCTCTATGGAGGAAACTGTAAATTAGATTCCTTAAAAATTAAACACGTTCACTTATTTCACAATTTTACTGAGTTCTTAATATATAACAAAAGGTCAGCATGAAAGATCTGGTAATATAAAGAAGGATAAATGGTTCACTGTAAACTCAGGGAGACAGACCTATGGATGGCTTGTGTCCTAAGAGGAGAAAGAACTAAAAGCAACTCATTTCATGAGAGCGAAGAGTCAGGGAAGCCTTTTTCAGAAAAAAAAAAAAAAAAAAAAAAGAAGATATTTGAGCAATCTTGAGAGATGAGTGCAACAAGGTGATGAGTTCAGGTATTTCTAGAGTGAGGAAACTGCATGCATTTAAGGGCCAGGATATCAATCGGCTTTGTGGACCCTGAAAACTGAGTATTCGGTTGGTGCAAAAGTAATTTGCGGTTTTGGTCATTACTTTTAATGGCAAAAACTGCAATTACTTTTGTACCAACCTAATAGTTTACACTCTTGAAAAGAAAATGAGTATTTAGAGGTTAGGAGCAGAATACAGGTGGTCAGGGTAGCCAGGGGATAAATGGAGAGATGGTCAGGGGCAGATTAAGAAGAGCAGAGTAGACCATGCTATTACCTTGCGGGTGACAGAGAGCTTTGGGTAGGCTTTAAGTAACTGTATCTGCTAAGAACAAATTGAATGCAGTAATTTGAACAGGGAGAGTTTATAATAAAGAATTACTAACTATAACAGGAGATAGGGATAAACGAAGATTAGTTAGTAAGAAATAAAAAAAAATCCAGTGAATTTAGGAATAGCAGATATAAGGAGTAGCCACTACTCTTTACAATGAGCTAGAGCCCAAAGATGAACCTATTTCTGTCCACTCTCCACCCAACCCCACCACTAGCCCTAAAGACTGAGATCCAGACCTTGTTGGAAGAGGAATAGAAATGGCTCCCTGGATGCAAAGAGGATGCCTTGATGCTGCACTGGTGGACTTGCTGGAAATAAAAACACCATCTAGGGTGCAGAGAAAACTATTTCTAGGGAGATAGCAGACTGGAGGCACTCTGTTTTAGAACTGCCTGAGATGGGTTGGGTGTGGTGGCTCGTGCCTGTAATCCCAGCACTTTGGGAGGCCAAGGCGGGCAGATCACTTGAGGCCTGGAGTTTGAGACGAGCCTGGCAAACATAGCAAAACCCCATCTCTACTAAAAATACAAAAAAGTAGCTGGGCATGGTGGCACACACCTGTAATCCCAGCTACTAGGGAGGCTGAGGCAGGAGAATCACTGGAACCCAGGGGGTGGAGGTTGTAGTGAGCCAAGATCGAGCCACTGCACTCTAGCCTGGGTGATGGGTGACAGAGCAAGACACTGTCTCAAAACAAAACAAAACAAAACAACAACAAAACTGCCTGAGATGTGGAGATGCTGAGGAAGCTGCTGGCCGCTGGGTTATGCTACCTGGCGTGAACTGTAAAGCCAGGCCCCAGAGAAGTTACCTGCACTAGAAAGAGACTCATGCTGCAGAAGCTACTCATACTGTAGGAGCCTGACGAAAGGAACACATTGGAACCAAGAAAGAAAGCCTCTTCCTTCTGCGGTGTATCTCCAACACCACCTAGTAACAAAGCTTAACATCATGGCAGCTGCAAAGAGAAATATTTAATTGGCCCATCTCCATTTACACAGAGCAAGTAAAAAGGGTAAATTTAGAACTGAGAAGTAGCAGTGGAGAGAGCAGAGAACCAACATGACATCGAGAATGCACAGAAGGCTCAGGAACTGGCACCATCTCTAGAATGGCCCAAGACTAAAAACGGAGGACTGGAGGAAGTTGCTTTAATAAACATACTGATAATTTGTTGTAAAAAAAAAAAAAAAAAAAAAAAAAGATGTACTAAGTCAAAGATTCCTTCCGTCACTTTCTATAGCTGGGTGATTACTCTCATTTAACCCAGTAGAAATACTGGAGTTTTAGTATTTAAAGACAAAACAGGAGGTCTTTGGACTGGGAAATGCCAAGCACAGTGTGAAAACTGGGTGGAAAAGTGAACATAAACATATTGAATACTGAATGCTGAGACCCCTCCATTCTTTCCTCGTGGCTTCCAGAATGCTGGCTCAATGTTGATGACTTTTTTGTTCCCCACACTTAAAATGAGGAAATGACAAGGATAAGGGGAAATCAAAGGAAAGCTCTAACATGAACAATAGAGAGAAAAACAATAATAGAAACAAAGACCTTAGTGGGAGAAGAAAGTTCAAATGTTCTCAGAGAAATAAGAGAAAATACTGCATCTATGAAACCAAAACAAGATGCTAGATAAAAAGAGATGTTTAGAAAACAAAAAAAGAACATGATTAAAAGCATAATGGCAGAGAGGAAAAACTCAATAGTACTGATGAAAGATAATGTCAAAGAAATCATCTAGTAATTAAAGTGCAAAGACAAAGAGAAAGGAAATGAGAGAAAATATGAGAAAATAAGATGGTCCCGAAGGTGCAATATTTGAATTATAGATCTTTCAGAAAGAGAAATTAAAGAGTAACCAGGGAATCATCAAGAAAATAATTAAAGAAAATTTCCCAGCACTGAAAGTCATGATTTCCAGATTAAAAGGGCATACTAAGTGCTAACAAGAGAGATGAAAAATAGATCCACACTCAAGCATATAAGTGAAATTTTAGGATAACAGAGATAACCTCAAAAAGAGATAAAAGATAGAATGCCATGCAAAGATGAGGAATCAAATTAATTTCAGGCATCTCAACACCACTGCTCTCTAGAAAAGGATGAAGAAACACCTTCACGACTGTGACTAAAAAATTTTTCCATCATCGAAATCAATGCCCACACTAGCAGTGATACGGTAAAATAAAGACATTTTCAAGTATGCATACTCTCAAATATTGTATTTCTCATGCACTCTTTCTCAAGAAATAAAGGATATACTCCAACAAAACAAGGAAATAAACTAGAAAGAAGAAAAGACAGGATGAAGAAAATAGGACACCCAAATCAGGAGAAAATCAATGAAATTTTTTGCATGGCAACAAAGGGAAGTTCCTGGACAGGTGCTTTGAAGCATTTCTAAAGAGCAGTTCATTCAAATAGAAAAGGGATGGAGAGCTCCAGATGTATGACTCCATAAAATAATTAGTAGATTACCTGATAAGAATGATATTGGTGAAAATGGTATCAAAAGACTGTTGGAAAATATGAAAAATTAGCAAAAGTTTTAAATGAATTCTTTTTCATTTATGAAAAAGCAAGGCTATCATTGATGTTAAAACATTAAAAATACAAAAGAAAATGTAATTTTAATAAATTTCTAAAATGCTCAGTTATAAATATTACTCACATATTCATAATAATTTAAGCAATAAATATAGATGTAAACAAAATCTTCTGATATAACTCTATTGTAGGAAATAGGGAAGGGAAGCAGAAGTGATAGAAGTTTCAGGGAGCTAGTTCTTTCATATTAGACTAGACTTTCATATTAGACATATTTCATATTAGCTAGACTTTTTATTAGAAAGTCAATAGAGTCCAGGTGCAGTGGCTCACGTCTGTAATCCTAGCACTCTGGGAGACTGAGGCAGGTGGATCACCTGAGGTCAGGAGTTAGAGACCAGTCTGGGCAACATGGTGAAACCCCATCTCTACTAAAAATACAGAAATTAGCCGGGCATGGCAGCACACACCTGTAATCCCAGCTTCTCGGGAGGCTGAGGCAGGAGAATGACTTGAACCCAGGAGGCAGAGGTTGCAGTGAGCTGAGATGGTGCCACTGCATTCCAGCCTGGGTGACAGAGCAAGACTCTGTCTCAAAAAATGTGTATATATATATATGTGTGTGTGTGTGTGTGTATATATAAAATTATATATTTTTATATACATATACATATATGTGTATATATACATATATATTTTATATATATATACTATTTAGAAATATGGTAACATAAAAGGAAGAAACCTCTAAAGAAATCAAAAGTGATTGCCTCTAGCGAAGAGAACTGGAAAAGTGAGAGGAAATTACTGTATTTTGTTACATATCATTCTGTTCTATTTGGCTTATAAACTATGTGCAAATATTACTTTTTCAAAAGTAAATTTAATTTTAAAAGAGCAAGAGAATATATTAGTCAAAAATGTTATTTTTCTTCTCACACTCACTGAACTGATGTATGTTAAGAATTGACTGAATACCCAGCTTCAAGCTATGCACTGGGCATAAAATTGGAATAAGACTGGGATCCTAACTTCAAGGAACTCACAAGGTTAAAGAATGGCAGAGGAATGTGGAGAAAAACGTGAAACAAATAATTAGAGGACATTGCCAATGCTAGATATACAGTATAAATTGTAGCATGGGAAATTCAATTGTCTAAAAGAAATATAAGAGGAAAAATTTCTTGGAAAAAAATGTTTTTACAGTTTAAAAGAGGTTGCTCAAGCAGGTTACCATATTATCTTCTTAATAATAATAGTAGTAGATGCTTTTTTTATTGCCTCATATGTATGATACCCATACTGAGTGTTTTATTCACATTCTTTGACTTAGTCCTCCTAACTGTATTAGACTCATTTTACAGATGAACTGAATAATAGTAGTTTTAAGAACAGAAGAACTTCACAGTAGTACCCAGGGCTGACACATGATTCAGCCTCAAAGGGGGAAAGTAAACTAGATTATCTTTTTGGCTATGATTTGACAGTTTATTTCTTTCCATGGGTTGTAGTCAAGGAAAGTAAGGAAGTTACTGTTGTGTGTTATCAGAACCCCACAGTGCTTTTGAAATGGATGTGTGCTAGAACATGATGTCTTTGTTATGCCAAACATTCCTTTAAACATTGGATTATAACTATTTATTTTATACAGGTATACATAGTTATCAAAGTATTTCTTCTTTTTCTTTAAATAAAATTAAAATTTCCATGTGAATGGAATAAAAACACAATCAAAATATGCTTGTGTTCTCTTCTTTTGTAATTCCCAAAATGCTATTATTAATTGTACTCAATATATTCTGAACAATGTAATTTAAATTTTAGATACTTAACTCCATTTTTCTGCCCATTTAGTCATTGTGTGCTTGCTGTATTTGTCTCTTTATAACCTAAAGAATGGAAACTGAATAATAAAATCAAATGCTTAACTCTATTTTGTATTCCTATTATTGAAGCACTTTGAATAATATCTACATGTGATCTGTATAACTTTCACAACACTGTATTCTAAATTGAAATGAAATGACAGCTAGAATAAATATTTGATGTCCTTTCTCCCTATCATTCTCTACGTATGCTTTCCATTTCGGTGTCAGATGACCACTTTGAAAACAGTAGGATCAGATTTAATATTTGCTAAGAGATTTATTTTTTTTAATGCTTTAGAAAGGCTCGGGAAATTAGGGGTTCAGCTGCTGATAGTCTATACACTTGCTTAAATTATAGAAGCTTTTAAAATCCTCACTGTAGAAGTCTCACAAAGGTTATTTTCATATTTAAAATTCTCTGGAATGTATTTTTTGACCAGAAAATGAGTCAAGGGTCATCTTTAAGCTACTATAATTCTCAGGTGTATTTCAAATCAATTCAAGTCATGTCAAAACAGGTCTGTTAAAATTAAATTACCCTTGTGTAAGGCCTGTGTGCCAAACCGGTGAATCAAATCTGTATGCCCAAAACTTATGTATAAAGCCGGTGTGTGTAGATGGAGCCTATGTACCCAAAGTTTATGTGTATAACCTGTGTATCCAAGGCCTATGTCTCCCTAGGCCTAGCGTTTGGAGTGTAAGGTATATGGATGTGCTTTAGTCAAGGATAGGCCAAAGGAGACATCCAGGCCAAAGTGACTTCGGTGAGTTTGGAGCACAGACGCATAACTCCACTTGTTATATAATCACAGCTGTGTAGCCATAATATGGGAAGGCTCATCACCTGGCTCGGAGCCACTATTGTTTGTAAAAGGTATAACTGTCCTGCTGATGCTGTGCATATGGTTCGTGTCCAGTGACCCTGTAGGGAGAGCCGGCCATGCAGCTGTGCGTGGGAGTGGCTGGAGCTGCAGAGCCGGACCAGGCAGCCAAGACAGACAGTATAAGAAAGCTGCTGAATAGGCCGGGCGCGGTGGCTCACGCCTGTAATCCCAGCACTTTGAGAGGCTGAGGTGGGTGGATCACCTGAGGTCAGGAGTTCGAGACCAGCCTGGCCAACACGGTGAAATCCCGTCTCTACTAAAAATACAAAAAAATTAGCTGGGCTTGGTGGCGGGCGCCTGTAATTCCAGCTACCAGGGAGGCTGAGGCAGGAGAATCGCTTGAATCCAGGAGGCGGAGGTTGCAGTGAGCTGAGATCGTGCCATTGCACTCCAGCCTGGGCAACAAGAGTGAAACTCCGTCTCGAAAAGAAAATAGAAGAAAAAGAAAGCTGCTGAATAAAACCATACTTTATCTGCCTACGCCTCCACCCCCACCACCCCAAGTATTCTTTCAGCTATCTCCCACCCATCCACCCACTCCCTTCAGACCTCAGCATGGGCTGGAACCTAACACTGGGCGTGACACCTTGTTTCTTCTTTCAGAACACCTTTCCAAATCTGAGAGGAAAGAGATCCTATGAAATACTAGCAATGAGGTTCCCGTTCTCCAAAATATAAATGGTAAATAAAATAGCCTACAGGTACACACAGATCCATTATATAAACTTGACTTTGTTATTCACTAGTCTAAAGCTGACCTGTATGGGTCAAAAGTAAATTACAAATGACTAATGGTAGTGGTCATAATCTCTTCTTCCCCTGTATCTCTGTGCTATAGCATTTGCTACTTTCTACTATATATTACGTTATGTGTGAAAGTCTCATCTCTTCTACTGTGATAAAGGTCTTTAAGGAAAACATCCTTTCTCTTACTCTTATGTATCCTTTTGTCCCCATAGTACCTATCTCTGATTTTGCATATTTAGCATTCAATTCATTAATTTCATAAGTTTTTTAAAAAATAATATTTGTCTACTCAAGAATATTTGAAAAACAGTAAAGTAAAAAATAAATAAATAAAATGAACCACAGGTTCTTCATCTGAATATACCAGAAATAATGTTTGAAAATATTTCCCCTTATTTACCTTTTTCTATGGCTTTTATATACAGTTTAAGCATGATGTCCACATAGTTTGTATATATAGTTAGACATTACAACACGAAAAGTCTACATGTAATTTTAAAATCATGGTAAACAGTTAAATAGCTCCATAATGTTTCATTTAGTGATTATTAGAATATTATTTTGCTTTGAGGCAGAAAAGTTGTTGCAAACTAAGCTGTGGCTCCAAACCGCACCTCCACCCCCCAACCTGCCCCCACCTCATCCCATGTGTTTTGGAATGCTATAGTCATTTTGAGAATAGAAGGGTAGTGAGTAATCTGGTGATGAGCACGGCTCCAGGTATAGGTTTTAGGATGTATTGGGTCCAACCAAGAGTCCCTCATGCTATGCATGCTCTGAAGAGCAAGACCCTAGGGTTCATTAGATGTTATTGGCAGTTTGTTCCACAACTTTTCTATCTTGACCACCCAAAAAAACTTCTCTTCTCAAGAAAAGGAAGAACTGTGCAGCTTAAAACAGCTGAAGACCTGATTTGCCTCAGCTTATTTCTAGTTGGCACTAAGACACCCTCTATTTACACTGTTAATCAGGATGCTTAAAGGGAAATGAGCCTTTAAGAGAAAACCCCTGCTCCTGGGACTTTTCTCATACTAGAAACCCCTTAACGCTATACCTGGGCACCCAGGGAGATCTCTCTAGGTTCTACCTCTTCCCTACACACTTAACCACATTAACCACTCCACTGTCCTAAATACCAGCCATATTGCTTTCTACCATATATTCACCTCTCTGCTTGACTTTTTTTTTTCACATGATGGAAAGCCTTTATTTATTCATTTATTTTCTTTCCAACTTTTATTTTAGGTTCAAGGGATACAGGTGCAGGTTTGTTACATGGGTAAATTGCATGTTGCAGGGGTTTGGTGTACAGATTATTTTGTCACCCAGGTAATCAGCATAATACCTGATAGGTAGTTTTTCAATCCACACCCTCCTGCCACCCTCCACAAAGAAGGGAACAACAGACACCAGGCCCTATTTGTGGGTGAAGGGTGGGAGAATGATGAAGACTGGAAAACTACCTATCGGGTATTATGCTGATTACCTTGGTGACAAAATAATCTGTACACCAAGCCCCTGCATCACGCAATTTACCCACATAACAAACCTATACATGTACCCCTTGAACCTTTGTGTCCATGTGTACTCAGTGTTTAGCTCCCACTTGTAAGTGAGAACATGCAGTATTTGGTTGTCTGTTGCTGCATTAATACATGTAAGATAATGGCCTCCAGCTCCATCCATGTTGTTGCAAAAGACATGATCTCATTCTTCTTTATGGCTACATGGTATTCCATGATGTATATATACTACATTTTTTTTCATCCAGTCCACGACTGATGGGCATCTAGGTTGATTCCGTATCTTTGCTATTGTGAATAGTACTGTGATGAACATATGTGCATGTGTCTTTTTGGTGGAATAATTTGTATTCCTTTGGGTATATACCCAGTAATGAGATTCTTGGGTTAAATGTTAATTCTATTTTAAGTTCCTTGAGAAATCGCCAGACTGTTTTCAACAGTGGCTGGACAAATTTACATTCCCACGAGCAGTATATAAGTATTCTGTTTTCTCTGCAACCTTGCTAGCATCTGTTATTTTTTGATGTTTTAGTAATAGCCATTCTGACCAGTGCAAGATGGTATCTCATTGTGGTTTTGATTTGCATTTCCCTAATTATTAGTGATATTGAATATTTTTCAAATGCTTGTTTGCCACATGTATGTCTTCTTTTAAGAAGTGTCTGTTCATGTCCCTCGCCTATTTTTTGATGGGGTTGTTTTTTGGTTATTGATTTCTTTAAGTTCTTTACAGATTCTGGATATTAGACCATTGACAGATACATAGTTTGCAAATATTTTCTCCCATTCTTTAGGTTGTCTGTTCACTCTGTTGATAATTTTTCTTCTACTTGGC
Source organism: Homo sapiens (assembly GCF_000001405.40). Lineage (NCBI taxonomy): Eukaryota > Metazoa > Chordata > Mammalia > Primates > Hominidae > Homo > Homo sapiens. The sequence goes on along the minus strand of NC_000006.12, from coordinate 122,544,667 downwards.
TTTTCTGAAGCTGGTAGTCCATTCAGATAATTTTTTATATGGGAAATCTCCACCCAAGTTCTAGCATGCACACTACATATTCCATCATTCTCCATTCTAATATCCACGCCCAAATCTCAAAACACCCCTCCAGGTTGGAACCCCAGGGTAGCATCATGTGCAGGCAAGGGGGAGGTGGGTACTTCAGACACTGGCTATTTGGGAGATAATTTGCATATTTTCAAATGATTGTGGGGTTTATTTTACAGGTTATGCTCAGACAATTTAGCTAGAATTTTTTTTTAATTTTTAAAAATCTATTAATATTTTATTTAGGGTTAAGTATATGACTTTTCACTTTCTTTAGACATTTTATAAGAAAGTGAGACAAATGTATATATCATACAAAAGTTTGTGTAAGTTTATTAGTTTGAATGCTTTAATATCTAGTTTAAATTTCAATGTTTAATCTATTATTGATGATTACTGCTCTGTTAAAATTTACCTTATGATTATATACTTTTAAATTTTCTTTGTATTTTAAAGCGTTTGCTTTTGTGTTTTTTAATAGGTATCAGTGTATTATACTGTTTTCAGTATTGATTTGATTATGGTATTTATAAAACATTTAATAGAGTTTTGTCATAGAGTTAGTTCTCAATGAATATTATTGCTGTGGTTATTTTAACAGAAACAAAAAGAAAATGAGATGTTGTGTGAAATATATATATATTATCAATATAAAATGATATTTCATATCAGTTTGGGATCATTTTCAGAGGCCTGTAACAGATATTCAACTAGAGTGGATTAACCATATATGAGTTTATTTTATCCCACATAATGAGTTGAAAGTTCACTAGTTTATCCCACATAATGAGTTGAAAGTATTACTTTCAGTTCGTATACAGCAGATCGACAGCACTTTCTCTCTTTCTGCTCTGGTATCCTTAGCAGCAGCTGTCATATCCATGGTCACCCCAATCTCTTACTTCTAAAAAGTTATTCTAGCCAGGTGCAGTGGCTCATGCCTGTAATCCCAGCACTTTGGGAGACTGAGGTGGGTAGATTATGTGAGGTCAGGAGCTCAAGACCAGTCTGGCCAACATGATGAAACACTGCCTCTACTAAAAATACGAAAATTAGCTGGGCATGGTTGCAGGCACCTATAATCCCAGCTACTTGGGAGGCTGAAGCAGGAGAATCACTTGAACCTGGGAGGTGGAGGTTGCAGTGAGCTGAGATCATGCCATTGCACTCCAGTCTACAAGAGTGCACTCCAGGCAACAAGAGTGAAACTCTGTCTAAAAACAAACAAAAAAAAAAAAAAAAAGGAGGGGGTGGGGCCAAGATGGCCGAATAGGAACAGCTCCTGTCTACAGTTCCCAGCGTGAGCGATGCAGAAGATGGGTGATTTCTGCATTTCCATCTGAGGTACTGGGTTCATCTCACTAGGGAGCTCCAGACAGTGGGTGCAGCACACCATGCATGAGCCAAAGCAGGGCGAGGCATTGCCTCACTCGGGACGCGCAAGGGGTGAGGGAGTTCCCTTTCCTAGTCAAAGAAAGGGGTGACAGACGGCACCTGGAAAATCAGGTCACTCCCACCCTAATACTGCGCTTTTCCAACGGGCTTAAAAAATGGCACACCAGGAGATTATATCCCACACCTGGCTCAGAGGGTCGTATGCCCATGGAGTCTCGCTGATTGCTAGCACAGCAGTCTGAGATCAAACTGCAAGGCAGCAGCGAGGCTGGGGGAGGGGCGCCTGCCATTGCCCAGGCTTGATTAGGTAAACAAAGCAGCCAGGAAGCTCGAATTGGGTGGAGCCCACCACAGCTCAAGGAGGCCTGCCTGTCTCTGCAGGCTCCACCTCTGGGGGCAGGGCACAGACAAACAAAAAGACAGCAGTAACCTCTGCAGACTTAAATGTCCCTGTCTGACAGTTTTGAAGAGAGTAGTGGTTCTCCAAGCACGTAGCTGGAGATCTGAGAAAAGGCAGACTGCCTCCTCAAGTGGGTCCTTGACCCCCGAGCAGCCTAACTGGGAGGCACCCCCCAGTAGGGGCAGACTGACACCTCACACGGCCGGGTACTCCTCTGAGACAAAACTTCCAGAGGAATGATCAGGCAGCAGCATTTGTGGTTCACCAAGATCCACTGTTCTATAGTCACCGCAGTTCTATAGCCACCGCTGTTCTGCAGCCACCGCTGCTGATACCCAGGCAAACAGAGTCTGGAGTGGACCTCTAGCAAACTCCAACAGACCTGCAGCTGAGGGTCCTGTCTGTTAGAAGGAAAACTAACAAACAGAAAGGACATCCACACCAAAAACCCTTCTGTGTGTCACCATCATCAAAGACCAAAAGTAGATAAAACCACAAAGATGGGGAAAAAACAGAGCAGAAAAACTGGAAACTCTAAAAAGCAGAGTGCCTCTCCTCCTCCAAAGGAACGCAGCTCCTCACCAGCAACAGAACAAAGCTGGACAGACAATGACTTTGACGAGTTGAGAGAAGAAGGCTTCAGACAATCAAACTACTCTGAGCTACAGGAGGAAATTCAAACCAATGGCAAAGAAGTTAAAAACTTTGAAAAAAAATTAGACAAATGGATAACTAGAATAACCAACGCAGAGAAGTCCTTAAAGGAGCTGATGGAGCTGAAAGCCAAGGCTCGAGAATTAAGTGAAGAATGCAGAAGCCTCAGGAGCCGATGCGATCAACTGGAAGAAAGGGTCTCAGTGATAGAAGACGAAATGAATGAAATGAAGCAAGAAGGGAAGTTTAGAGAAAAAAGAATAAAAAGAAACGAACAAAGCCTCCGAGAAATATGGGACTATGTGAAAAGACCAAATCTACGTCTGATTGGTGTACCTGAAAATGACGGGGAGAATGGAACCAAGTTGGAAAACACTCTGCAGGATATTATCCAGGAGAACGTCCCCAATCTAGCAAGGCAGGCCAACATTCAGATTCAGGAAATACAGAGAACGCCACAAAGATACTCCTCGAGAAGAGCAACTCCAAGACACATAATTGTCAGATTCACCAAAGTTGAAATGAAGGAAAAAATGTTAAGGGCAGCCAGAGAGAAAGGTCAGGTTACCCACAAAGGGAAGCCCATCAGATTAACAGCGGATCTCTCGGCAGAAACTCTACAAGACAGAAGAGAGTGGGGGCCAATATTCAACATTCTTAAAGAACAGAATTTTCAACCCAGAATTTCATATCCAGCCAAACTAAGCTTCATAAGTGAAGGAGAAATAAAATACTTTACAGACAAGCAAATGCTGAGAGATTTTGTCACCACCAGGCCTGCCCTAAAAGAGCTCCTGAAGGAAGCACTAAACATGGAAAGGAACAACCGGTACCACCCACTGCAAAAACATGCCAAAATGTAAAGACCATCAAAGCTAGGAAGAAACTGCATCAACTAATGAGCAAAATAACCAGCTAACATCATAATGACAGGACCAAATTCACAAATAACAGTATTAACTTTAAATGTAAATGGGCTAAATGCTCCAATTAAAAGACACAGACTGGCAAATTGGATAAAGAGTCAAGACCCATCAGTGTGCTGTATTCAGGAAACCCATCTCACGTGCAGAGACACACATAGGCTCAAAATAAAAGGATGGAGGAAGATCTACCAAGCAAATGGAAAACAAAAAAAAGGCAGGGGTTGCAATCCTAGTCTCTGATAAAACAGACTTTAAACCAACAAAGATCAAAAGAGACAAAGAAGGCCATTACATAATGGTAAAGGGATCAATTCAACAAGAAGAGCTAACTATCCTAAATATATATGCACCCAATACAGGAGCACCCAGATTCATAAAGCAAGTCCTGAGTGACCTACAAAGAGACTTAGACTCCCACACAATAATAATGGGAGACTTTAACATCCCACTGTCAACATTAGATAGATCAGTGAGACAAAAGTAAACAAGGACTACCCAGGAATTGAACTCAGCTCTGCACCAAGCAGACCTAATTGACATCTACAGAGCTCTCCACCCCAAATCAACAGAATATACATTTTTTTCAGCACCACACCACACCTATTCCAAAATTGACCACATAGTTGGAAGTAAAGCACTCCTCAGCAAATGTAAAAGAACAGAAATTATAACAAACTGTCTCTCAGACCACAGTGCAATCAAACTAGAACTCAGGACTAAGAAACTCACTCAAAACCACTCAACTACATGGAAACTGAACAACCTGCTCCTGTATGACTACTGGGTACCTAATGAAATGAAGGCAGAAATAAAGATGTTCTTTGAAACCAACGAGAACAAAGACACAACATACCAGAATCTCTGGGACACATTCAAAGCAGTGTGTAGAGGGAAATTTATAGCACTAAATGCCCACAAGAGAAAGCAGAAAAGATCCAGAATTGACACCCTAACATCACAATTAAAAGAACTAGAAAAGCAAGAGCAAACACATTCAAAAGCTAGCAGAAGGCAAGAAATAAGTAAAATCAGAGCAGAACTGAAGGAAATAGAGACACAAAAAACCCTTCAAAAAATTAATGAATCCTGGAACTGGTTTTTTGAAAAGATCAACAAAATCAATAGATCGCTAGCAAGACTAATAAAGAATAAAAGAGAGAAGAATCAAATAGACGCAATAAAAAATGATAAAGGGGATATCACCACCGATCCCATAGAAATACAAACTACCATCAGAGAATACTACAACACCTCTACCCAAATAAACTAGAAAATCTAGAAGAAATGGATAAATTCCTTAACACATACACCCTCCCAAGACTAAACCAGGAAGAAGTTGAATCTCTGAATAGACCAATAACAGGATCTGAAATTGTGGCAATAATCAATAGCTTACGAACCAAAAAAAGTCCAGGACCAGATGGATTCACAGCCGAATTCTACCAGAGGTACAAGGAGGAGCTGGTACCATTCCTTCTGAAACTATTCCAATCAATAGAAAAAGAGGGAATCCTCCCTAACTCATTTTATGAGGCCAGCATCATCCTCATACCAAAGCCTGGCAGAGACACAGCCAAAAAAGAGAATTTTAGACCAATATCCTTGATGAACATTGATGCAACAATCTCAATAAAATACTGGCAAACCGAATTCAGCAGCACATCAAAAAGCTTATCCACCATGATCAAGTAGGCTTCATCCCTGGGATGCAAGGCTGGTTCCACATATGCAAATCAATAAACATAATCCAGCATATAAACAGAACCAAAGACAAAAACCACATGATTATCTCAATAGATGCAGAAAAGGCCTTTGACAAAATGCAACAATGCTTCATGCTAAAAACTATCAATAAATTAGGTATTGATGGGACGTATCTCAAAATAATAAGAGCTATCTATGACAAACCCACAGCCAATATCATACTGAATGGGCAAAAACTGGAAGCATTCCCTTTGAAAACTGGCACAAGACAGGGATGCCCTCTCTCACCCCTCCTATTCAACATAGTGTTGGAAGTTCTGGCCAGGGCAATTAGGCAGGAGAAGGAAATAAAGGGTATTCAGTTAGGAAAATAGGAAGTCAAATTGTACCTGTTTGCAGATGAATTGATTGTATATCTAGAAAACCCCATTGTCTCAGCCCAAAATCTCCTTAAGCTGATAAGCAACTTCAGCAAAGTCTCAGGATACAAAATCAATGTACAAAAATCAGAAGCATTCTTATACACCAATAACAGACAAACAGAGAGCCAAATCACGAGTGAACTCCCATTCACAATTGCTTCAAAGAGAATAAAATACCTAGGAATCCAACTTACAAGGGATGTGAAGGACCTCTTCAAGGAGAACTACAAACCACACTGCTCAATGAAATAAAAGAGGATACAAACAAATGGAAGAAGATTCCATGCTCATGGGTAGGAAGAATCAATATTGTGAAAATGGCCATATTGCCCAAGGTAATTTATAGATTCAATGCCATCCCCATCAAGCTACCAATGACTTTCTTCACAGAATTGGAAAAAACTACTTTAAAGTTCATATGGAACCAAAAAAGAGCCTGCATTGCCAAGTCAATCCTAAGCCAAAAGAACAAAGCCGGAGGCATCATGCTACCTGACTTCAAACTATACTACAAGGCTACAGTAACCAAAACAGCATGGTACTGGTACCAAAACAGAGATATAGATCAATGGAACAGAACAGAGCCCTCAGAAATAATGCCACGTATCTACAACCATCTGATCTTTGACAAACCTGACAAAAACAAGAAATGGGGAAAGGATTCCCTATTTAATAAATGGTGCTGGGAAAATTGGCTAGCCATATGTAGAAAGCTGAAACTGGATCCCTTCCTTACACCTTATACAAAAATTAATTCAAGATGGATTATAGACTTACATGTTAGATCTAAAATCATAAAAACCCTAGAAGAAAACCTAGGCAATACCATTCAGGACATAGGCATGGGCAAGGACTTCATGTCTAAAACACCAAAAGCAATGGCAACAAAAGCCAAAATTGACAAATGGGATCTAATTAAACTAAAGACCTTCTGCACAGCAAAAGAAACTACCATCAGAGTGAACAGGTAACCTACAGAATGGAAGAAAATTTTCACAACCTACTCATCTGACAAAGGGCTAATATCCAGAATCTACAATGAACTCAAACAAATTTACAAGAAAAAAACAAACAACCCCATCAAAAAGTGGGCAAAGGATATGAACAGACACTTCTCAAAAGAAGATATTTATGCAGCCAAAAAACACATGAAAAAATGCTCATCATCACTGGCCATCAGAGAAATGCAAATCAAAACCATAATGAGATACCATCTCACACCAGTTAGAATGGCGATCATTAAAAAGTCAGGAAACAACAGGTGCTGGAGAGGATGTGGAGAAATAGGAACACTTTTACACTGTTGGTGGGACTGAAAACTAGTTCAACCATTGTGGAAGTCAGTGTGGCGATTCCTCAGGGATCTAGAACTAGAAATACCCTTTGACCCAGCCATCCCCTTACGGGTATATACCCAAAGGATTATAAATCATGCTGCTATAAAGACACATGCACACGTATGTTTATTGTGGCACTATTCACAATAGCAAAGACTTGGAACCAACCCTAATGTCCAACAACGATAGACTGGATGAAGAAAATGTGGCACATATACCATGGAATACTATGCAGCCATAAAAAATGATGAGTTCATGTCCTTTGTAGGGACATGGATGAAACTGGAAACCACCATTCTCAGCAAACTATCACAAGGACAAAAAACCAAAATGTTCTCACAAAAAACCGCATGTTCTCACTCATAGGTGGGAATTGAACAAGGAAAACACATGGACACAGGAAGGGGAACATCACACACTGGGGTCTGTTGTGGGGTGCAGGGAGGGGGAGGGATAGCATTAGGAGATATACCTAATGCTAAATGACGAGTTAATGGGTGCAGCACACCAACATGGCACATGTATACATATGTAACAAACCTGCACATTGTGCACATGTACCCTAAAACTTAAAGTATAATAATCATAAAATAAAATAAAATAAAGTTGATTCTGTCAGAAAGAAGAATAAAGAAGCAACTAGGAGGAATAAAGAAGCAACTAGGAGGAAAAGGCAGCACCAGTATAAAGAAAAAAAATTTACCAGCATCCACAGCAGATTTCTGATTATGTCCCAACAGATGGAGATCTTATATGGCCCCCTCTATGCAAGAAAAGTTAGAAATATGGATTTTTTTTCTAGCAGGCAATGTGGCATCCCAAGCAAAATTTGAGGTTCGTTGGTTAAAAAAAAAAAAAAGACAGAAAGGATATTGGGTAGACAAAAATACTGTCTTTTATGCCTGCTATATTTCTTTGATGCCTTTATTTTCATTTGTCTAATATTTATTATTGCTTTGTTTTTCTCTCTTTTATTTTTTAATTTTACTGTCATTGTTTTAATATTATTATTATTAATGTTAGTCTTTATGTCAACTGGTACATAGTTTTTAAGTTTTGGAAAATCTCCATTCAAATCAAAAGTTTTTTCATAAATAAAATCTATTCTTTCCAACATATTTCAAAGTGGACATAAAGGATCTTTAGGAATCAATGCACTCATTAAAAAAGAAACTTGTTCAAAAGATTTAGGAATTTTTATGTTTATCACATTCACTGCTGGTCAGAAACCCAAAGAATAGGCAAGTTTCTTTGTACCTTATTTTCCTTGGCATCCTTCAATCTAAACTAGGCCAAATATAGTCAGAGATGTCCCTATGCAAAATGCTAGGGTGCATTTCTTATAATTACTATTATTGGGAATATTTGCTAGAACTCATATTAGAGCTGATTACCAATTATATTTGATAATTAAAGGAGAAGCAGTCTACATATTTTTGAAGTGATGCAATACCTTAATAACAATTTTTCCACTGTCTTTTTTTCACAAAGACCATTTTCAAGGCTATAAAAATGAAATTGCAGCTGGGCACAGTGCTCACGCCTGTAATCTTAACACTTTGGGAGGCCAAGGCAGGTGGATCACTTGAGGTCACGAGTTTGGGACCAGCCTGGCTACCATGGTGAAACTCCGTCTCTACTGAAAGTACAAAAATTAGCTGGGCATGGTGGCACATGCTTGTAATCCCAGCTACTTGGGAGGCTGAGGCAGGAGGATCAATTGAATCCTGGAGGTGGAGGCTGCAGTGAGCTGAGATCGCCACTGCGCTTCAACTTGGGTGACAGAGTCTTACTCTGTCAGATTCTGTCTAAAAGAAAAAGAAAATTGCAACTGAAAACATTAGAGTGTCATGATGTTCACAGACCTTCTGAAGCTTATCAATTGACTCAAAGTGCCAAGTACAGTACTTGTGCTTTATAGATATTAGTTCATTAGATTACAAACCCGACTGATGTCATGATTCTTATTTTGAAGATGAGGAAACCACAGCTTAGACCATTTAAGAAACTTTCTCAGAGTCATACTACTAACAAGGGGTAGAGCTAGGGCTTAAACTTAAACATGTTTAATTCTCAAGCCTGTGTGCCTAACTTTTCAACAGTTTACTTCTCCTCTGTCCAGGTTTCTTGAAAAGAACAACAGTCAGCAAGTGCAAGCAGGACTAAGAGAAGAGCCTCAAAAGAGGAAGAAGGCATCATGCTGGAAGGTTTTTAGATTTTTTACTGGACAGACTGTGGTTGGAATCCATGGCAGCATAGGACAACAGAATCAAAATGTAATAGCTGTCATTTTAGTAATTAACTACATAACCAGACAAATGTGTCATATTTTACTAATAAAATAGTAAAGAATTATTGTAATATTGTTTGAATGAATAGTGATTATATAAAAGGAACTCATAATTGAACCTTTTTTAGGGAAGAAAGAAAAAGAGAGCAGCCAGTGATTTACTAATTATGTTTAAAAACCTAAATTTTAAATTGGGAACCTAAAGTCAAACTGCTTGAAAAATTATTCTTCTGATGAGTAAAACTCCTACCAAAATGTAAAGTCTCTGAAGATAAACACAAATTAATTAATTAATTTTACAAAGACCAAACTTGTTCTGCAGACGTAGATTGATTAAAAACAGATCTCCACAGTTAGATGTAAAGAAGAGAGAGAGAAGAGAGAGAGAGGACAGGCTGAGGGTATTCTATAAATTACCCCAACACTAAAAATGCATCTATTTTCACTAAGAGCAGAACTGACCATTATGAATGCATTATAGCAACTATGAAATATCTGTATGAGGTAATACATGTGTGTTGAAGGGAGAGGATATCACAAATCTGGAGAAAATGTAAATGAATATTCGCTGAAACTCTTTCCTTAGCCTTCACTTTTATTAATCACACATATATAGAAATAATATCAATACTTTTAATTCAAAGTTACCCTTCCTGAATCTTTTCTCATTCAAAAATGAGGGGCCTGGCACAGCGGTCCCTGTCTGTAGTTCTAGTTACTCTGGAGGCTGAAGTGGGAGGATCACTTGAGCTCAGTGGCTCAAGTCCAGCCAGGGCAAAATAGCGAGATAATTTTATATATTATATTATATATTTTTCCAATGAAAGTATTGTATTTGGCTGGTAGTTATTTATGAACCAGTGTAAGTCTTTTGAGACTTGCTTTTATGCATTGGTATGGTGGGGCTTGAGTAGCCTCCGTGCTAGTGCTAGTTTAGCCCTTCTACCACAGTGCCATGTTTCCAGGGTCTTTACTGTATTCCCTGCATACAACGAGATCTTTTTACGCTGGATACTCAGAACTTGAAATCTCTTGGCCCTATGTGAACTCAGGAAAATGCTCAACCTAAAGATGACCAATTCTTCTTTACCTCATAAAATTTCACCTTATTCATGCATAACTACATTTAGCACATCTGCCTTAGCCAACCAAAATTCCAATCTATGTCCCCACAACCAGAGAGATTATCATGCTATATATGGGTCCATCTCCCTGTGCTGTGGTGTAGAAAAGTCCTCTAGGCCAATAACTGGGGTGATTGTAAGGTTGGCCTCAATTGTATATAATATATTATATATGTTAGTATTATATATATTATATATAAAAAATATAATATACCAGAACCTGGGCATAGATTAGTTCATTAGTTAATATTATTATTGCTGTCATTATTTAAAAAATAGATTATCTGAGAAGTAATAAGGTCACAGATGAAGTTTATATATATTGGCAGTTGGGGGAGAGAGGAGGTAAGTGGGTAGAAGTTTCCAAAATACAAGATGTGATAAGCATAAAAGAAAGACAGAGAGGATGGTTGATAGAAGGGACAGGAAGTAGGAAGCCTAAATAAGATGTATAGAAGATAAGAAGTAAGCACTAGAAGATCTGAGGACCATACAATATAGAGATAAGATTTTAGGCACAGACCAGTTGAAAAACAGTAATAAGAGGAAAACGCAGACCCATGAGAAAGGAAGCAAAATTTAAACATTATCTGAATATAATCAGGCAATGTTCTCACGAGTTAGCTTTAGAGTTGTAAATTGTTCTTGTTTCTTGAGTAATCCAATTCAAAATAAACTCACCTCAAAATAAAGTTGTTCTCGCATTGATTTTAAAACATAAGCAAGAAAATTCTACAAATAAAACAGTACATGAAGTCTCCTACACTCTGAAAAAGAAAATGCATTATAGTGTGAGACAATAGAGAAAATCATTTCTTTTCTTTGCCAAGTACTTATTTTATATACATTACTTAGATCAGAAATTGGTATTGATGGTGTACATTTAAAAATTAAATAAGGGCTGGCCACAGTGGTCGGCCAAGTGGAAGGCCAAGGTGGGCTTGAGCCCAGGAGTTTGACACAAGCCTGGGCAACATAGCAAGACCCCATTTCTACAAAAAATACACAAATTAGCTAGGCACGGTGGTATACGCCTATAGTCCCAGCTAATTGGGAGGCTGAGGTGGAAGGATTCCTTATGACCCAGAAGCAGAGGTTGCAATGAGCCAAGATCATGCCACTGCACTCCAGTCTGGGCGACAGACCAAGACTCTTTCTCATAAATAAATAAATAAATAAATAAATAAATAAATAAATAAAAAGTTTTGTGCATCAAAGGACACTATCAGGAGAGTGAAAAGGCAGCCTGCAGGAGATCATATATTTGCTACAGTGTTAATACCCAAATATATAAAGAACTGCTACAACTCAAAAAAAGCAACTAAAAACTGGGCAAAGGACTTGAATAGATATTTCCCCAAAGAAAATACACAAATGTCCAACAAACATATGAAAAGATGTTCAAGATCACTAGTCATTAGAGATATGCAAATCAAAACAGGATGAACATGTGATTCGGTGATCCCATTATTTCTGGGTATATACTCAAAAGAATTTATAGCAGGGTCTTGAAGAGATATTCGTGCACCCAACATTATTCATAGTAGCCAAAAGAATAGAAATAACCCAAATGTCTGTCAAAGGATGGGTGGATAAACAAAATATGGTATGTAAATACAATGGGATATTATCCAGCCATGAAAAAGGAAGGGATTAACACACGCTACAGCATGGATAAACCTTTAAAACATTATGGTAGGCAAAATAAACTACTCACAAACAAATACTATTTGAATCCATCTATATGGGATATATAGGATAGTCAAATTCACAGATAAAGAAGGTAGAATAGTGGTTGCCAGGAGCTGGAGGAGAATGGGAAAATGAGGAGTTACTCTTTAATGAGTACAGAATTTCATTCTGGAGATGGATAGTGGTGATGATTACACAACAATGTTAATGCACCTAATGCTAATGACTTGTCTGCTTAAAAAAAAGTTTAAAAAGGCAATTTTTGTTTTGTGTATTTTACCACAATAAAAAGGTTGTTATAAAAAAGGAAGCTGCTAAAAATGTAACCATTTAATAAAGTATTAAATAAACAAAAGAGTGATAGAGAACTAATTTGCTGAAAGATACACATTTGGAATTAATTACTTAGTTCCCCATCTTGGAGTATGTTGATTAAACTAGGTGGAAGCATGTAGATACTTTATTTTTCTCATTTCACCTTAGTTAATTGTTATCTGCAATTTAAGGATAACAAGCTACATTATAGCTACCATTTACTGCCTGTTTATTATCTATGAGGCTGCATAAATGTTCTACACTGAAGCTCTCATTTGATCCTCACAGCAAACATTTATGGAGGCGTCAAGCTAATTTTAGAGATGAGAAAACTAAAGGACTGAAAATGTGGTAAGTCTGTATCATAGAGCTACACAAAAGTCAAGTAACATTGCATCATAGAGCTGGCAAGTGGAACAGCCAGGATTTAAACTCAGATCTGTCTTTTTGCCTACATTCATTCAACAATTATTAAGCTACTTTGTGCCAAGCACAATGCTGAGTGCTAAAGCCACAAAGATTAACGGTATAAATTCCCAGCCTTAAGCAATTCACAGTCTAGTATTTGAAAGAAATAAGAATATAGACAATTAGAGAACAATGTGCTATCCCTGGGAAAATAGAAGGTGCATCTAGCTCATAGTTAGGAAACCCTTACCAGAAGTGAAAGGTGGGGAGTGGAAGGAGGTGGAGACACCTGGGATGGGTCTCAAAAGCTGAGTAGGAATTAACCAGGAGAAGGCAGCATAGGAAATTGAAGCAATTATGCTGTATCCCAGGCAGAAGGATAAAGAACATTTAAAGAACCAACAAGTTCAAGTGTCCACAAGTAGTGGTTTTCAGATAAAAACAGGAAAATTGAGTCTGGATTTGATAAATCAGTTTAGGATATATGAAGCTTTCTTCCCTGTATAATGAAGTAGATTTATAGGTAACTACAATGATGAAATCATCTAGTTAATGCCCTCTTTCTGTTACTCTTTGTGTGCCTGAACTTCCAAACTTTTCTCTTGTCATAGAACAATCCAGCAATAGTGATAGCATATTTTTCAATCTCTAAAGGGTTCATCTGCACATGTGGACATGACGGGGCAGCAGAAACTAATTTTGTATTTACAGAGAATTCCCATGTTTTCAAAAAATTTCACATACATATTTTCTTTTGTGATATTAAAGAGGCAATAATTCAATTTTTGTATAGCTCCCTTACAATGTTCAGCCTTTTTCCTATACACGTATGATATTTTAAAGTCACCCACTCTTAAGGTCATTTCAGCAAGATGGCAGACTAGAAAGCTAAAAGTTCTCCTTCCCTCATAGACACTGAGTTGACAATAACAGAATATCCTGTGAGAACCACAGAGGCAAATTGAGTAGATACATCACTTAAGTAAGCCATTGTAAAACCAAGACAGGATTTCAAAGAAAGAAGTAAGGAAATTTGCAGCATTTGATGTGTCTGTTCATGTGTCTCCCACTAAATGGCATATTGCAGAACAATTAGAAAGAACTCCTCTCCCATATTGGGGCTTTTGCCAAAAACAGGAGAGTTGACCACGTTTCCAATGTTCTGGTTTATCTGAGAGCTGTCTTGGGGACTGATCTCTTTCTCACCTGACTGGGAGAGTTTAGAAGCTGCTGAAAACAGAGGCTAGTAGCATGTTAGGCTGCAGTTCCTCAGAAAAACACCAGAGAGAGCCAGAGATCATAAAAGGTTTGAAGCTCTTTCACTTCTAGCTAGGCTCATAGGCAAAGTCTTCCCTGCTTGAAGGCAGTACATAACTGGGAGAGGGTGGTTGTTTTTTCAAATTCCCAAATCCCAGCAAACAAACAAACAAATTACAAGGCATACAAAGAAAAAACATGGCACAATCAAAGGAACAAACTCCAGAAACTAATCCTAAAGAAACATAAATCTGTGAGCTGTCTAAAAATGAATTTAAAATAACTATCATAAAAATACTCAATGAGCTAAAAGAGAATACAGATAAATGACTAAACAAAACCAAAAACAATCTGTGACCAAAATTAGAATATGGACAAGTCAATGGAAACTATTTTTTTTAAACACAGAAATTCTGGAGCTGAAAATTTCAACAATTAAACTAAAAATGTATTTTAAAGAATGAAACAGCAAACTTTATCACTAAGATGAAATAATGAGCAAACTTGAAGACAAGTCAGTTGAGATGATTGAATCAGAGAATCAAACATAAAAAAGAGTAAAGAAAAGTGAAAAGAGCCTATGGGACACTATTAAGTGGACCAATATATACATATGAGAATACTAGGAGGAGAGGAGAGAAAGAAGGGGGAGAGAGCTTATTTGAAAAAATAATGGCTGAAAATAGCCCAGATCTGAAGAAAGAAACGGACATGTGGATTCAAGAAGCTGAAAAAACTCCAACCAATGTAAATCCCAAGAGAACAACACAGATGTATCTTATAATCAAACTGTTTAAAGCCAAAGACAAAGAATCTTGAACACAGAAAGGAAAAAAGAGATTCATCACATATAAAGGAGTTTCCATAAGATTATCAGGGGATTTCTCAGCAGAAACTTTGCAGGCTAGAAGGAAGTAGAATAATTCATTCAAAGTGTAGAAAGGAAAACAAAACTATCATCAATAAATACTGTATCCAGCAAAAACATCCCATCCTTCAAAAATGAATGAGAAATTAAGATTTTCCCAGACCAAGCAAAAGGTGAGGGAGTTCATTACCACTCGACCTGCTCTACAAGAAAGGTTAACTAACAGGTGCCCTTCAAGTTGAAACAAAAGGATAGTAGACAGCCATTTGACACGATGTGAAAATATAAGGTACTCTCGTAAAGGTAAATTTATAGACAAATATCGTGACTTGTATTATTGTAATTTTGATGCATAAAACTTAAATGACAAAAATTCAAAAGCTATAAAGTCATATTAGTGAGAATACAATATATGAAAATGAAAATGTAAATTGTAACCTCAACAACATAAAGTAGGGGAGGTGGAACTGTTAAGAAGTAGGGTTGTTGTGTGTGTTAAACGTACTTGTTATCTGTTTAAAATAAAATGCTATAACTTAAGATGTTTTACGTAATTGCAATGAAAACCACAAAGAAAATATCTATGTAATATATCCAAAAGGAAATAAGAAGTAAATCAAAGCACATCATTACAGAAGATCAACAAAACACAAAAGCAGAGAGAAAGGAGAAACAGAGAAGCTGTAAGATATACAAACAACAGTTAACAAAATGGCAATTGTAATTCTTTTATCATCAGTAATTACTTTAAATGTAAATAGAATCAACTGTCTGTTATACACAGAATGTTTGTGTTACCCTAAAATTCACATGAAGCCCTAGTCCCAAATGTGACAGTAGTTAGCGGTGTGATCATTTGAGGTAATTAGGTTTAGATGAGGTCATGAGAATTGTGTCTTTTTTTCCATTTTTTCTCTTTTCTCTTTTTTAAAGAAATAAGGTCTTACTCTGTCACCCAGGTTAGAGTGCAATCAGTATGACCATGGCTCACTGCAGCCTCAAAATCCTAAGTTTGGTCTCCCAAGTAGCTAGGACTACAAGCATGTGCCACCATGCCCAGCTAGTTATTTTATTTTTTGTAGAGACGAGGTCTTGCTATGTTGCCCAAGCTAATCTTGAACTCCTGATCTCAACTGATCCTCCCACCTTGGCTTCCCAAAGTGCTAGGATTATAGGCATGAGCCACCACACTTGGCCCACAGATTAACGTTCTTATAAGAAGAGGAAAATATTAGAGCTCCTTCTTTCTCTATCATGTGAGGATACAGCAAGATGGCAGCCGTCTGCAAGCCAGAAAAAGGGCCTTCATCAGACCCTAACCATGCAGGGACCTTGATCTCTGACTTCCCAGCCTCCAGAACTGTGAGAAATGAATTTGTATTGCTTAAGCCATCCAGTCTATGGTATTTTGTTTTATCAGCCTGAGCTTACTAAGACACTGTCCAATCAAAGAACAGAGATTGACTGAATGGATAAAAAACATAGGACCCAGCTATCTGCTTTCTAAAAGATACTCACTTTACATCTAAGAACACATGTAAGATGAAAATGAAAAGATAGGAAAAGATACTCCATGCAAATGGCAATCAAAAACAGCAGGAGTGGCTATACTAGTGCCTAATATTGGTATAGTAGACAAAACAGCCTTCAAATCAAAAACTGTTATAAGAGACTAAGAAGGGCATTTAGAATGATAAAAGAGTAACTTTTCCAGAAAGACATAATAATCATAAGTATTTATGCACCAAATATCCAAGTTTCCAAATAAAAATATACGAAGCAAACTTTGACACAATTGGAGTGAGAAATAACAGCAAAATAGTAGTAGGAGACTTCAATACTTTCAATAGTGAATAGAATAACCAGACAGAATATCAATAAGAAAACAGGGGATTTAAATAACACAGATGTACTTCATTTTATTACAGTTTGCTTTATTTTGCTTCACAAATATTGTGTTTCTTACAAATTGAAGGTTTGTGGCAACCTCGCATCAAGCAAACCTATTGAAACCATTTTTCTTACAGTATGTGCTCACCTTGTGCCTCATGTCACATTTTAGTAATTCTCACAATATTTCAACCTTTATCATCATTATTATTATATCTGTAGGGTGATCTGTGGTCAGTGATCTTTGATGTTACTATTATAATTTATTTGAGGCCCCACAAACCATTCCCATATAAAACAGTGAAACTGATTGATAAATGTTGTATATGTTCTGACTGCTCTGCTGACCAGTTAATCCCTTATCTCTCTTCATCCCCTTGGATCTCCATATTCTCAGAGACACAAAAATAACGAAATTAGGTCAATAGAAATCCTGCCATGGCATCTAAGTGTTCAAATAAAGAAAAATTTGCACATATCTGCTTTGAAATCAAAACCTACAAATGATTAAGCTTAATGGAAAAGCATGTCCAAAGCTGAGACAGGGCAAAAGCTGGTCCTCTTGTACCAGTTAGCAAGTTGTGAATGCAAAAACAAAAAAAAAATTCTTATAAAAAACGAAAAGTGCTACTCTAGTGAACACATGAATAATAAGAAAGGAAAACAGCCTTCTTACTGAAAGGAAAACAGTTTGAGTGGTCTGAATAGTTCAAACAAGCCAGAACACTCCCTTAAACCAAAGCTAATCAAGAGCAAGATCCTCACTCTCTTCAATTTTACGAAGGCTAAGAGAGGTGAGGAAACTGCAGAAGAAAAGCTGGGAGCTAGTAGAGTTTGGTTCATGAGGTTGAAGGAAAGAAATTAACTCCATAACATAAAAGTGCAAGATGGAGCAGCAATTACTTTTGTAGTAACTGTAGCAAGTTATCCAGAAGACGTAGCCAAGATCATTAATTCAGGTGGTTACACTTAGCAACAGATTTTTAATGTAGACAAAACAACCTTATATTGGAAGAAGATGTCATCTACCACTTTCAGAGCTAAGGAGAAAATCACTGACTCTTACAATGAGGATGACTCTCTAATTAGGTGTTAACACAGCTGGTAACTTTAGCTAGAAACAAATGCTCATTTACCACTTGAAAATCCATTTTGCAAAATTATTACCATTCTGAAAAATCCTAGAACCTTAAGAATTATGCCAAATCTACTCTGCTTGTGCTCTATAAATGAAACAACAAAGCCTAGATAACAGCACATTCACTGACAGCATGGCTTATTGAATATTTTAAGTCCATTGTTGAGACCCACTGATCAAAGAAAAAGATTTTGTTTTAAAATATTACTGTTCATTGACAATACTCCTAGTCATCTAAGAGCTTTTATGGGGATATCCAGGGAAATTAATGTTGTTTTTGTGCCTACTAACACAACATCCATTCTGCAACTCATAGATCAAGGGGTAATTTCAACATTTAAATCTTATTATTTAAAAAATACATTTATAAGGCTATAGCTGCCATAAAGAATGATTCATTTGATGGATCTGGGCAAAGTAAATTTAAACCCTTCTGGAAAGAATTCACCAGTCTAGATGCTATTAAGAACGTTTGTAATTCACGGGAAGAGTTCAAGATGTCAACATTAAAAGAAATTTTCAAAAGTTCATTCCAGCTCTTATGGATAACTTTGAAAGGTTCAAGACTTCAGCAGAGGAAATAACTAAAAAAGTGGTAAAAATAGCAAGAGAACAAAATTAGAAGTGGAATCAAAAGAGGTGGCAGAATTGCTAAAATTTCATTATCAAACTTGAATGATGAAGAGTTGCTTTTAAGGAATGAGCATAAAAAGTAGTTCCCTGAGATGGAGTCTATTCCTGGTGCAGATGCTATGAACATTACTGAAATGACAACAAAGAACTTAGAAAATTACATAAACATAGTTGATAAATCAGTAGCAACATTGCAGAGATTTGACTTCAATTTTAAGAGAATTCTACTATAGGGTAAAATGCTATCAAGAAGCATTGCATGCTACAGGGAAATATTTTATGAAAGAAAGAGTCAATTGAGATAGCAAATTTTACTGTTGTCTTAGTTTAACAAATTGCCACAGCCACTTCAACCTTCAGC
Organism: Homo sapiens; assembly: GCF_000001405.40. Taxonomy (NCBI): domain Eukaryota; kingdom Metazoa; phylum Chordata; class Mammalia; order Primates; family Hominidae; genus Homo; species Homo sapiens. The sequence goes on along the minus strand of NC_000006.12, from coordinate 122,525,784 downwards.
AACCACCACCCTGATCAGTCAGCAACCATCAACATAAAGGCAAGACCCTCCACAAGCAAAAATATTATAAATCACTAAAGGCTCAGATAATCATCAGCATTTTTTAGCCATAGAGTATTTTTTAATTAAAGTATGTACATCTTTTTAGAAATAATATTATTGCACATTTGACTATAGTATAGTGTTAACATAACATATGTGCTGTGAAACCAAAACATCTGTGACTTGCTTCGTTGTGATCTTGTGGTCTGTGATTGAACCCACAATATCTCCAAGGTATGTCTGTATAAACCAATTGGACCTAACAGACATATACAGAACATTCCACCCAACAGCAGCAGAATATACATTCTTCTCAAGTGCACATAGAACATTCCCCCAGATAGACTACATATTAAGGCAGAAAATGAAGCTTTAATGGGCCATAAAACAAATCTTCAACAATTTCAAGTTTACTGAAATCATACAAAGTATTTTTTCAATCACAATAGAATGAAACTGTAAATAAAAAGCACAAGGTAAACTAAAAAATCTACAAATATGTGAAAGCTAAACAGTGGACTCTTAAATAACCTATGGGTCAAAGAAGAAGTAACAAAGGAAATTATATAATACCTTGTAACAGAGGAAAATAAAAATACAACATACCAAAATTTATGTAATGCAGTGAAAGCAGTGCTAAGAGAGAAGATTATATCTGTAAATGCATACATTTAAAAAAAAAATTAACAACCTAACACTGCACCTAAGGAAACTAGGGGAAAAAAACTGAGCCCAAAATTAGCAGAAGGAAAAAAATAATAAAAATTAGAGCAGAGATAAATAAAGCAAGAATAGGCAAACAAAAGGAAAAAAATCAACAAAACGAAAAAATGTTTTACAAAAGATCAAAAAAATGGAAAGCCTCTTAAGCAGATTATGTTAAAAAAAAGAAAGACAACTAAAATCAGAAACAAAGAGGGGATATTACAACTGATGCCACACATATTTAAAATTGTAAAAGAATAACATAAGCAAGTACATACCAAAAAATTGAATATCCTAAAAGAAATGGATAAATTCCTAGACATATAAAAACTACTAAGACTGACTCATGAAGAAATAGAAAATCTGAACAGGCCAATAAAAAGTAAAGAGATTGAATCAGTAATCAAAAACCTCCTAATAAAGAGAAGCCCAGGAAAAGATGGCTTCACTGGAGAATTCTACAAAACATTTAAAGATGTAACATCAATTCTTTTAAAACTTTTCCAAAAAATTGAAGAGGAGGGAACTTCCAAGATTCTTCTATGAGGCATTACCTGATACCAAAGCCAGACAAAGGCACTACAGACAACTACGATGACGATGACAATGAAGAAGAAGCAGCAAAAGCAGAAGAGGAAGGAGAAGAAAAGGAAGGAGGAGGAGGAGAAGAAAAAGAGGAGGAGGAGGAGGAGGAAGAAGAAGAAGGAGGAGGAGGAAGAGGAAAAGAAAAAGAAAGAGGATGAGGAGGAGAAGGAAGAACAAGAAGGAGGAGGAGGAAGAGGAAAAGAAAAAGAAGGAGGATGAGGAAGAGGAGGAGGGGGAGGAGGAGGAAGAAGAAAGAAGAAGAGGAGGATGAAGAGGAGGAGGAGGAAGGGCAAGAGGAGGAGGGGGAGGAGGAGGAAGGAGGAGGAGAAGGAAGAAGGAAGAAGAGAGAAGAAAGAAGAAGAAATCTATAGATCAATATCCCTGATGAATATTGATTCAAAAATCAACAAAATATTAATATTAGCAAACCAAGTTTAACAGCACATTAAAAGGGGTATACACCACTGTACTGGTCAATTTTCATACTGCTATGAAGAAACACTTGAGACTGGGTAATTTATAAAGAAAAAGAGGTTTAATGGACTCACAGTTTCACATGGCTGGGGAGGCCTCACAATTGTGGCAGAAGGCGAAGGAGAAGCAAAGGCACATCTTACATGGCGGCAGGAAAGAGAGCTTGTGCAGGGGAACATCCTTTTTTTTTTTTCTTGATACCGAGTTTCACTGTGTTGCCCATGCTGGAGTGCAGTGGCTTGATCTCAGCTCACCGCAACCTTCATCTCCCAAGTTCAAGCAATTCTCCTACCTCAGCCTCCCAAGTAGCTAGAGTTACAGGCACCCACCACCATGCCCCACTAATTTTTGTATTTTTAGTAGAGATGGGTTTTCACCATGTTGACCAGGCTGGTCTTGAATTCCTGACCTCAGGTGAGCCACCTGCCTCAGCCTCCCAAGAACTTCCCTTTTTAAACCCATCAGATCTCATGAGACTTATTAACTATCATGAGAACAGCACAAAAAAAATCCCACCTCTGTGATTCAAGTACTTCCCACTGGGTCCCTCCCACAACGTGTGGGGATTATGGGAACTAGAATTCAAGACAAGATTTGCGTGGGGACACAGCCAAACCATATCAACCATGAACAAGTAGGATTTATTCCTGGAATGCAAGGATAATTTAACACACAGAAATAGATTAATGTAATACACTTCATTAACAGAATGAAGGACAAAACAACATGATTATCTCAATTGCAGAAAAAGCATCTGACAAGATTCAACAAACTCTCATAATAATAATAATTTTAAAAAACACTTAGCAACACAGGAACAAAGAAACTGCCTCAACATAATAAAGGCCATTTATGAGAAGCCCACAGCTAACATTATACTTAATAGTGAAAACTGAAGTTTTTCATTTAAGATTAGAACAAAGAGACAAGGATGCCCAGTCTCACTGTTTTATACAACATAGTATTGGATGTCCTAACCAGAGCCCTTAGTCAAAACAAACAATGAAAGATATCCAAATTGGGGGAAAAAGTAAATTATTAAATGTATTCAATTAATGAAGTTCTCTGTCCTCAGATGACATGATTCTATAATATAAAAATGCTATCTCCAGGCAAGATGTCCAAACAGGAATAGCTCCAGTCTGCAGCTCCCAGCGAGATCAATGCAGAAGGCAAGGGATTTCTGCATTTCCAACTGAGATACCTGGCTCATCTCACTGGAACTGGTTAGACAGTGGGTGCAGCCCACGGAGGGTGAGCAGAAGCAGGGTGGGGCATTGCCTCACCCGGGAAGCAAAAGGGGTTGGGGAAACTCCCTCCACTAGCCAAGGGAAGCCATGAGGGACAGAGCTATCCAGCCCAGATACTACACTTTTCCCACTGTCTTTGCAACCCACAGACCAGGAGATTCCCTCTGGTGCCTACACCACCAGGGCCCTGAGCTTCAAGCACAAAGCTGGATGGCTGTTTGGGCAGACACTGAGACACTGAGCTAGCTGCAGGAGTTTTTTTGTTGTTTTTTGTTGTTGTTGTTTGTTTTGGTTTTCTTGTACCCCAGTGGTGCCTGGAATGCCTGTGAGACAAAACCATTCACTCCCCTGGAAAGGGGGCTGAAGCCAGGGGGCTGAGTGGTCTTGCTCAGTGGATCCCACCCCGACAGAGCCCAACAAGCTAAGATCCACTGGCTTGAAATTCTCACTGCCAGTGCAAAAGTAATTACAGTTTTTGCACTGTTTAAATTTGCCGTTTGATATTAGAATACATTCTTAAATAAATGTGCTTATTTGTACATCATTTTAATGTGCATTTCTCGCTTTATGTTTTTTTTTTGCTAATGACTTATTACTTGCTGTTCATGTTTATTTTAGAATATGGAAATGATGTTAGACAAAAAGCAAATTCAAGTGATTTTTTTGTTTGAGTTTGAAATGGGTCATAAAGCAGCAGAGACAACTCACAACATCAACAATGCATTTGGCCCAGGAACTGCTAATGAATGTTCAGTGCAGTGGCAGTTCAAGTTTTGCAAAGGAGACGAGAGCCTTGAAGATGAGGACCGTAGTGGCCAGCCATCGGAAATTGACAAGGACTAAGAGCAATCATCAAAGCTGATCCTCTTACAACTGCACAAGAAGTTGCCAAAGAACTCAATGTTGACCATTCTATGGTCATTTGGCATTTGAAGCAAATAAAAAAAGTGAAAAAGCTAGATAAGTGGGTGCCTCAGGAGCTGATGGAAAATCAAACATATCGTCATTTTGAAATGTCATCTTCTTTTATTATTATTATTATTTTTATTGAGGTGGAGTCTCGCTCTGTCACCCAGGCTGGAGTGCAGTGGCCTGATCTCAGCTCACTGCAAGCTCCGCCTCCTGTGTTCATGCCATTCTCCTGCCTCAGCCTCCTGAGTAGCTGGGACTACAGGCGCCCACCACCACGCCCAGCTAATTTTTTGTATTTTTAGTAAAGACAGCGTTTCACCGTGTTAGCCAGGATGGTCTCGATCTCCTGACCTCGTGATCTGCCTGCCTCAGCCTCCCAAAGTGCTAAGATTACAGGTGTGAGCCACCACACCTGGCCTGAAATGTCATCTTCTTATTCTACACAACAACAGTGAACCATTTCTCAATCAGATTGTGTCGTGTGACAAAAAGTGAATTTTATACAACAACTGGCAATGACAAACTCAGTGGTTGGACCAAGAAGAAGCTCCAAATCACTTCCCAAAGCCAAACTTGCACCAAAAAAAGGTCATGGTTACTGTTTGGTGGCCTGCGGCCAGTCCGATCCACTAAGTTTTCCGAATCCCAGCAAAACCATTACATATGAGAGGTATGCTCAGCAAATCGATGAGATGCACCAAAAACTGCAACACCTGAAGCCAGCATTGGTCAACAGATAGGGCCCAATTCTTCTCCACGAAAATGCCAGACTGCATATCCCACAACCAGTGCTTCAAAAGTTGAAGAAATTCTGCCACAAAGTTTTGCCTCATCCGTCATACTCACCTGATGTCTCGCCAACTGACTATCACTTCTTCAAGCATTTCAACAACTTTTTGCAGGGAAAATGCTTCCACAACCAGTAGGATGCAGAAAATGCTCTCCAAGAGTTCATCAAATCCCAAAGCATGAATTTTTATGCTACAGGACTAAATAAACTTATTTCTCATTGGCAAAAAATGTGTTGATTGTAATGGTCCCTACTTTAATTAACAAAGACGTGTTTGAGCTTAGTTATAATAATTTAAAATTCACGGTCTGAAACCACAATTTGTTTGCATCAAACTAATATAAATTTGGTGGGGGGGGGGTGGGAACATAAACTTTCAGCCCACACCACACATTTACAGAGAGAGCTTAAGAAGAGGAAATAATGACTTTCCCTAGAGGAGAAGAATCACCACAGGAGTATAAGCCAGATGAGAAAAACACAAACATGTGAACTTAGATGTGTGCCAATTATCTCAATTTTATACCATCTGCAGAATAGACCTATGGTAAATAGACACTCTTGATATGGAAGAGGCCTCTTCTAAGGAGACGCATTCATGATTTATTGTGTTAAATCCCTTTATCAAGTCAGATCATCAGAATGCAACAAAATCAGCTTGTGTAACTCAGGTTTGTTACTCCAAAGGCTTATCAAACTTAGAGTATCAGTAAATATTTAATGTGTACCTACTCTTCTAAGTGCCAGATATATGACAATTAACAAAAATGCATGGCTCTTTTCTTCTAGGAGCTTATAATCTAGTTTGCAGGAAATATATCAAATTGACCAATATGCTGATAATTTCAACATAATATAGCAAGTACAGTAATGTGGTACAGATACAGTGCCAAACAAAGCAGGCTAAAAGGCTCAGTATGGATTTTTAGGGAATGCTTCTGGGAATTGATGCCTGAACTCAGTCTCAATGGATAACTATAACATAACTGGAAATATTAAGATTATTTGGCAATAATGAATGGCACCCTAGAGGGAATCTTGGAAGGTGGGAAACTACATGATAAATGAGAAAAATGCCAACAGTTCAGTGAAAAGCTGGAGGAAGAAAAGATTAGGGTATTGTATCTGGACCACAGTGGGTGTAAAGCCCCACTAATGTGATGTCCTCTGTTTCCATCTAGGATTGGGATTAGAAATGTCTCTTTATCCAATGGCTCTGAGAAAAGTGTTTTTGAGGACAACATTTATTATGCTGTCACTCCATGAATGTGAGTCTTTAATAGAAAGATTCAGGAAAACATAAAACAAGATAAAACCTTGTATCACTTTTAACTTACAGAGTAAGGAAAAAGGCATCTCTACTAGTGAAATTGTATTTTGCTGTTTATTAGTTAGTGAGGGCTATGTTTTAACCCATCATTCTTTCCTCTTGCCTTGGAATAGAAAAAGATTTTTATTAATTCATTACAGCTTGCTTTGTATGGCTGTATAACCTAAAACAGTGGTCTCCAACCTTTTTGACACCAGGGACAAGTTTCATGGAAGAAAATTTTTCCACAGACGGAGGTGGGGGATGTGGGGGGTGGTTTTGGGATGATGCAAGTGCATTACATTTATTGTGCACTTTATTTATATTATTATTACATTGTAACATATAATGAAACAATTATACAACTCATCATAATATAGGATCAGTGGGAGCCCTGAGCTTGTTTTCCTGCAACTAGACAGTCTCATCTGGGGGTGATGGGAGACAGTGACAGATCATCAGGCATTAGAATCTCATAAGAAGGCACAAGCTAGATCCCTCACATGCACAGTTCACAATGTTCACTGTCCTATGAGACTCTAGGAGCTGCTGATCTGACAGGAGGCAGAGCTCAGGCAGTAACGCTTGCTCACCCACAGCCATTCACCTCCTGCTGTGCAGTCTGGTTCCTAGTAGCCCACGGACTGGTACCCCTAGCCTAAAACATCTTATCTCCCCCAAATTTGGCTCTTCCAACCCAATAAGTGCTCATACTTGTATTATAGCATTTTCTTCTTCCTCTAGATGGTACATTCCCCAAAGTGAGGCATCTTTCTATTTCATCTTACAATGAAAAGTACAGTAAAGTGGTCAGCATGTGGTGCTCAGTCTGCGTCTGAATGACCAATTTTTAAAATATCTTTGTATTTGAGTGTATTTTAACAGATACTTTAAAAATAAAATGAATAGCATATGATGCATAAATAAAATATATTTGTCTTAATGAATGTGAGCCTCATGGACTTAATTCTTCTTCACTCCTTAGTTTCTCGGTCTAAAAGGGGTCATGATGGTTATAACAATAGGTACATTTATTGAATGCCTGACACCCACTAGGCACTCCTCCTCTCCCATGTGCCAGAGGCCCTCTCAGCACCTTCTCATGTGCTTTACCTCCTGCTTGGAAGGCGTGACCTCCAGCTCTCCCATTGCCACTCTGCCTCACCCTTCAGTTCTCAGCTCAAATCGTTCCTCTCCAGAGAGGTCCTGACAACCTACAGCTAAAGCAGGGTGCTGCTCCCTCATTTTGTTTCATGAAATCTTCCCCAACACACTTGGATAGAGTCAGTCCCTCTCACTAATGAACTCCAATAAAACTGTGAAGGTACCACTCTAAAAAGACTTAATGTAGTGTTTAAAATTAGAGTATCTGCTTATTTTCTTCTATCCCCTTCTAGATTACCTTAAATCTTGAACTCTTAAAGCAGGGTTGGTAATCTAGGCCCACAGTCCAAATACAGCCCACTGCCTGCATTTGTACAACCAAGAAGCTAAGAGTAACTTTTACATTTTTAAATGGTTGGGCAAATAAGCTCAAAGAAGAACATTTCATAGCATGTAAAAATTATATAAAATTCAAATTTCAGTTTCCATAAATAAAGTTTTATTGGGACACAGCCACATTTATTCATTTCTGGGGTTGCTTTTAACCCTTTACCTGTTGAGAAAAAAAAAGTGCAGCTCACTGCCAGCACTCATTTAATTTTACATGAACATGCTCTTTGAGGCTGAAGCAAATATGACTAATTTTAAGGTGAAAATAAAATATAAAAACTATTTTTGGAGTTATTTATAAACAGAACTAACATCAGAATCACCTATTTTGGAAAAATCGGATTCATCAAATGATTCTTGGGCCAATATCTGTTTGAGAATGATGTTAATATCACATGTAGGAATGCTATGTTTTCTAGGATTTGACACATTCAGTGATCAAGAATTACTGTATTTTGTAAATGGAAATGCCACTACTAAAAACAGAATGCCATAAATAGAATTATGTCTTTTGTTTCCAAAGTCAATATACATAGACAAAGTGAAAATAATAATAAAAGCCAGATATTTCGTAGCAAAGTTATCTAGGAGCAAATGCTGCAGCTGTAAGTGCCACCAGTGAGTATTCTCAAGGCAAACAGGAGAAGGGTTAGACAACACTTTAGACTGATGTCTCTGAATAATTATGAGAAAGACCATGTGGCCCAAGCAGTCTAAAATATTTTCCCTCTGGACTTTCGCAGAAAACATTTTCAGCTCATCTTTTTAGAAGGCAAAGGTGACATTTTATTCTTTTTAAAATCCCTATCGTTTAGTGCACAGTAAGTGCTTAGGGGAATATTTGTTTAATATTTAAACATTTCCTAAAAGCATTAGACTTATAAAAGAACAATATTTTTAAAAGTCTCTTTAATATAAGTCAAAATATTAGTTACCTGTGGGGTTGAATAATGCCTGAAGGTGAGTACAAGGGAAGCTTCTAGGGTACTGAAAACATTCTATAACTTGACTTGAATGGTGATTAGAATGTGTTCAGTATAAAAATTCCAGAAATTGTACATTTATTTGTATGCTTTTCTGAATGCATATTTTCAATAAAAAGTGAACAACAACAAAAAAACAGAAACATAATCCGTGATGGAATATTTTTAAAGACCATTTAACCTCTAAAAAGCTGAGATTCTAAGACATAATTCACTAAATAGTGATTCAAATGATCCATACATGGCCAGGGCACATGCACCATTCCCACACTATGGGTGGGAGGAGGTTATCAGCACAGAATTAGAATTGGGTACCTGCTCACCCCAGCTTTTAAATGCCACATGTTGCAAATATCCCTGGAAGACCAGGCAAAAGCTTCCAATATGTCCATATTTAACCAAAATCTCTCACTTTTCCATTGCTCCGTGTCTCTTCTCCCTAATTTATTCCTTGAATGCTCCCAATCTCAATACTTGTTTTAGTATTGCCTTATGTGGTGGGACCTCTTCTGCTTTCTAATACTCATCTGTCCTACTTAATGCTGAATTTTATGTAACCCCTCAGTTTCAGTCAATCTGGCTCCTGCTATACGTCAGATCTGAATGAGAGATGATACAGCTAAGCAGGCCAACTTGGAAGTCTCCAGCAGAGTAATCAGAACTGGGAACACAGGCAAGGTCTATAGGATTAGTCACCTAGTAAATATTGACAAGGACAAGGAGAACATATTGATTACCCAAGAAGTCATCTTAACAGTAGGCAACAAAGGTCTTGGAAGTTGAAGGCAAGAACTCGAACAAGTGACTGAGCATTAGTGATCACAACCATAAAAGAGGAGCATGCAAGAGGCGCAGGGAACTGAAAGCCAACTCTTTGATTTACCTTTAGGTCTCCTATGGAGTTATATTAAAGCAAAAACCAGTCCCCCAAGAAGCAGATCTGAAGCCTGAAGGTGAGGATGAGTGAATTCACCTGAATGATGAGAGAAGCAGAAGACCAAAAGAGAAGACAGCTCCATACTTACAGTACAGTCTTCCAGGAAGCCAGATACTGGCTCACTCCTCTGCTCAAGTAGTTACGTGTGTGCTCTTTGAGATTTATACTTTCTATTGCAGGACACTAAATTGTATGATAGTAGATTCTGTGAGAAACCCATTAGTTATTATAGCTTTTTTAGCTGACATTGACTTCAAATATGAGCCAGGAATCATTAAAAACTCATGAAGAGGCCGGGCGTGGTGGTTCACGCCTGTAATCCCAACACTTTGGGAGGCCGAGGAGGGCAGATCACAAGGTCAAGAGATGGAGAACATCCTGGTGAACATGGTGAAACCCTGTCTCTACCAAAATACAAAAATTAGCAGGGCGTGGTGGTGCGAGCCTGTAGTCCCAGCTACCCGGGAGGCTAAGGCAGGAGAATAGCTTGAACCCAGGAGGCACAGGTTGCAGTGAACCAAGATCACGCCACTGTACTCCAGCCTAGTGACAGAGTAAGACTCCATCTCAAAAACAAACAAACAAACAACTCATGAAGAAATAGTTTACTAATATTTTAATTAATAAACAAGATCTCAAGTGAGAATTTTTGACTTATCTAAATGAACAAACTATAGAGGCACTCATGTACATGGGGTACCTGCTAATCTGTCTTATCTGTTCTTAAAGTAATTTCTCAAGGATCTCTTAATAAATGCTTTGTTCTTCAAGTTTGTGTTGTATTTAAAAATGTGAGAAGACTTTGCCTTTATTCTCAAGTATTATTTAATCCTAACTTTCTCTTATTTATACTTAAACTTGTGTGAATCTGAACTAATAAAATTTTTCTAATGAAAATGAGCTTCTGTTTTATAAATTATAAAGTATTTTTTAAAATTAAGCTGGTCATTTAAAATGTTTCATTCTTTGCAAGTGACAACTCTTAATGTTTAATATTTATTGAGCTTGAAGAAGTCAGAAACAGAAGAAAGATAATTTTAAAACACATTTTTGTATTTTATTGTTTATTTATACCTGGAATAAACGGTTCAAATCCAGAGTTTTATCATGAAATTATAGTTCAGAAAATGGAAAATTATTTAGTATTGTGTAATAGGGTTGAATATTTTATGAGTTAATGTCCACTTAAGTGCGTTACTCTTTCTTCCCCCAAAAAATATGAATTTATAAGAAACTACACTAATACCAGCTGTAAAAGTAAAATAGTTTTACTGTTAGTTTATCGCTATAAGCACACCAAGAGAGAAAAAATCACACCCAAACTGTACCATTTACTCTTGCAAAGACCTCAGGCACAGAAGCATAGAATGAATGTCACTCAAAGCCTAAATATAACTTCACTCTATGGGTTACCCCACTCCAGTGAGGGAGTTCCCTTTTCCTCTCACCCCTGGGGCTTACATATAGATTATAAATACATAATAGGGGAAGGGGTGAGTTGGGAGGGGTTGTAGGGGCTCCCTTCTCCCCTTTCCACTTCCCCTGGTTCCCTATCCCTGGGCTGTTGTTAAAAATGAATAATAAAAGGACTTGAGAAACAAAAACAAAAACAAAAAAACCCACTACTCTCTAAAGCAATATTTCCTATCTTGGTATCTATGGAAAGGAGACTGGTCAAGGCCCTGAAGCTATCCTCTTATATTCTGATAAATATTTTAAACCCTTATTTTGTATTGTCTTTAAACATTCAAATATATGCCACTTTGTGAATCTGATTCTTCATTTTGTTGTTCTGCTAAATTTTGCCAGCGGTAGCTTGTTTTTCCAAGTGCTTTTCAAATATTTTTGTGAACTCACGTTTCTCTAAACTTTATCAGTATGACTTCTTTGTGGCCTGAGTTTCAAGCATGTACCACCATAGAGAATTTGAGTTTGCTAAAATGCCAGGAACCTGTGTGTACTACTAGCCCAGGACCACTTTTACATAAATTTGTGGCATGGGTTTTTTTCCAGGCATACAGGGAATGTGACCCCAAACCAAAAGGAAAGCATACTGAGAATTCTCAAAGAAAGAATTTTTTTTTCCCTGTGTACTCATGGCCAAAGCCAAAAAAAGGCAAGCATTCTTATTCTCTCCATTTTCCTGAATAAGAGAATTCATCCCTGGAATCTGTTCCTTTTAGAATTCCTGGATTTGCCTCTGAGTCTTGCTCCAGTCTCTCACCTTGCACAGGAGCCCAAGTGTTCCTGTCTGTGATTATCAGTCCACCAAAATATGAAACTTTAAATCACCAAGGATGAGCAGATGCTGTTAGTGCAAATGCTGACTTCAGCACTGACCTAGAAAGAGATTCACAGTTTCTTATTGCTTCAGGTCTTAGTGAAGTTCCCTCACTTTCCTTATAATTATACATTTAAAAATATTTTATCTACGGATAAAGAAAATGTGGTGCATATACACTATGCAATACTATGCAGCTATTTAAAAAGAACGAAGTCATGTCCTTTGCAGCAACATAGATACAGCTGGAGGCCATAATCCCAAGGAAATTAACACAAGAACAGAAAACCAAATATTGCACGATCTCACTTGTAATTGGAAGCTAAACATTGAGCCCACGTGGAACTAAAGATCGGGACAATAAACACTGTGAACTACTAGACAGGGGAGGGAAGGAGAAGCCCACGGGGTGAAAAACAACCCTTTGGGTACTATGTTTACTACAACCTGGGTGATGACATCTACACCCCAAACCTCAACACCACACAATGTACTCACAATACTCTTGTAGCAAAGCTGCACATATACCCCCTGTATTTAAAGTAAAAGTTGAAATTGAATATAAATATATATATGTAAATATTTTATCCAGCAATTTAGTCGTTCTTTCACTCCAGGATCCAGTTGGCAGAAGCATCACTCACCTGTGATTTATAGTTCTCAAGGTAGAGAGTAAAAGCAAGAGAGCTGGTGAAACTACACAACGGAAAGCTTCTGTTCAGACTGGTGTACTGTCAATTCTGCTCACATTTCACTGGTCAAAACAAGTCATGTAGCTGAGCCTGGCCTAAATGGTGTGGGAAAGTATGCTCCTCTTAAGGCTAGTACTGTATGCACATGGCAGTGGATGTAGATTAATGGTCTTACAGGGAAGGGAAGAATGAGCAATTGAGGATGATAATATGGTCTACCACAAAGAAAGATCAGAGGTGGAAGAGTAAATCGAGGGAATAAGATGATGTGTCCACATCAGGCATGTCATGGTTAAAGTGTCTGTGAGACATTCAAACAGAGATGCTGACTAAGAAATTGGATATACATACACACCTATACATATATACAAATATATGGCTAAGAAGTTTAGGAGAAAACTATGAAAGGGAGATATATATTTTAGAATTATAAACATTAAAAATGGTAGTTTAAATCTTAAGGAAGTGAATGAATCTTTCAGGGAGAAGAGGGTTGACTTGCCCTCTTGGGCAATTGGGACATTGACATGTCTAATTTTCCTTTAAACACATAGCTGTCTTGGTCTTTCATTTTCTAATTTTAAATGTCAAGGAATATTTTTCTACTATAAGAAAAACAACAGTCTCAGTGTGATAAGTGATAACCGAGACTTGGACTCAGTGTTCGAAGGATACCAAAGCCAGTGGTAGGTGAAGGGACAGAGCATGTATTGTCCAAAGGAGCAGCTGGTACACAGCTCAAGCTAACTATGGACAGGTGGAAGTGCCAGCCAAGATGGTCCAGAGAGTCCAGGTTTTCAAAAAAGCTGAAAACAGATCTCATATATAATCTCCAAATTGTTAAATGTTAAATCCATTTATTTCCAAGTATTGCGAGAGACAAAAAATAATAATTACTATTATAATACACTATCTGTAGACCAGATTTGGTCTGTATAGTCACCAATTTCCAATATCTGATATAAAATGAGAAGAGGGAAAAGAGAGAAAGTTGAGAACATTTATGGAATGAGCAATGAAAGAGAAGTTCACTAAGGAGAATGGCAGCCACAGATCCCAAGAATATTCTTGACTATTTCAAGAAGAAACTAACCTAGTTATTTTAAGTATTGACATTTTCTTATTTTTTAAACATGTGCAAAATAAAATGCATTTTATATTACTTGAATTAAAAGTTTAGTCCTCTGAGGTACTGGTGTGTTAGGATACCACTATAATTTTAAATAGGTTAGGACATTGTTGGGAAAAAGGACTGTGGGGTGCCTGTATAAACTTGCCCTAAAAATATGGGACAATAAGTTGTGGAAAGCCACAAGAGGCCTCTGAGGAGGAAAGCCTCCTAATTGCCATCATGTTCCCATGCTCAGAGTGAGATCCGCTCTCTTATCTGTAAACACAGTGTTCAAGAAAAAAAGACACTCCTTTAAAACATTAAAATGTGGACAGATGTACAGGCTCCTAGTTAAGCCCGCTCCCACTAACTACTCTCTGATAAGTTAAAGATACATTGTTTGAACACAAAGAAAATTCATTTAAACCACTATTACCGTAGATTACGCCTATGACGTACTGCCTCCCTTTCACTGTTTCGCCCTGAGCATCTGCTTCTTAGATCTAAGTGATTGTACTCAATAAATACTGTGGAAACCAGAGCTCGGCGCCTTTTGCAGCCTCCATTTTACAAGTGGCCCCCTGGCTCCCATTTTAAAGAACTCTTGACCCGTCTCTTCTCATTCCTTTGTCACCACTAGAGTTCGGGTACCCTATGGGTGGTGCCCCCAACATTTTGTCACCCAACATGGGACCCAAAAGAATCCAGTGAAGAAACGCTCAAGTGTGTGAAATGGAGGACCGATGGACAAAGGACTCCTGAGGACAAAAAAGTTTTAAGCTCTGCAGGTAAACAGGGCACTCGGAGAAAGCTAGGGACACAAATGGGACAAACTGAAAGTAAGTACACCACATATTTGAGCTTGCCATGGCAGCTCTTGAAGTGTGGTGGGGTAAAAGTTGATACGGAAAATCTTATGGATTTGTTTTATGCTGTGGAACAATTTTGTGCTTGGTTCCAAAAACAGAGAACTGTGAAATTAAAAAATTGGGAAAGAGTTGAAGAGGACCTTAAAAAACAAATAGAAAAGGAAAGGAAATTCCTTTGCCTGTTTGGTCAGTTTGGTCATTGCTGCATGCAGCACTGGTGCCTTTTCAGACAAATGATGAGGTTGAGTCACAGGAGGAGAGAAAGGAGTCTAATGATCAGGACCCTGAACCACGTCTACTAAGTACTAACAAAAAGGAGACTCCGGAGGTGATTTCTGCCAATCCCCCCAGTCTCCCTAAACCTACTCAAAAAATTGTTCAGCCCATGGCTCCTTCAGAGATATGTCCGAAATGGCCACCTTCTAGGAGAGGGAGCCCAAGACTTGGCTCGCCATGACTCGGCTTGCTGCGCCTATTATTGCCCAACCCACAGTTCATTATGAAAAGGGGGCATTCAGGCTCACCCTGCCATTCATTACAGTGAAGGAACAATTCAGGCCCGACCCAGCACCTTATCTGGGTCAAACAGTGGCTGCTCCCTAAGGAAAAATTGGGGACACTTCATAAAATAGTTAAACTACTAAAAAAAAGGATATATTTCACCCACTTTCTCTCCTTGAAATTCCCCAGTATTTGTAATTTAAAAAGTTTGGTAGATGGCACATGCTGACTGACTTGCAAGCAGTCAACGCTGTAATTCAACCAATGGGAGCCTTACAACCCGAGCTCCCATCTCCCATCATGATCCCTAAAGACTGGCCACTTGTTATTATAGATTTAAAAGACTACTTTTTTACAATTCCTTTAACAGAGACAGGTTTTGAAAAATTTACCATTATCATCCCTGCCGTTAATAACAAAAAACCTACAGCCAGATATCATTGAAAAGTTTTGCCTCAGGGTATGTTAAACAGTCCCACAATTTGTCAAACTTTTGTAGACAGAGCTATCCAGACTGTTAAAAATCAATTTCCAGATTGTTACATCATTCATTATATGGATGACATACTGTGTACAACAAAAAATAAAAACCAACTTATTCAATGTTATTCATCTTTGCAAAAGACAATTACAAACACTGGATTGCTTAGAACACCTGAAAAAAATTCAAAAAACCACTCCTTTTCAGTATTTGAAAATACAAGTGCGGAATAGAGCCATTAAGCCTCAAAAGGTTCAAATTTAAAAAAATTCTTTAAAAACCTTAAATAATTTTCAAAAATTGTTAGAAGATATTAATTGAATTCAGCCCAACTTAAAGATCCCTACTTATACTATATCTAATCTCTTCTCAATATTGAGAAAAAAATTTCAACTTGCACAGTAAAAAAAAACTAACACCCAAGGCCATAAAAGAATTAAAAGTAATTAAAAAAAAAAAACTCAACAAGCCCAGATCAGTAGGATTGACTCAGACTTGCCTTTACAATTCACAGTGTTCCCTACTTCCCACTACCCAATGGGGGTTATTATTCAAAATGATGATTTAGTTAAGTGGTCCTTTTTGCCACATAATACCATAAAAATGCTTACAGTATATTTGATCAAATGACAATTTTAAGCTGGGTGTGGTGGCTCACACCTGTAATCCCAGCACTTTGGGAGGCCGAGGTGGGCAGATCACGAGGTCAGGAGATCGACACCATCCTGGCTAACATGGTGAAGCCCTGTCTCTACTAAAAATACAAAAAAATTAGCTGGGTGTGGTGGTGGGCATCTGTGGTCCCAGCTACTCGGGAGGCTAAGGCAGGAGAATGGCGCAAACCTGGGAGGCAGAGCTTGCAGTGAGCCGAGATCGCACCACTGGACTCCAGCCTGGGCAACAGAGTGAGACTCCATCTTAAAAAAAAAAAAAGACAATTTTAATTGGACAGGCTCATATACAAATTGTTAAACTTTATGGCACTAAGCCCAATAAGATTGTAGTTCCAATACATAAAAATCAGGTTAAACAAGCATTTATTAATTCAGTTACGTGACAAGTTAATTTAACAAAATTTGTTAAATGTATTAATAATCATTATCCTAAATAAAATTTTCCAGTTCTTAAAATTAACTACATGGGTTCTTCCAAAAATTACTCCTAATGCCCCTTTAAAAGGAACTGTAACTGTTTTTACTAATGGCTCTAGTACTGAAAAAGCGACATATATGGGACCATGTGATAAAGTTATCCACACTAACTTTTCCTCAGCCCAAAGAGCTGAATTACAAACAGTAATTACAGTATTAAAAAATTTTAGGCCGGGCGCGGTGGCTCACGCCTGTAATCCCAGCACTTTGGGAGGCTGAGGTGGGCGGATCACTAGGTCAGGAGATCAAGACCATCCTGGCTAACACGGTGAAACCCCGTCTCTACTAAAAATACAAAAATTAGCTGGGCATGGTGGCGGGCACCTGTAGTCCCAGCTACTCGGGACGCTGAGGCAGGAGAATGGCGTGAACCCAGGAGGCGGAGCTTGCAGTGAGTCGAGATGGCGTTACTGCATTCCAGCCTGGGCGACAGAGCAAGACTCTGTCTCTAAAAAAAAAAAATTTTAATCAGCCAGTTAATATTGTTTCAAATTCAACTTATGTTGTACAAGCTACTCAACATATTAAAACTGCCTTAATTAAATATATTATTGGTAAACAGCTTTATCAATTGTTCAACTCTTTACAAACAGCTGTGCGTACTCAGGGTTTTCCTTTCTATATAACTCATATCTGAGCACATACCAATCTTCCAGGACCCTTGACTAAGACTAATAAACAAGCTGACTTGTTGGTTTCCCCCATACTTACTAATGCCCAAAGTTTCCACTCAATAACACACCTTACACCTTAACACAACAGGACTTAAAAACAAATATCAAATTATGTAAAATCAGGCCAAGGACATTGTACAACATTGTCCTCAGTGCCAGGTACTACAACTACCGCATCAAAAAACTGGTGTTAACCCTTGAGGGTTGACACCTAACATAATCTGACAAACAGACGTCACCCACGTTCCTACATTTGGCAAACTTTCTTATGTCCATGCGACCATAAATACATATTCTTATTTTATATGGACTACTTGCCAAACCAGCAAGACTACAACACATATAAAAAGACACTTACTTTCCTGTTTTACTATCATGGAAATTCCACAAAAATTAAAAACAGACAATGGACCAGACTACTGTAGCAGATCTTTCCAAACATTTTTAAAACAATAAAACATTAAACACAACACAAGCATTCCCTATAATTCTCAAGGACAAACAATTGTGAAACAAGCCAATCAAATCTTAAAAATACAATTACATAAACAAAAAATTAAAAAAATTAAAAATATTCCACCCCTCATATACAGTTACAATTGGCTCTTGTTACCTTAAATTTTTTTAAACATCTCCCAAAATCAGGTTACTACAACAACTAAACAACATTTAACAGGACAAAAGGTAAATGTTCATAAAGAAAAACCTGTGTGGTAAAAAAAACTCAAAAACAAAGACCTAAAAAAGAGGAAAAGTTATTACACGGGAAAGAGGGTTTGTTTGTATTTCCCCAGAAAAAAAACAACTTCCAGTTTGGGTACCTACAAAACATCTTAAACTCTACCATAAACAAAATTCCAAAAAAAAAAAAAAATTTTTAAGCCAAGATTTCCACCCCCGCCCCCAACACGCCTGATGGCTCAAATACACATTTCAGCCAACCAGGTAAAGACCAACAAAACCCATCAAATGAGCCCACCAGCTTGAAAACAAATCAAATGATGGACCCAACTTACAAAAAAAACACCTAAAGACACAACAAAACCCACTAACTTCAAGTAACCTGATGGTGACTATAATACGGTAATTACTATGACGGTAAGTCTCCCTGTAACTACAACAAACCAAAATTATACCTATTAGATATATGTCCCATTTCTGCCTTTAATTAGGCCTGTTACATGGTTAAAACCCCTGGTTGAGGTTTATGTTAATAATAGTGTTTAGATGCCTGAGCCTACAGATACTTATAAACCCTCTCACCCAGAGAAGAAGTAAATGTTAATAAATGTGTCCATGAGTTATCAGTTCCCCCTCTTTACATAGGGCCAACTATCAGTTGCCTAAAAGACTACTGACAACATTGACTGTTAAAATTCCAGGTCATAATAAAAAACCAGTACTCTATCATTTATTTTCTAAATAGAACCCAGATCATTCACAAAGTTTGGTTCAATTAAAACAATTTAAACCCCCCAAAAAGAGGGATTAACAGCCTCAACAATGGTGAAAAAATTTAAAAATATTAATTTTAAAAAATTACGGCCGGGCGCGGTGGCTCATGCTTGTAATCCCAGCACTTTGGGAGGCCGAGGCGGGCGGATCACGAGGTCAGGAGATCGAGACCATCCTGGCTAACACGGTGAAACCCCGTCTCTACTAAAAATACAAAAAAAATTAGCCGGGCGTGATGGTGGGCGCCTGTAGTCCCAGCTACTCGGGAGGCTGAGGCAGGAGAATGGCGTGAACCCGGGAGGCGGAGCTTGCAGTGAGCCGAGATTGCGCCACTGCACTCCCGCCTGGGCCACAGAGCGAGACTCCGTCTCAAAAAAAAAAAAAAAAAAAAAAATTACATCTCCAATCACACTGGTACTACAAAATAATTCCTATAAAATCGTCATTAATTGGTCTCCTAAGGGGACCTTTACAGTTAATTGTACCAATCAAAATAATAAATACATGACAGGACTGAAACAAAAACTATACTATCAAAAAGATGACACTACTTACACTAAACAACATGCCCAGTTTCCCATAATTTGGGCCAATTTTAGTATGGCTGGCCCACATCCAAAAATAATTAAACCAATAATAGGCCCTAAACATAATTCCCAAATTATGGAAGTTAATGATGGCCCAAACTCATATTCGGGTTTAAAAATATATATAATCTTTAAAAAAATGATGAGAGACTTCAATTTGTGTATCAGTTTTCTTCCCACCAAACGGTGCCCAAAGTTCTGTCAAACCTCCTTTTATGTTAATGTTTGAAAATATTAATATTCGACCTAATTATCAAACTATTACTTGTCAAAACTGTCACCTTTTCACCTGTATTGATTTCACATTTGGTGAAAAAACATCTGTGTTACTGGTAAAGATTTAAAAAAAGTTTGGATACCAGTTTTCCTCAATAGACCTTAAAAAGCCTCTCCTTCCATTCATATGGTCACAAAAATGTTAAAAAAAAGTGTTTACCAAAACAAAAAGATTTATTTTTAGCCTTATAACAGTCATTATGGGCCTTATTGCAGTCACAGCTACTGCTGTGGCTGCTGGAATTACTTTACACTCCTCTATTCAAACTACAAAATATGTCAATAATTGACAAAAAAATTCCTCAAAAATTGTGGAACTCAGACCTAAACAGACCAACAATTAACAAATCAAATAAATAATCTTATATAGACTGTTATTTAAATGAAAGATCATATAATAAGCTTAAAGCATCAATTACAAATACAATGTGATTAAAATACTTCTGATTTCTACATAACTCCCTATTCATATAATACTACTAAACATCATTTTAAAAAAGTTAAATATCATCTAAAAAAAGGGATAAAAAATTAATATTAAATTTAGTCAAATTAATAAAACAGGTTTTTAAAGGGACTCAGGGTCATTCAACTCTCCTGCCTGAGACTGACATTCTCACCAAAACTACTAATGGACTTTCAAACGAAAACCCTCTTAAATAAATTAAGACCACTGGAGGATCAACTATTACAAATTTTACTTTAATGTGTATCTATTTATGCTGTTTACTTTTAGTCTACAGATGCGAAAGACACCTCTGGAGAGAGACCAGACACCACAAACAAACCATAATAACAATGACAGTTTTAAAAAAGAAAAAAGGGGGACATGTTGGGAAAAGGGCTTGTGGGGTGCCTGTATAAACTGGCCATAAAAATATGGGACAATAAGTTGTGGAAAGCCACAAGAGGCCTCTGAGGAGGAAAGCCTCCTAATTGCCATCATGTTCCCATGCTCAGAGCGAGATCTGCTCTCTTATCTGTAAACACTGTGTTCAAGAAAAAAGATACTCCTTTAAAACATTAAAATGTGGACAGACGTACAGGCTCCTAGTTAAGCCCACTCCCACCAACTACTCTCCGATAAAGATACACTGTTTGAACACAAAGAAAATTCATTTAAACCACTATTACTATAGATAACGCCTATGACGTACTGCCTCCCTGTCACTGTTTTGCCCTAAACATCTGCTTCTTAGATCTAAGTGATTGTACTCAATAAATCAAGTAGAAACCAGAGCTCGGGGCGTTTTGCAGCCTCCATTTTAAAACTGGCCCCCTGACTCCCACCTTTAAGAACTCTTAACCTGTCTCTTCTCATTCCTTTGTTACCACCGGACTTCGGATACCCTACGGATGGTGTTGAGGCTGGCCCACAACAGGACATGACCTGAAAAGTGTCTGCATTGAAATCTTTACATATTTCTAAACCAACACATTTTATGTACTACAGTTATGCAAAATGATTATCCTTCAGTAGATAAACTATATAAGGATGTCTATAACAAAATACAATAGAAATGTGAAAAATATTACATAACAGGGTAAAATTTTAATTTTTAAAATAACTGTTTAAAGCCAGAAAATGCAACACAATTTGTGCTAAATCATTGTTCAAGCTATGGAAAATATCTCTGAGCATCCAGGGATTTCTAACAAACATGCTAAAATCAGAGAAAATATGCATTCAGAGAGACTGACATCAAGTTCCAAGGAATCTTAAATGAAGGGTTGCATTTTCTGAGCAACTGCACTCAGCAGATGAACACTAATCACCTAATGGTATAAGTACCATTTGGAACACAGTAAATAAAACATGCCTCATTAAATGCATATTCTTCCCAAGTAGTCAAGGCCCATAGTCCCTAAGATGTGGTGAAATTTATAGTTAAATGAGTTATTTTATCAGAAGGAAAATGCATTTAGTTGATTATAAAGATTCTAAAATAAGGAAGAACCAGAAAGAGAAAGAAGCAAAAACTTTATTTAAGGAAATAATTCAGATTATTAGAGTTTTTCAGCCATAATCCTTAAGATCAAAAGATTTGACAACAGTAATAAAGCCTCATAAAAAAAATATTTATCATTACCGCAAAGTCTACCACAAAAGGCAACAAACATAGGCCCAGAACACTGAGCCAGCAATGAAAAAAATGCATATGAATATATCTCTCATTAGCATATTTCTGAAGGATATGTATTGTTATCTGTTTTTAATCCCTAGAAAATCCTTGGGGAAACTTTCATGAAGTGCATTGGAATCAATTCATTATCATTACCAGAAACTAGAATGTAGTTGAACATGTTTGACTAAATATAACAGAAACCACTTTGGGTTTCATTTGTTTTGGTGCTCCTGTATTATTTTCCTCTCTCCTACATTTTATTTGGTGTCAGAGTCCCCAGTTTATTTGGAAAATTGTTTTACACCCTAGCCTGGGGGGTGAGGTGTTAAAAATCACTGTGTCTCACCAGCCAGGATCCTCCATTGCTCTGGTCCTGGGAAACAGGAGAGGAATGAATAGGACCAGTGCTAGGGTATTCACTTTGCCTTGTAATACCCCAAAATAAACTAGCCCTCTCTTTCTTTTGGGATACTAACTGGGCTGAGATAAATCCTTCCTGAAGGAAGCTTGTGGTCATGGAAGAAAATGACACTATAATCATAAAAGAAGAAAGATAAGTGATAGAGAAAGAGATAATCCTGAAGAGCTCATTTAAATCCCTGGACTCAGTCACGCTGAAATATAAAATAAACTCTTCTTAATTTCTTAAGCCAGTTTGAATTGAGTTTTAATAAACAGAAATATTTACATAAATTTTTAACATTGAATAACAACTCTCCATAACAATAATAGCATTTGGATAAATTTACAAGCAATCCATAAGCCAATTATTAGGCATAATTTCTACTTCATCTGTGACTTTTGAATCTCTACAAGAATTGCTACATGAACATTTCAGAGACCCACTACCTGTTATGTACTGAATGTTCATGTCCCCTGCAAATTTATATACTGAAATCCTACCTCCTAATGTGATGGCATTTGGAAGTGGGGTCTTTCGTGGGTAATCAGAATTAGATGAGGTCATTAAGGTGGAGCCCTCCTGAATAGAATTAGTGTCCTTAAAAGAATCTTGAAAGAGACTTCCCTCTTTCACTACATGAAGACACAGAGAGAAGACCGCATATGAAGCAGGAATTAGGCCATCACCAGACACTAAATCTGCCCATGCTTTGATCTTGGACTTCCCAGGCTCCAGAACTGTGAGAAATAAATGCTTGTTGTTTAAACCACCCAGTTTGCAGTGTATAGTTATAGCAGCCTAAGCTAACTAAGACACTACTCTTGACTGACTCTTTCAAGGAAAATATGTAATTAGCAATGAAAAATTACTGAGATTTGAAAGAAAAAAAACAGGATCTACATAATTCATGAGCTGCAGAATTCATCTCCAAAATATCTAGAATTTACTATATTCAGTATGTATATAAAGAAAATATGTTTGACACATGATGTGGTTTAGCTCTTTGTCCCCAACCAAACATCATGTGGAATTGTAATCCCCACAGGTTGAGGAAGGGCCTAGTGGGAGGTGATTGAATCATGGGGGCAGACTTTCCCCTTTCTGCTCTTGTGATAGTGAATGAGTCTCACAAGATCTGATTATTTAAAAGTGTGTAGCACTTCCCCCTTCACTCTCTCTCTCTTCTGTTCTGCCAAACGAAGATTGTGCCTGTTTCCCCTTTGCCCTCTTCTGATTGTAAATTTTCTGAGTCCTCCCCAGCCATGCCTCCTGTACAGCCTGCAGAACTGTGAGTCAATTAAACCCCTTTTCTCCATAAACTACCCAGGCTCAGGTATGTCTTTATAGTGGCATAAAAATAGACTACTACAGAAAATTGGTACCAGAGAAGTAAGGCATTGCTATAAAGATACCTGAAAATGTGGAAGCAACTTTGGAACTATGTAATGGGCAGAAATTGGAACAGTATGGAGAGCTCAGAAGACAGAAAGATGAGGGAAAGTTTGGAACTTCCTAGAGACTTGTTAATTTTTTTTGGACCAAAATGCTGATAGTGATATAGACATTCCAGGTGTAAATTAGCTGGGTGTGGTGGTGCAGGCCTGTAATCCCAGCTACTTGGGAGGCTGAGGCAAGAGAATCACTTGAACTGGGGAGGCAGAGGTTGCAATGAGCCAAGATTGTGCCATTGCACTCCAGCCTGGGAAACAAGAGCAAAACTCCATCTCGAAAAAAATAAAATAAAATTAAAAAAAAAAAAAAAAAAAAGTGGCCTGGCTGCTTCTAAAAGCCTATGCTTATTTGCATAAACAAAGAAATGAACTGAAACTAGAACTTATCACAAAAGTTTGGAAAATTTGCAGCATGACTATGCAGTAGAGGAGAAAAATCCATTTTCTGAGGAAGAATTCAAGGCTGCAGAAGAGCTGAATGTTAATAGCCAAGACAATGAGGAAATTGCCTTCAGCGCATTTCAGAGACGTTCCTGGTAGCCCCTTCCATCATAGGCCTGGAGGTCTAGGAGGGAAAAATGGTTTCATGGGCCAGACTCAGGGCCCCACTGCTCTATGCAGCCTCAGGACATGGCACCCTGCATCCCAGGCATTCCAGCTCCAGCCATCGCTAAAAGGGGCCAAAGTAATGCTCGAGCCATTGTTTCAAACACTGTAAGCTGCAAGCCTTGGTGGTTTCCATGTGGTGTTGGCCTGAGGGTGCACAGAAGGAAAGAGTTGAGGTTTGGAAGCCTCTTCCTAGATATCAGAGGATGTATAGAAACACTTGGATGTCCAGGTAGAAGTCCGCTGCAGTGGCAGAGCCATCACAGAGAACCTCCACTAGGGCCTGTAGCCCCTTTGTTTTGGCCAATTTATCCCTTTTGGAATGAGAGCATTTACCCAATGCCTGTAGCCCCACTGTATATTGGAAGTAACTAACTTGATTTTGATATTACAGGTTCATAGGCAGAAAGGACTTGCTTTGTCTCAAATGAGACTTTGGAGTTGGACTTTTAAGTTAATGTTGGAATGAGTTAAGACTTTAGGGGACTGTTGGGAAGTCATGATTGTGTTCTGGAATGTGAGAAGGACATGAGATGTGGGAGAAGCTGGGGGCAGAATGATATGGTTTGACTCTTGGTCCCCACTCAAATCTCATGTCAAATTGTAATCCCCACGTGTTGGGAGAGGGTCCTGGTGGGGGGTGATTGAATCATGGGGGCAGACTTCCTCTTGCTGTTCTTGTGGTAGTGAATGAGTTCTCACAAAATCTGGTTGTTTAAAAGTATGTAGTGCTTCCACCTTTGCTCTCTCTCTCCTGCTCTACTATATGAAGACTGTGCCTGCTTCCCCTTCACCTTCTGCCATGATTGCAAATTTCCTGAGTCTTCCCCAGCCATGCCTCCTGTGCAGCTTGTAGAACTGTGAGTTAATTAAGCCTCTTTTCTCCATGAATTACCTAGTCTCAGGTATGCCCTTATCACAGTGTAGAACAAACTAATACAACATATAACTCATGCAAAATAAATTTCTCCATATCTAAGAAAATGCAATGCCTACTTGTTTTCTAGGAATTGGCCATATCTAGGATTCTATGCTTGTGAGTAGGGGTAAGTTCTTAATCCTCTGGAGCAGTCAGAAAAATTCTAAAGACAATCTTGGACAGCATTGTTTGTGTAAACTCCTAGCTGCACAGCATAAAGGTTTATATTTAGCATTATTGGAAATGACTCAAAGGAAATTGTTTTTTGTGCTAACTGTGTAAATGTAATGCAAACAAAAATTTATCTACAGAAAAGTGTTAGAATGTAGAAGCAATCTTCTCTTCCCTTCCTCAGTGTTACAATTCTATTTTATTAATATCTACTGAGCATTTAGTATATACTGGATACTTAATATAAAAAAAAAGAATGTGATATAATCTCTACCACTTAGAAATTCAAACCCTGTTGAGTACTTTTTTCCCACTATTTTTAATATCTCACTGGGTAGCCAATGACATCAATGCTGAATAGATTAAAGATGCTGATTTTATGCTGAATAGTTTCATAGAAATAGCATTGAATCCATAGATTTCTCTGGGAAGTATGGCCATTTTAATAATATGATTCTTCCAATCCATGGGCATGTAATATTTTTCCATTTGTCTGTCTCATTTATAACTTCTTTCAGCAGTGTTTCATAGTTTTCCTTGTAGATATCATTCACCTCCTTTGTTAGATGTATTCTTAGGTATTTTATTTTTATGTGGCTATTGTAAATGGAATTGCATTCTTGAGTTGGATCTCCACTTAAATGTTATTGCTACTGATTTTTGTACATAAATTTTGTATCCTGAAACTTTACTGAAGTCACTTTTCAGTTCTAGGAGGCTTTTGGTGAAGTCTTTAGGGTTTTCTAGGTATAGAATTAGATCATCAGCAAAAAGAGATGAAATTTGGCTTCTTCTTTTCCTATTTGGATGCGTTTTATTTCATTCTCTTCCCTCATATCTCTGGCTAGGACTTCCAGTACTACGTTGAATAGGAGTGGTGAGAGTGGGCATCCTTGTCTTGTTCCATTTCTTAAGGAAAATGCTTCCAGCTTTTGTCCATTCAGTATGATGTTGGCTGTGGTTTCTCATAAATGGCTCTCAATATTTTGATATATGTTTCTTTGATGACTAGTTTGTTGAGTGTTCTTTTCATGAAGGGATGCTGGATTTTATCAAGAGATTTTTTCTGTGTCTACTGAGACAATCATATGGTTTTTGTTTTTAATTCTGTTTATGTGGCAAATCAGATTTATTAATTTGCATACATTCAACCAACCCTGACTGCTAGGAATAAAACCTACTTGATGTGGTGAATAAATTTTGATGTGGTGCTGGATTTGGTTTACTAGTATTTTATTAGGAATTTTTCTGCCTATATTCATTAGGGATATTGACATGAAGTTTGTTTTTGGTTGTTTCTTTGACAGATTTCAATATCAGAGTGATGCTCGCTTTGTACAATGTGTTAGAGAAGAGTCCCTGTTCCTCAGTTTTTTGGAATAGTTTTAGTAGGATTGGTAGCAACTCTTCTTTGTATGTCTGGTAGAATTAGGCTGTGAATCCATCTGATCCAGGGTTCTTTTTGGTTGGTAGGTTTTTAAATTACTGATTCAGTTTTAGAAGTTGATATTGGTCAGTTCAGGCTTTCAATTTGTTCCTCATTCAGTCTTGGGAGATTGTGTGTTTCCAGGCATTTATTCATTTCCTCTAGATTTTCTAATTTGTATACATAGAGGTGTTTATAATAGTCTCTGAGGATCTTTTGTATTTCCATAAGATCAGTTCTAATGTTGCCTTTGGCATTTCTGATTAAGCTTAGTTGAATCTTCTCTCACTTCTCTGTTAATCTAGCTAGTGGTCATCAATCTTGTTTATTCGTTTAAAGAACTCACTTTATATTTCATTGATCCCTTGTAAGGATTTTTGCCTCTTCGTTTCATTCAGTTCTCCTCTGATTTTAGTTATTTCTTTTCTTCTACTGGCTTTGTAGTTTGTTCTTGTTTTTCTAGTTTGTCTAGATGTGATGTTAGCTCATTACTTTGAAATCCTTCTAAAGTCTTGATGTAGGCATTTAATGCTATAAACTTTCCTCTTAACATTGCTTTTGCTGCATCCCAGAGATTTTGGTATGTTGTGTCTGTTTTATTTCAAAAAAGTATTTTATTCCTGCCTTATTTTTGTTGTTTACCCAAAAGTCATTTGATATGGTTTGGCTGTGTCCACACCCAGATCTCATCTTGAATGGTAACTCCCACTATTCCCACATGTCATGGGAGGAACCTGGTGAGTGGTGATTGAATTATGGGGGCAGGTCTTTCCTGCACTGTCCTCCTGATAGTGAATGAGTCTCACGAGATCTACTGGTTTTAAAAATGGGACTTTCCCTGCGCAAGCTCTCTTCCCTTGTCCACCACCATATGAGGTGTGCTGTACACCTTCTACCATGATTGTGAGGCCTCCCAAGCCACGTGGAACTGTAAGTCCAATACACCTTTCTTTTGTAAATTGCCTAGTCTCAGTTATGTCTTTATCAGCAGCATAAAAACAGATGAATACAGCATTCAGGAGCAAGTTATTTCATTTCCATGTAATTGGGTGGTTTTGAGAGAATTTCTTGGTAGTGATTTGTATTTTTGTTCCACTGTGGCCCAAAAGTATGGTTGGTATTATTTTGATTTTTTAAATTTATTAATATTTGCTTTATGGCTGAGCATGGGGTCGATCTGAGAGTATGTTTCATGTGCAGATAAGAAGAATGTATATTCTGTGGTTGGTTGATGGGTAGAGTGTCCTGTAGATGCCTATTGTGTCCAGTTGGTCAAGTGTTGAATTTAAGCCCAGACTTTCTTATTAGTTTTCTTCCTCTATGATCTGTCTAATGCCATCAGTGGAATGGTAAAGTCCCCCACTATAATTGCGTGGCTAAGTCTTTTCATAGGTCTGGAAGTACTTATTTTATTAATTTGGGTGCTCCATTGTTGATTATGTATATATTTAGGATAGTTCAGTCTTCTTGTTCAATTAAACCCTTTATCATTATGTAGTGCCCTTCTTTGTCTTTTTTTATTGTTGATGTTTTAAAGTCTATTTTGTCTAAGAATAATGACCCCTGATCTCTTTTAGTTTTCCACTTACATGATAGATCTTTCTTCAACCCTTTGAGACTATGGGTGTCGTTACATGTGGGCTGAGTCTCTTGAAGACAGCAGATGAATGGGTCTTGCTTTTCTATCCAACTTGCTGCTCTTTGCCTTCTAAGTAGGGTGTGAATACCATTTACATTCATGGCTAATATTATAATGTGAAGTTTTGATTCTATCATAAAGTTGTTAGCTGGTTGCTTTGTAGTTGCTATTGTGTAGTTGTTGTATAGGTTCTGTGGGCTATATACTTAAGTGTGATTTTATGGTAGTAGGTATTGTTTTTTGTTTCCATGTTTAAACTTCCTGAATAATCTTTTGTAAGGCTGGTCTAGAGGTAACAAACTCCCCTAGTGATTTCTTGTCTGAACAAGATTTTATTTATCCTTCACTTATGAAGCTTAGTTTGGCAGGATATAAAATTCTTGATTGGAATTTCTTTTCTTTGAGAATGCTGAAAATAGGCTCCCAATCTCTTCAAGCTTGAAAGGTTTCTGCTGAAAGGTCTGCTTTTAGCCTGATGCGGTTGCCTTTGCATGTAATCTAACCTTTTTCTCTAGCTATCTTTCAAGTTTTTTCTTTAGCATTGACCTTAGGCAGTCTGGTGACTATATCCTTTAATAACATTCATTTTGTATAGTATCTGGAAAGTATTCTCTGAATTTCTTGCATCTGGATATAAGAAATCTCTAGCAAGATTAGGAAAATTTTCTTGAATTATTCCCTTAAATATATTTTTCAGGTTTACTTTGTATCCTTATCTTTTAGGAATGCCAATAATTTATAGACTTGGTCACTTTAAGTAATCTCATATTTCTTGGAGACTTTGCTCATTTTTTGAATTTTTAAAAATTTTTGTCTGACTGGATTAGTTTAAAAGAATAGTTTTCAAGCTCTAAAATCCTCTCTTCTCTTTGGTTTAGTCTACTGATAAAACTTTCAATTGTATTTTAGAATTTCTTAAGCAATTTTTAATTCCAGGAGCTCTGATTGATTTCTTTTTAGAAGATTTATCTTTTCCTTAGTTTCCTGGATTACTTTAGAAGTGTATTTGTATTGATTTTAAATCTTGTGTTGGATTTCATCAAGTTTCCTTGACATCTATGCTTTGAATTCTTTAACTGTCATTTCTGAGCTTCCATTTTGGTTAGAGACCATTTCTGAAAAGAATGATCCTTTGGTGGTGTTGCAACATTCATATTTTTCATGGTGCCAGAATTCTTATACTAGTTCTTTCAAATCTGGAGATAAATGTGTTGGTTAGGGTCTTTTGGCTTTACTTCTATAGCCCTTTGCACTTCTGTCACTTCAGATTTTATACTATGCCATGTGGTTTGACCTACAGGCCAGTAGACAGCACTTGCAGGTAAGAGCACTGTAGCACAAGCAGGTAGTTGTGTACCTGATCTTTCTTTACCATGAGGTGCTTTCTGTTGTCTTGGGTGAAGGACTGGACAGTGAAGTACCTGGTGCCCTGAGCTTTTCATGGGGGTTGGGGGACACAGCTGGGTTGAGCTGGAGCCCCAAGCTTGCCTATGAATACAGAGATGGCAAGTGTAAACACCAGCTCTGACAAGAGTGACTAGGAGGATCATCTGGGGAAATGAGTCTCCATGTGGGGGAGAGGCTGCAGCAGCTGGACCACTCTGGACCACAATATGGTTGAAAGCCATGGGAAACACCTGTTTCACCACTCTCTGTGGAAGTGGTTTCAGGGTATAATCTTGTCACCCAACCGGATACATATAGCTTCCTGGCTCTCCTGTTCTCCAATGTGAGAGTACTTCCGCTTCTTATAAAGGGGTGGCTCCACATTTGGACTCATGCAAGTGAGTTGTGTGGTGGTATTGGCTGATTTGGTCAGCTTGACCTCAGACACTGGGGGAATCGGCCAGATGCCAGCTGAGTTGGAATGGGGTAGGTAGTTTCCCCAGTTCCGAGGCCCCAGGTGGCCCACTAGATAGCATATATGACTCCTGAAGGGCCAGGACTAGGGTTGGGCTAGCCCAGAAGTCAAGTGCTGGCTGTGATGGGGAGGGGTGGCCTGGTCCCCAGATCACCAACCAAACTCTCAGGCAGGGGCAGATGGAACACTTAAGTGGTAGAGGATCTGAGGGGATATTACAGGCCTGTGGGGGTTGGGCTTTCAGAAGGGCTCTGGACCACAGGTGAAATGTTCAGGTGGGGGCAGGGCAGCTGTGCTATGGGCCTTCCACCGAGGAAGGCAGGACCCCCTCAGCTGCAGCAGTAAAGACTGTAGGGCATGTGATACACTTGCACTTCCCTCCCACCCAAGAGGGTGGACTTTGCTATTGGTGGCATGCAGAGGTGCTAAACCTTGTCTATTACCTCTGAGAGTTTTGGCTCAGAAGAATGAGGAGCTGTCACCAACCAAAATGTTTGGATTGGGGGCAGGGCCACTGTGCTGGGAGCCCAAGCTGTAGATCCTGCCTGGCAGGAAATAGCAGGGCAGTCTGGCCACTCCTCAGCACTGTGGCTGCATCCTCTAGCAGGGCTATAACTGTTGACACCAAGGGTCCAAGTCCTCTGGGGCTTCACATGGGCTTAAACAGTGCCTGTGCAAAGACTCCAGGTGGCTCTCTGTATTGGCCTGGAGGAGTGAAGGTGTCAGGGAGGTTCTCCCATGCCCAGGATTGCAAGGTTCACGGAGGAAGTGTGGATCCTCTGGGGACACTCATTCCCTCATCATTTCTCCACATTAGGAGGCTTCCGCTGGCTCCACACCAGTTCTGAGTAGGAGGCTGCCTGGCTTCACTTCTGTTTGTTCTTTTTGGTTCCTGTCGCTTCTTTGGTGAATCCAGAAACGATCCCTTTGATGACCCACTTGAAGAGCAAGTGTTTACTCTCTACCCTGTTTCTCTGTGTGAGAGTGCTAAGTCTGCCATCTTCAAGATTTACTTAAAGGCAATTTTTTTTCCCATTATTTTTCACCACCTGTTCTGGAACCACAAAATTAGTAAAACTTGCTGATCATCTTCCAGTATTTCCCAAGGGGGTATTTTTGGCATTTTGTTGAGACAATTCTCTTTAGTATAAAACTGTCTCATGTTTTAAACCCTTGTGCCATAGCACTCTTCAGTTACTGTGACAACAAAAACAGCCCTACATACTTCTGAACACCTGCCAGGAAGAAGTTCCATATTGTACCATTGGCCCAATGCCTACTGTTTTAGAAAAGGGTAAATAGAAGTCCAGAAAAGTTAGATGGCTCAATTAAGGTCTCAGAGCTAGCAACTTCCAAACTAGCAAGCAGATTTTTCTTACTATTCCAAAGATTAAATGAAAGTTTTTTAATGCCATAGCATTCCTTTCAAGTTTTCTGAACTTTTGGTGTTTGGATTTAATTTGAATTAATCAAGCATGTTCTCAAATAAGAAAGTTCAAGGTCTGTGTGGAATTAACTTGGCCGTATATAAAGTGGGATTTAGTAATTGATTTTAAATTACTAATAGGTTTTTCAAAATTTTTATTTGATATTAACATGGGCATATATGTCTCATGACTCTTAAGGACAACTTAATAAAATAGTTAAATATTTAAAGCAAGCAATAAAGCAAGCAGAGAGGATGGGAGAAGATCCCGTTTCTTTCCAGAAGAGCCACAGTAGATAAATGACTGCAAGAACAGGATTAGTGGGAACAATGTGGTCCCTGGCTGTGGTCCAGAATTCAATATAACTAGAGTGAAGGTACAGAGAGGAAGACCAAGGTTAAGTCGGCAAAGACTGGACTAGCTAGACCACCCCTCATGTAAAGATAATTAAAGAAATTTCAGGCCTAGGAATTTTGCATACTACCAAAGCAGAAAATATTTTAGAAAACTCCTTGGAGTTCACAGGGTCATGGAAGAAAACAAAATAGACTCTCAGACAAGAGGTACTACTTATGAGGCACTACCTATATCAAAGTTATAGAACAATAAACATTTATATGCTGAAAAGCACAGCTTCAGATATGCATAATAAAATAAAATCTGTTAGAAACATGAAGAAATTGAGGAAAATCACACAATTTTTCATAGAAGATTTCAATACATCATATATGTTTGGGCTGTTATAACAACATATCATAAATTGTGTATCTTATAAACAACAGAAATTTAATTCTCACATTTCTGAAGGCTAAGAAGTCAAGGTGCCAGCAGATTCAGTGTCTGATAAGGACTCACTTTCTGGTTCACAGATGGTGTCTTCTAGCTGTGTCCTCACATGGTGAAAGGGACGAAGGAGCTCTCTGGAGCCAATTTATAAGAGCACTGATCTCATTCACTTCCCAAAGGTCCTAACTCCTAACACAGTAACATTGGTGATTAAGTTTCAACATGTAGATTTGCAGGGGGGACACAGATATTCAGACCATAGCATCATGCTTTGACAGTTCAAAGGGATTTCTTTTTAAAAATTCGGAAAATATTGGAAAGTCTAAAATTAACCTAATTAATGAAGTTGAGTTTAGATAGACAATAGATAACTTGTAATAGAAAATATATCCTTTTCAATAATTCATGAAAGAGAAATTAATTATCTACTGGGACACAAAACCTTATGCCAGAGTAGAAGTAATAAAAGTCATATCTTCTGACTAAAATGTAATAAAACTGTAATTTAATGACAATGG
The DNA here is from genome assembly GCF_000001405.40 of Homo sapiens. Taxonomy (NCBI): domain Eukaryota; kingdom Metazoa; phylum Chordata; class Mammalia; order Primates; family Hominidae; genus Homo; species Homo sapiens. The sequence goes on along the minus strand of NC_000006.12, from coordinate 122,492,892 downwards.
CTTAAACAAAAAGGCTTGCCTTTGTGGAAAATGGAAAACATGTCTTAAATAATTATTGGGTTAAAAGGAAACCAAAGCTTCCAGTAAAGAATATTGAGAAAATTAAAAAAAAAAAAACTCTTTCTCTTAAAATATATATAAGATATGATAAAGCTATACTGGGGCAAACTCATAACCTCTTATGCTTAAATTACTTTACAGAAAAATATAAAAAGAACAAATGCTTCAATAAAATAAAACATAAAATGTTAGAGTTATAAAAATAATAAGTCAAACTAGAAACTGAGAGGAAAATGTAGTTTGATCACTAAAAGCAAAAACTGGTTCTTTGGGGAAAAATTTTCTTTGAAAGAATGTCTCTTAAGTCCATTACTCTGGTCTAGGAATTAGTGGAAAAGCAATATAAATATATATCTGGAAACATTACTGAGGCTATCGCTGGTCCCATATTGTTCCCTGAGTGCTTAATGTTATCAGTGATAAAGAGCCCGAAGTAACCATAGGTCGTAGATCTAAAAGGCACACGTTCCCTAAGAAGCTCATGACTTCCCTATAACCTGAATTCTACTTGCTTTTCCTCTGCTCAGTTTTTGTCCCATGAACACTACCCACGAACAACCAGAGATTCTCTCAATATGCTTACAATCAATTTTTCTTAAGCCATAACTCCTCCTTCTGTGTTTAGCATGAATACATAAATGTATTTCTCTCTCTAAAATCAGTATCCTTTCAACTGACATGTTCTCATACCTCTCCCTCACTGTTCTGGTGGCCCTCTGCTGCCCCCTCTTGGTTCTAGGCTACCCTCTCAAGCGCTGAGATGTGTGGCTTAAGCCTCTGAATAAAACCTCCAAGTGTTTTTGAAATATCTGCGTAACTAATCCACAGTTGGTGAGTCTTAGCTTTTAGTAATGTAGTGGAATTACAAAGGGCTTTCAGTACTCATAATTCTAACATATAACTAAAGAAAATTTGCTGACTGTAAAAACAACATATTTATTTTTACCGAGTAGCTTTAGAAATTCAGCTCAAATCTTTCTAGATTAACCTTAGTTTTCTAGATAAAAACAAGGTACAGAAATAATGAATGTTCCCAATAATGCAGTGATTCTTGATATTTTTGAGTCATAAATGGCTATGAAATCAGATCAAAACTATAACTCAGAGGAGTGTGTATTCAAAGGCTATGCACCAGGACACTGAAATGTGCTTCCACAACCTATTTTCAAGAAATGACTTGTTGCACCAGTAGTGAGGAGTGCTATCTGCAGACATCTTTCAGCTGTTCACTTCTTCAGGAAGACTTGGTTTGCCCAAGGCCACACGTCCCTTCTAGAGGCCTACGTTAATGACTAATTTTTACAGTAGGTAGCTAGCCAGGCATGAGCGGGGGAGGAGAGGGCTCCCCCAACTCCAACAGGAATGTCAGGTGACCATCAGGTGATGGTCAGGCAGTTGTCACACTGCCTCTCTAAAATAATAATAGATGATTCCCAAAAAGATCTCAGGAATTGGGTGAGTGAGCTCAAGCATGCACATTAAGAGGCAAAATGGTGGAGTTTAACTGGTATATGACCTTCCAGAAGCATTCCACTGGTAAAGAGAAGAATGCCTCAAGTGAGCATGCGTATAACTCCAGTAACACACTGTGCATGAGAACAGGCAGCTCCAAGTGCAGAATAAAGAGATAAGGGATGCAAGACCATGGAAGTATGTCAAGATATAAAACCCCAAGTCAAAAGGTCAAACCCCACACTTGTCCTTCAAGTGGCCTGCTTGGGCCTCTTCCTAGTGTACTTTTCTTCCCGCTGTAAAGCTTTTTAATAAACTTTCACTCCTGCTCTAAAACTTGTCTCAGTCTCTTCTTCTCCTTTATGCCCCTCAAATTTTTTCTTCTGAGGAGGCAGGAACTGAGGTTGCTGGAGACCAGTATAGATTCACTGCCACTAACATAATCACTGATGGGTGATCTTAGCCCCATTCAGGCAACTCTAAAGGGTCATTCTAGTTCTAGAGCTTCCCTATGGATTCAGCTGAGGCTAAAGCTGGGCTGTATCACAGCACAACTTCTTCCTCTGCCTACTTGTATTAGGCAATTTTTGCTAGCTATAAAGAAATAGCTGAGACTGAGGAATTTATAAATAAAAGAGGTTGAATTGGCTTATGGTTCTGCAGGCTGTACACGAAACATAGTGCTGTCATCTTCTGCTGAGGCACTCAGGAAGCTTACACTCATGGTGGAAGACAAAGGGTAGCCAATATGCCACATGATGAGAATGAGAGCAAGAAAGAGAGAAGGGAGAGGTCCCAGATTCAAAACAACCAGATCTCTGTGTGAACTGAAAGGAAACTCACTCATCACCGAGAGGATGGTGCTAAACCACTCATGAGGGACCTTTCTCCATGATCCAATCACCTCCCGCCAGTCCCCACCTCCAACATTTGGAATCATATTTCAACATAAGATTTGGAAGAGGTAAACATCCAAACCATAATACTACTACTGTTTTCTTTCCCTCCCTGCCAGTTGTATTGATCTCTTTGGTAAGGGCACACTTTAATAAACATCCTCACGCTAAACTTCATCTCAGAGCCTCCTTCCTGAAGAAGCCAACATGTGACAACTACAAACATAACTATATAAAGCAGCACCTTTTCTTTCTCCTGGAAATTATTCAAAAGCTACAAGAAGATGCTTTTATAAGTTTGAAAAACATTTTTGGAGGACTTAGACACAATTTGAATGACTCTATAAATCAGCATTTTCCCTTTTTCTTGGAAATTATTCAAAAGCTACAAGAAGAAGCTTTCATAAGTTTGCAAACTATTTTTGAAGAACTTGGATGCATATTTAACTCCCAGACTCCATTTTATATCAAACACTATCAAAAGCACATGACATTTTTTTGTATACACAGAAAGGGCAGTGAAAACAAGAATCCCTGGTGATAAATCTCAAGAGCAGGGATCCACTGAAAAATAGATCTCAAAAAGCACTTGCAAAATATACTTCCTGAAAGTGTGGGTATACTGTGAAGCCAAAAAGTAATATTCCTTTTTTGTGACCGTTAGTACAAAGACTGAATGGATTGAGTTGTCATGTCTTTCTTCTTAAGAAGGCCTGGGGCTATAAAAAGAATTATACAGAAAAATCATATTTATAAGAAGTAACATGACTCTGTAACAGGAAAGGAGAAAGCTTTTGCTCTATGAAAATTACTTAGCCAGAAACTTTATCTTTCCTTCATATCCCAAAAGAAACCTCTTACAAATGGCCAGTCCAGGAAAGCCTAACTCATTCAATGATAAGTAGTATTTTAAAAGGAGAGAATCCATTTTTAAATTACTGTTTTGGCCAGGCTCATGCCTGTAATCACAGCACTTTGGGAGGCTGAGGCAGCTGAATCACTTGAGGTGAGGAGTTCAAGACCAGCCTTGCCAGCATGGCAAAACCCCATTTCTATTAAAAATACAAAAATTAGCTGGGTGTGGTGGCAGGTGCCTGTAATCCCAGCTACTCAGGAGGCTGAGGCAGGAGAATAAATTGAACCTGGGAGGCAGAGGTTGAAGTGAGCTGAGACTGTACCACTGCACTCCAGCCTGGGCAACAAAGCAAGACTTTTCTCAAAAATAATAATAATAACAATAATAATAATAATAATAATAATAAATGAAATACTATTTTTAAAAGTCTCTTATTTTTCCCCCTTCTTTAAAAAAATCTATTAATTCTTTTTACTTCCTGTCCTTTGAGGCAGCTAACACAAGTAGAAACTTTAGGACCAAGGAAACTATTGGGGCTATTGAGGTGGGCAGGGCCTAGAAGGCAACTTTCTGGGTCAGGAGTTTGATTATATACAGGAGGAAAAAGCAAATAAGTGAATAAATTGAGAATAATGAGAACCAAGTTTCTCACTATTGGATAAATGAGTTACAAATATGAAAAGCCAATGGCCAGAATGATCCCTGTGGTATTATGTTTCAATTGGAATTATCACTGGGAACACACAATTTCTTAGATAGACAGAGATAGACAGATAGATACAGAAGTAGATACAAATGTTTGTGTATGTGAGTGACAGACATTTTCTACCTCTGCCTGGTGGGAAAGCCTAGAAGCAATTAATCCCAGGAGCAGTGAGCAGACGTAGTGCTCCAATGTTGGTTTCTAAGTATCATTCTTCTCTAACGTAGAACAAGAGCTCCTTGGAGAAATGAAAGAATAATATAAACTGGTTTGAGAACAGCCTGGGCAACATGGCAAAACCCCATTTCTACAAAAAAAAAATACAAAAATTAGTTGGCCATAATGGTGTGCCTGTTGTCCCAACTACTCTGGAATCTGAGGCAGGAGAATCACCCGAGTCCAGGGAGGGAGTGGCTGCAGTGAACCATGATGGTACCACTGTACTCCAGCCTGGGCAACACAGTGAGACCCTGGAAGATCTTGTGCCAGAAAAGAAGAGCTCAAACAAAAGAATATGAAGGGAAAAAGTAAAAGACAGTATTCAGCTTCTAGGTGGGGGGTTTCCCCGTTTGCCAAATACGTAGCAAATAGAGCAACAAGATAAATAATTATAACAATAGACTATAAACTCATTAAATAAACAGAAATCTATAAGGAGATGTGTGTGTTTGTGTGTGTACATACATGCGTGTGTGTGTGTATATATATGAATATATATATATGAAAGAAAAAGCTATTACTTCCAGCCAAATGCAAGTTAAATGTAGAAAGAATGATGAAATGAGAAAATTACAATTTGGTAGCCATAATAAGAACATATTGAGATAAGAACCTTGGATGGATGCTGAAATGAATGGGTAAATAATTACTGAGGAACAACATATTTACAGTCTAAAAACATATCCCTCCAAAATACTTACTAAAGAGAGAAACAGAAACTTTACAATTGAGAAACCTGGAAGATATCACTTTAAACGAGTGATAAATGTGTTATCATCAGTAATGGGACAAATCAGCACCATATGTTTACTGATGCAGTATTAATACAATGAGAAGAACACAGCATCGCTTCTCTCATATCCCTGTCCTGAATGCCTAAGCTGTGACTTAGTTCATTCAGGCTGCTATAACTAAAAACCTTAAATTGGGTAGCGTATAAACAACAGAAATTTGTTTCTCACATTTCTGGAGGTTGGGAAGTCTATGATCAAAGTGTTAATAGATTTGGTGTCTGGTGAGAGTCTGCTTCCAGTCAAGACTAAAGGGTCATCCAGAGCTTCCCCATGGAGTCAGCTGATGCTACAGTTGGGCCTGTCTCAAAACACAACAAAACAGCACCTTCTTGCTGTGTCTTCACATGGTAGAAGCGCTAGTTAGCTCTCTGGAGTCTCTTTTATAAGAGCATAAATCCCAATCATGAAGGCTGTCCCCTAACAACCTCATCACCTCCCAAAAGGCCCCACCTTCTAATACCATCACACTGGTGATTAGGTTTCAATGTATGAATTTTGGGGGGTGAACACAAACATGAATATTCAGAACATAACAAGCTGAATCTAATCACAAAGAAATATCAGATGAATCTAAACATAAGAGGTATGATACAATTTAACTAACTTTCATTCTTCAAAAAAATAACAAGGTCATGAAAGAAAAGACTGAATATGGGTTCTGGATTGTCAGATAATCAAGAGACATGACAACTAAATGCAACACATAATCCTCTATTGGACCCTGGACCAGATAAACTATTTATTTATTTTTTTGTTATAAAATATATCACTGGGACAATTGGCAAAATGTGAATATGTTCAATGTAGAAAGAAGCATTTTACCTATTAATTTTCTGATTTTGGTACATTGTGGTTATGCAGTAAAATGCTTTTACATTTGAAGAAATAAATATTTATGTAGTTACATGAAATACAGCATCATGTCTACAACTTATTTTTAATTGATTCAGAAAATAGTAGTTAGATAGATAGATAGACAGACAGCAAGTGTGGCAAAAGGTTAACATTTGGGGAATTGGGATAAAGGGTAGATGGAATTCTTCATAGTATTATAACTTTTCTGCAAATCTAGAGTTATTTCAACTAAGATGTTTTAAAACACAGTACTTTTAAAAAGCAAAAGTAAAATTACATGAAAAATGTCATGGTGCAGATTCAAACTGTGATCAAATACTCTGCCATAAAATTAAAAATGTATTAATAAAATTCACTCTAACTAGAATACCATAAAGCAGAAATGTTAGAACTTGAGGAAGAAATGGTAAGACAATAAAAGGAGATACACATTAGTAGAAAAACTAGAAAGAAACAAGAGATAAAGAAAAAAAATCATACACACAAAAAACTAATATGAGAAATGAAATTAGAAGGAACATAATGGAAGTTAGATACTATTGGAACATAGAGGATGAAACTTATAAATGAAAATGTATAACAGAAATAAACTTAAAATGCATTAAACATGAAATAATAAATATAGAAGACGAGGGTGGATCAAGCAACTATGGTTGGAATCCTCAAAAAAGAAACCAAAACAAGAGAACAAATAATTGCATAATATTTTTAAATGCCATACTTATTATTCTGAAAGAAAGATAACAATAATTGAATTGCGACTGGTTTAGGGGGAATAAAATGACTGGAGGACTTTTTATCATCTGAAACAACCAGAAATGATGAAACTGGACTCAAGACTTTTTCAATTTCTGCAGAAAGAAGCTGGCTCACAAGTTTAATAGGGACAGTGATGGATTTAAAAGAAAAAAAGTTTATTTTTAAGTTTGGCTATTCAATTTATCAGCTACATTTGTTTTTATTTTTATTTTAGAGTCAGGGGGGTAATGTGGAGGTTACATGGGTATATTTTGTGATGAATTAGCCACATTTGTGTATGTGTCTATGAATATGTTATTTCTAGAAAGAAACAATCAACTGGCACCAGAAATTTCTCCTAAGAAAAGACATATGTTGTAAATTTGGGACAAAAAAATAGAAGAGAGACAATTTTTGGTGACAATTACTTCCATGCAAAAAGACAAAAGGCAAGACATACAGCAATAATCCAAAAGTTACAGTGAATCCAACCATGCTACCAAAGCACAGTCACTGCTAATTCATGATAAAGACTTCAACAGATGCAACATTCAATACTCAGGCACTCGACTGCTAATGATTTCTGCCACCATCCTTCCGCTTTAACACTGCCTTTGATGGCTCTGCTATTAAACTAGCCATCCTTACTAGATTCTACTCTTCTAGTTTTGAATTGGAAATGTGTTAACCACTCTCCTTTGTTATTAAACGTGATTTTTGTTTACCACGTGTGCTTCCCTTAGATCCTGATTTCTGTATTCCAGTAACACACGACTGATGCTATCCTGAAGCCTAATTATTCCAGAAAATTTAATGTTGTTTTTACCACTGACATATCTTTTACCTAAAGAATGATGCCACTTTGATACATTAGTTTGTTCTAATATTTTAACCTAAACCTTCAAAATTAATACTTTATAGATGACTAGCTCTTCTATTTTCAGTGAGATTCTAATTCTCCTTTGGGAAATAATTTCAATGTATAAATACTTAGGCCTCTTATTTATATCTCATGTAATAGATTAATTCAGTTTTTCCATTTTGTCTCATTTTATTCTCAGTAAAAATACAGACCACCTAGCTACCACATTCCAGGAAAAAAAAAAAAAGAATATTTTTGTTGAAAGAAAAACTTCAGCTGAATTAAATTTAAAGGAGTTTAATTGAGCAAGGCACGATTCACAAATCAGGCAGCCCCCAGAATCACAGCATATTCAGAGACTCTAGAGCAGCCACATGGTGGCAGATTTATAGGCCAAAAAAAGGGAAGTGAAGTACAGAAATTGGAAGTGAGGTACAGAAACAACTAGATTGATTACAGCTCAGCATTTGCCTTATTTGAACACAGTTTGAACACGAGGCAGTGTAAGAGTGGTTGAACTTCTGCTGCTAGGATTGGCCAAAACTCATCTATTGTTTCTGGCGCATACTCCTAAGTTAGGTTTTCAATCTTGTCTACCTATCAAGTCAGGCTGCAGCTCATCCACAAGGACTCAAATATAGAAGTACGGAGTCCTTCTCAGACCATATTTAGTTTGCTTTAACATTTTAATAGTGTTTTCCTAAATGATGATCCACGGGATGTGATATGTTGTTTTGTTTCAGGGTTTGAGATCATACACATTTAAGAAACATTGGATTAAACAATATTAAATAATTTTATTTATGGCAGTATTTGTCAAAGTCTTAAAAAAGTAATGTGTGCTGTGAATTTCTGATAAGGAAAATAGCAAACCTACTGAAAATGATCCCTTCACTTTGGGACTGCCCCTTTTTATTTCAAGATTCTTCTTTTTATAAGAATAAATAATTCCTCTTACTATAACAGTTCTTCACAGAATACATCTTCCAAAAATTAAGTCATATTTATTCCTTGCAATTGTCCTTGTTCCAAGAGTTGACGAAAATGATTCTCAGTTAAGATGTAAAGTGGCCTCTGATTTCTAAGGCAAAATCCCACTTTTCAAAACAAGTACATAAACCAAGCATACGAAATTATTTTATACAATTTGGTTGGTGTTCATGTAATTTTCTTCACATTAGCTTTTAGATATTTGATAAAGGTGTTTTTGACCTTAGAATAGTATTTAAAAGTATATGAATATATTTACTGCAAGAGTGGTTTTTTTTTTCTTTTTTCCTTTTTTTTTCTTTATTTACTTCAAGAGTGTTGTGCGGAAAATATGGAAGGCACAACCAAATTCATTAATTCATTCAATTGTTTACCAAGCCCCTTCTCCATGTCAAGCACTAGGTTAGGTGATGGCAGTAAAACTCTACAAATTAATCTGGCCTCTGCCCTCAAAGACCTTCACGTACAGATGTATTCTATCCTAGCTATGGTAGGGTGGCAGAATATGCCACAGCAAACTTTTCCACTTTGGCACAAGGATTACTTTGTGCTGAAGGCAATTGAGAAGAAAAAGATACAAGAAAAGCTCTCTGTTCTTCTGTCATCTAAAAGCAGGACATAAATTTACAAAGTTGTCCCCCGCTTTCTACAAGGAAGGACAAAACTTAATTACCAGAGACAGCTTTAGACCCTTACAGCCTGCAGACAGAATCAGAGGACTGTATATAACAAACTTTGCAAACTAGCCTTTATTTACCTAGTTTCCCATATATTTGCCTTCGCACAATCTGCCACTCCTAGAGACTCTTGTCATTTTTCTAAAAATTGTTTCTTTGCTGAAATCCTATATAAGTCCAAGTTCTAACCAAACCTTTGAGTTACTCATCTCTGGGTATATGTTACATGCACAATGCATATGTTAATAAACTTTTGTGTTTTTTTCCCCTTATTTTTCTGCCTTTTGTCAATTTAATTTAGAGGACTCTAACCAGAAAACCTAGGAGTGTATTAGGAAATAATTTTTCATCTTCTATATGCATACACAAAATTTGTCTGAGGCATTATGATATGTGGCAGATAATTGTAAAAATTATTTCTGTTTTCAGTAGCATTCATTCTAATGTATTCAGGGGATGTTTCAACTTGTAATAAAGGATTATTACTCTCCCATAATCAAAAATTGATATAAATTAATGTATTTATAGTTGTTTAAATTACTTCCATCAAATTTTCATCAAATGTTCTTTATGCTGTATACTGAAACTTTTTGTCTGGTTTAAATTTAAAAATGAGGAAGCTACAGAAGAAAAAGAGATAACTTACTAAAAATGTAATACTTCGACAAATAATTCTTTTAAAAAAATAGTCTCCACGTTCTGGTTTATTAAGATAATTTTAAATAAATTTATATGATTAAGACAAGCAGGCTGGTTGAGTCCCTATTTTAAGATGGTCTAAAGGAAACGATAAAGCCCCTCACTCAAACACTAGCTTATTTAACTTTCAGCCAATCAGTGACAAGAGACCCAAGAAACTTAACAGCAAGCTCCTATTTCAGCGGGGTAGGGATTTCCCCAGAGCCTTGCACGTGCAGTTGGACTTTAAATCCAACCTAAAGTGGCCGGGCACAGTGGCTCACACCTGTAATCCCAGCACGCTGGGAGAGCAAGGAAGACAGATCACGAAGTCAGGAGTTCGAGAACAGCCTGACCAACTTGGTGAAACCCCGTCTCTAATAAAAATACAAAAATTAGCCGGGTGTGGTGGCGCATGCCTATAATCCCAGCTACTCAGGAGGATGAGGCAGGAGAATCACTTGAACCCGGGAGGCGGAGGCTGCAGTGAGCTGAGATCGCACCACTGCACTCCAGCCTGGGTGACAGAGCAAGACTCCATCTGCAAAAAAAAAAAAAAAAAAAAAAATCCAACCTAAAGTTATCTCTTCCTCATTTTAATGCTAAAATTCACACACAAGGGTGGAGATTTTAAATGCTAATGCTACATGTAATGTATGGAGAAGCATGTTGAGCTACTGTGCAAGCACTAGAAAAAGCTGTCCTATATATGCCCTAATATAACCTTTCCCTATGAAAAGAGCCTATTAAATTAACCCACACACTACCCTCAGGGAACAGCCAACTCCTTTTTCCTTTCTCAGTGCTAGCTCCCTTGAGCACAAGCTGGAATAAAATTAAACTTACCTTTGCTGCCGGGGCGCGGTGGCTCACGCCTGTAATCCCAGCACTTTGGGAGGCCGAGGCGGGCGGATCACGAGGTCAGGAGATCAAGACCATCCTGGCTAACACGGTGAAACCCCGTCTCTACCAAAAATACAAAAAATTAGCCAGGCGAGGTGGCGGGCGCCTGTAGTCCCAGCTACTCGCGAGGCTGAGGCAGGAGAATGGCGTGAACCCCAGAGGGGCGGAGCCTGCAGTGAGCCGAGATCGCGCCACTGCATTCCAGCCTGGGCTACCGCGAGACTCCGCCTCAAAAAAAAAAAACAAAACTTACCTTTGCTGCTGTGTTCTGTGATGTCTCTTGATTTCAATATTGCGAGATTACAAAAACCCTGGGTGTTGATAACATAATTAGCATATTTTTGACACAGTTAACTACAGGTAAAATAGGAAGCCAAAGCAATATTTAAAAAAAATTTGAACTAATTTCTGACTTCAGAAAAGTTGCAAACACTGTACAAAATTTACTATATATCTTTCACCTCTATTCACCAAATATTAAAATTTTATCTTGTTTACTTTACACAATGTGTGTGTATGTACACACACAAACACACACACACATACATACTGTTTTGTAAACCGTTTGAGAATAAATTTCCAACATGATCCTTTTTACTCCCATATACTACAATGTACATTTTCAAAAATATAATACTTTTCTACATAACCACATTATAACAATCAAAAACAGAAAATCAGTTTTGATATGATACTGCTTTGTAATTCACAAGCCCCATTCAAATTTTGCTAATTGTCTCAATAATGTTCTTTACAGCAGTAACAGTAATTATTTATTAGTATTGTTATTTCTGCTCCAGTATCTAATCCATGATTACATGTGGCATTTAGTTGTCAAGTCTCTGGTTTCCTTTAATCTGGGCAGTTTCTTAGTCCTTTTCTTTCATGACCTAGACATTTTGAAAAGTACAGGCCATTTATGTTGCATAATGTCCCTTAATTTGGGTTTGTCTGATATTTCTTCATGATTTATTCCCGTTTATATGTTTTTGGCAAAAATGCCTCAGGAGTGATAGTGCTCACTCCTTAGTGCATTACATCAGAAGACACATGAAACCTATTTGTTCTATTACTGGTGATGTTAAAACTTTGATCTTTTGGATAAGGTGTCTGTCAGGTTTTCCACTGAAAAGCTTTCTTTTTAATTTTTTGTGGGCTTTTCTATACACTTATATAATCATGGGCTTGATTTGATGCAAGGAGCTTGACTAAGTGATGTCTTAAGATTTACTCAATTTAACTTCATTTTATGATATTTCTACATTAAGTTTTTTAAAAAGAACAAAAGATTATTTTTGTATCTCTGATTTTGTGGTATGTACAATATCACTTTATAATCAACACATATGCATGTCTATGATTAGTAATGATGTGGATTTTAGTTATCAGTGTGAAAATGAAAGCACACCTACTAAGCTTTAGAGAGTAACCTTTAAATTTAACAGAAAAGTATTTGTACAGTAAGAAACGGAGATGAACACCACAACCCACTAAAAATTGTTTGAAAAAAAATTCTTAGAAATATAAGGCAGGCATAGCCATCAAACAGATCAAAGGGAAGAGATAGAAATGGAGTAAATACTGTAGGCATATAAATAGAACATGACATTTTTCCAGGATCACTATTACTACATTTTCAAAAAATTTATTCCCTTTGGATTAAGTAAATAACTTGAATAGAAAAAGTACCTGAAGCATTATTTAAATAAATTGTAGTTGTTCTTTATCATTACTAACATTAAAATATTACATATGTATGCATCGATTACTCAAACATGCATAAAATCAGAATTGAAAATCAAAATAGTGCATTCGTTATTGGATATACTAAGTGTAGGTTAGCAATTTTATTAAAAAATTTGACTATAGGCCGGGCATGGTGGCTCAAGCCTGTAATCCCAGCACTTTGGGAGGCCGAGGCGGGTGTATCATGAGGTCAGGAGATCAAGACCATCCCAGCTAACACGGTGAAACCCCGTCTCTACTAAAAATACAAAAAACTAGCCGGGCGTGGTGGCGGGCGCCTGTAGTCCCAGCTACTCAGGAGGCTGAGGCAGGAGAATGACATGAACTTGTGAGGCGGAGCTTGCAGTGAGCCAAGATTGCACCACTGTACTCCAGCCTGGGTGACAGAGCGAGACTCCCTCTCAAGAAAAAAAAAAAAAAATTGACTATGGTTGCCACTACAAATCAAATAGAACTAACCTCACTTATTTCTACAAATATACTCATTGTTTTCTTTAATCTTTTTTTAACTTTCTATTATTTTTTCTATATACCTTTAAGCTCTGTTGGACCTTTTCACTGTTTATTCATGCCATGGGAAGCTCTTACAGTCAATACCGGCACTGGCATTGTAGACAGTGAAAAGCCAGAAACAGTATATGCTTTGAGAGAATGTGTCAAGTCTATCTATATACAAAAGAACTTAAAACTTTTGAGATTGCTACTAGAATATTCACGGCAATTTTGAGTGTCTCTGATGTTGGGTTTGGGGAGTGCCTGATATATAACTGCTCGCCAAAGGAAAATCTTTAAATAAAGCAGAGGGCAAAGAGAGATCACAGTCTAGTCAATGTGTCAACTTAATCTTAGCATTATATTAACAGCTAGGAAAGAGGGCAAAGAAAATAATGAGACTTCTGATGTCTAAGCACCCATGAGTAAATGCATTGTACTCTCATTTCTGTTTTGTGATATTTATCAAAACTATAGAACTGATCTGACTAAAAAGAAAATTTTGAGTTCTAATTGACAGAATTAAAACACATAGTCATAATACTACATGTTGTTTCCTAGGCCACTCAATTAGGATAAGGAACTTTTTTCCCCTTTGTTGATTCTTAGTGCCTCAAAACTCTATAAAGTATGAAGTACCTTTCTCAGGGCAGGATTAAGATATTAAGTTGCTTATTACTGCTTTAATGTGTCTGGGACAGAGCTTCTGAGAGTCTGCCTAGAGAAAGCAAGAAGCCCTGGAAAGGCTCTTAAAAATATTCTTGCAATTAGTCAAGATGGCCCAATAGGAACAGCTCTCTGCAGCATTCAGCAAGTTCAATGTAGAAGGTGGGTGATTTCTCCATTTCCAACTGAGGTACCCAGCTCATCTCATCGGGACTGATTAGACAGTGGGTGCAGCCACGAAGGGCAAGCAGAAGCAGGGTGGGGCATCACCTCACCCGGGAAGTGCAAGGGGTCGAGGAACTCCCTCTGGTAGCCAAGGGAAGCCGTGAGGGACTGTGCCATGAAGAATGGTGCATTCTAGCCCAGATACTATGCTTTTCCCACGGTCTTCACAACCCACTGACCAGGAGATTCCCTCCAGTGCCTACGCCACCAGGGCCCTGGGTTTCAAGCACAAAACTGGGTGGCTGTTTGGGCAGACACTGAGCTGGCTGCAGGAGTTTTTTTTGTTTTTTGTTTTCTTTCTCCAGATTTTAAGCATGTCTCTAAAACACTTTCTCCTATTGGCATTTAATCCATGGTTGTATTCATATAAATATCCAATGGGAAAAGTTCACTATTTTGGACTCCATTTGTATGTGAAAGCTACTTCTTAAAGGATATTTCCCCACCCCCCGCTGCCACATAATATGTTAAGTGACTCTAATTATGTTTTTTCTCTTACTAAAGACTACCATTTGGAATTGCTGAACAATGTGCAGTGTCCAGCCATGCCCGTATCAAAGCATACCATAGAACTGAACTATGGAGTACCCTCCCATGGCATCTAAACTGCTGGATGAGTATTGCTGGGAAGTGGAAATGTGCATAGCATTTGTATAAATGATGCTGGGAATGCTTTCTCCATGGCGGAGAAAATAGGTAGAGAGAATTCTGCTGTCAGCTCTACAACCACTGAGATGATTTTTAAAACTGGATGATTCCTAGAAAGACTGGATTCTGCCACAAAATACAAGTAAGTCAGGCCAGCTAAGGCAGAAAATTTCCTTCAGGAGATGTCGATTAAAAAAATGGCCTGTGGTTGGCTCATAAGCTTCATCTGACATTACATCTTTAAAAAGATAGGACTTTTCTGGAGGAAAGGGACAGACCCATAAGCAATAATGGAAACTAGTGGAAGCCAGCCTTCACTATAACAGGACTCTAGGTGGGAGCCTGCGAAAAATAATAGAACAAATGACACAGCCAGATGCTACCAAACAGCTAAGCCTAGGATTTCTGCAGGTGATGCAAAGCGGGTTACGGGATATGAAGACCTTAATACTAGAAAATATTAGGAAGCTTTATGGAGAAATTAAGACCTTACCAGTGACTTATCAGGTTGGTCCTGAAGGGGTGTCCATACTTTCTTGTCATCACTTTTGAAGTTAAAGCAAATCTTCAACAGGGTAAAAACTGTGAGGAAAAAGTACCCAAAGTTCTTAATCACTCAGTAGAAAGAGCTTTAGGTATGAATTTGCCAAAGTGTTTTACGCAATAATGGACAATACAGTCAGTGGAGTGAGGTGTAGAGAATTGGGTAAGAAGAAAAAATCACTGTCTGAAGTCGCTTGAGATCAGGCCACTTAAAATGTCAGGGCCTCTGGATATCATTCTATTCTTACAATTAATTCTGGAGGAAAGAAAGCAGCTAAGGCCATAGAAATTCAGGTGAATAAAAAAGAAATCAGGATAAATTGGCTAAAATAACATAATGGAATATATGGATTACTGGAAAATAAAGTCAAATCTGGCAAATTTCATATAGTATCATATAGTATAGTACTTTGATAGCCTAAATGATTATCAGAATATAACATTTATCCTTCTTACAAATCTCTCATATCTGATTTTTATATAAGAAATCAATTTAGGTTCAATACCTAAAGCAAATGCACAGGCTTAAAACCACTTTATCTGAAATATCTAAATAACTTATACAAAGAAAAATATGATTGCTTCCTTGTTTAGCTTGTATCACCTGGATAATTGCCTCGACTTTCTCCTTCAGCTTACAGACCTGCATTGTCCAATATAGGGACTACTGGACATTTGAAATATGCTGGTCCAAATGGAGATGTGCTCTTAATTATATAACACAACCAGATTCTGAAGACTTATATGAAAAATAATGTAAAACATTCTATTAAGAATTTTTATATTAATGTCATTGAAATATTTTGGATATAGAGTTCAATTAAATGCATCTTTAAAATTAATTTCATCCGTTTCTTTTAATACATCTACAAAAAATTTTAAATTACAAATGTGATTCACATTTCATTTCTATTGGAAGGTGCTGATTTA
Source organism: Homo sapiens (assembly GCF_000001405.40). NCBI lineage: Eukaryota > Metazoa > Chordata > Mammalia > Primates > Hominidae > Homo > Homo sapiens. The sequence continues at coordinate 122,476,959 of NC_000006.12, read as the reverse complement.
GACGTTGCCTTAATAACATGTTTAATAAGAATTCAAAAATCTGATGAGTGCCAAATCGAACTAGTTGATTCCTTTCTGTAGCACAAATAAATAACGTTTTGGGTGAATGAATGTGAAGAATTTCTTCAGTATATAATTTCATTATTTTATCAAGGTCAATACATCTGCCCTTGAAAAGTGAAATGTTTTAGAAATGTCATTTACACTTTTTCAAGAAGTCACTCCCTTCTCAATGATTATAAAATAGTACATTAAATATTAGACACATATTTGAATTTGCTATCCACTTTATTATTTACACAGTGAATATTTCCTTTTTTCCTGAATTTATGTATGTTCTGCCTGAAATAAACTTATTTTTGTAGACATCTATTTCACTGGTATAAACATATCTGCTTGTTATGGAATTATAGGCTTAGATTTCAGCAAAATAAGAAAATCTGTGTGGAAAGAATATTGTTCATTTGCTGTTTTAACATTAAGACCATAATTGAAGAGAGTTTTTGTACATTTGACACTGTATCTTAGTTTTGAATTATTTTCCAAAACTATCAATGTGTGTCTTAACAGATAAAAGCATGTCTTTAATCAGAATATGGTCTCTTCCAATTCTAAGTTTATACTGACCCCTATGGGTTACTGTGTCCTAATCTATTTTTGGCTTATCCTTTCAGAATATCTGTGAAATACTTAAACATGTTTACATTTAAGATATAACTAATTTAGGATAAAAGCCATAAAATACTTTTTATATTTTTGCTCTCCTTGGATTATATAACAAACTATGCACAAATTTTATTCATCCTTTAACTACTGTGGGGGGGCCAAGATGTTTCAGTCCTCATTATATTTAGTGTTGATGTACTAAGGACAAGAGAACTAAGCAGTATAATTTCTAATTTCCAGAAAAATATGACCTGATTATTTTCCTTAAAATCTGTTCCACTCTCACAATATTTCAGAGATATAGATCATTTATTAGGATAAAAAATAAAGTTTATACAGAGATTTGTGTAAAGGCAGGAAGGATTATGGGACCAAAGATGAGTCTAATTTTAGTCAACCTTGATGGAGACACACTGATTCTAGGTTACACTGGGAATTTTTAATGTGATATACATGATTCTAAACCATATCCTTATGGATTGATTATTTATTTTTACTTGTTTTTTTTGAGACAGAGTCTCACTCTGTCACCCAGGCTGGAGTGCAGTGGCGTGATCTCAGCTCACTGCAACCTCTGCCTCCCAGGTTCGAGCAATTCTCCTGCCTCGGCCTCTTGAGTAGCTGGGACTACAGACGCATGCCACCACACCGAGCTAATTTTTGTATTTTTAGTAGAGACAGGGTTTCACCATGTTGGCCAGGCTGCTCTCAAACTCCTGACCTCAGGTGATCCACCCACCTTAGGCTCCCAAAGTGCTGGGATTACAGGCGTGAGCCACCACACCCGGCCTATTTTTACTTTTATAGAGATGAAGTCTCACTATGTTGCCTAGGTTGGTCTCTAACTCCTGTGATCAAGCTATCCTCCTGCCTCAGTCTCTGGAGTGTTGGAAATAAGATGTGAGTCACTGCACCCAGCATAACCTTATGGATTTCAACAGGAATTACAAGAGGTGGCGAAGGGTTATTGACATTTATTTTCCTTTATGCTGAAGATGTGGTTTCTGAAAATAAAATTATTATTTTTAGTATTCTCTCAAAAATTCAATGGGCCAGGCGTTTTGGTACACGCCTGTAATCCCAGCTCCTCAGGAGGCTGAGGTTGCAGTGAGCTGAGATCAGGCCACTGCACTCCAGGCAGCGGTTGCAGGAGAATCGCTGGAATTTGGGAGGTGGAGGTTGCAGTGAGCCGAGATCAGGCCACTGAACTCCAGCCTGGGCAATAGAGCAAGCCTACGTCTCAAAACAATAACAAGAACAACAACAAACCAAAATGACTGATAACTGACAAATCTATATTTGAGAGTGACTTACATAAACCTAAATTTTGTACCTAAATCATTCTGAAATTACATTGGTTAATATTGATTTTTGTGAATCCATTATTGAAATTTTTACTATGGCTAGGATAAGCTTCGTAATCCTGCTTTACATTTTTCTCAGGGTACAATAGTCACAACTATAGTTTATCTGGGAGAATTCATTTACCTATATGTAAGAATGAACCTGGACTATCTTCTAAGGAAAACCTTAAGCCTGTCTATAGTACTCCACAGATCTCCCAGCCCATTTCTGTGCATGTCTATTCTGACAAGTATTTTGGTCTTTCTCCTGAATTTCCCTAAGAGACTATTAATTTTACATACCATTTATTTGAATGTTAAAGTCTATGTCTTGTCCTTAATTGACAACACAGAGCATTCATGCTCTGATTCTTGACAACAAACATAACCTTCAGCTCTCTGATGCCACATATGGATCAAAAGTTTAATTATGAGAAAAGATATTCTAGGAGGGCTGCCAGAAGGCTATGAAGTCCATCCTTCCCTCCATCAGTATTTCTTAAACTATATTTCATGGAACACTTACAGTGCATATTAATACATTTCATAAGAAAAAAAGATTTTTTAAGGTCAAGTTTAGAAAACATTAGGAGTGAAGGAATTGAACATGCTAATATGCAACATCAGTCACAAGAGAAGAATGTAACAGGCAGTACCATCCAAGCTTATCTGAAAACTTCTTCCAGCATGGCTACTTAGTAACATTCTCAAAAAAATCAATATTCCAATTTTTTTGTTTTTTGGCATACTAGCCCTTAATCAAGTCAGAGAACTGAGTTATTAGATAGCATGGCTTTTTTGTTTGTTTGTTTGTTTTGAGACAGAGTTTTGCTCTTATCACCTAGGCCGGAGTGCAGTGGCACGATCCCAGCTCACTGCAACCTCTGCCTCCTGGGTTCAAGCAATTCTCCAGCCTCAGCCTCCTGAGTAGCTGGGATTACAGAGGTGTGCCACCATGCCCTGCTAATTTTTGTATTTTTAGTAGAGACAGGTTTTCGCCATGTTGGCCAGGCTGGTCTGGAACTCCTGACCTCAGGTGATCTGCCCGCCTCAGCCACCTAAAGTGCTAAGATAATGGGTGTGAGCCACCATGCTCAGCTAGATAGAATGTTTTTTACTAACGTACTTACTTAGACTAATTTGAATTTTGGCATTGTAAGTTATACGTGTGCTACAGGAAGTCACCTGGAGAAATGGGTGCTCCTACTAATAGCTGGTATATATTGAGAAAACTATGCTTTGAGCTGTGTTTGGGTTGAAATTTGAAAAAGTCATCATTTCAATTTTCTTTCATAGTTGGCAAAGAGAAAAATGAGACTGGTGTCGAAGACTCTTCTAACGAATAAAATAGTCTATATATACTGTCGTGTCCAATTAATGTTGTATATATAATAACTTAAGTGAGCAAATTCCACTCCACATAGCCTACAGGTTAAATAAAAGTAAATTTTTTTTAATGTATTTCAAGGCCAAGTGTTACATTCCAGAAAGATTAATATGACTTTTGTATTTAACTCTGAATATCTCAGGTGAAAAAACTCTATTGAATAGTGCAAGAACTTATGAATATCTCAGAAACCCTCTTAAATGGAGCAAGAGACAAGAATCTGTGCAAATTTAAATTTTAAGAGACCCATTCTCCATTTGGCTAATAAACATATTCTTTACGACCTTAAAGTTACTCACATATAAGTGTTTTTTGTCTCCTTCTCTGGTACTTTGAAAAGTTTAAGGACTTGAGATACTAGGATTCTCTTCTCCCATAAATAACGTATTAAGTTTAGCATAATTAAAAATATTGTTAGGTTTGTAATTTCCATTTCCACTATTCTTTTTTTTTGAGACGGAGTCTCGCTCTGCAGCCCAGGCTGGAGTGCAGTGGCCCAATCTCGGCTCACTGCAACCTCTGCCTCCCGGGTTCAAGCAGTTCTCCTGCCTCGCCTCCCGAGTAGCTGGGATTACATGCGCGTGCCACCATGCCCGGCTAATTTTTTGTATTTTTAGTAGAGATGGGGTTTCACCATGCTGGCCAGGCTGGTCTTGAACTCCTGGCCTTGTGACCCGCCTGCCTCAGCCTCCCAAAGTTCTGGGATTACAAGCATTTCCACAATTCTTTAAACCTTATGGATGCTCTATTATAATACTTTGCTTTAAGAGTGGTCTACAAAACCACAGATAAGGCAAAGAAGAATAAAGCAAGATTGTCCCTTAGTGGTTACAATAACTAGGAGTAGGGATTCTGACATTCTTCCAGATTCTTAGGTGTTTACCCCACCTCGACCCATGCAATTTTTGTAGATTTTACAACACTTTCTTATTATTAGTTATGGGAATGACTATTTCAAGTTTGAGCTGTTTCCCAGAATATTTTCAAGAACAAATAACTCTAAAAAAATAACTGGAACTTTTATAGGAATGCATTCCCTGCAGATGTGCATCATCACCTAATATGCAAGGGTTCCACATGCCTCAACAGCTCATGACATTCGAAATCAATGTTTGAGTTTGATAATGTCTTATCTAACTAATTAAAAATAATTTTAACGTGCAAATTTCTTGTAACATCTTAATAGCATAAGAAATTAAAATATAAGTCAATAGCAAACAGAAATGATACAGAGAAACTGAAGCACACAGATGAATATAAATATCCCAATAAAACTTGTTCCGGGCAGCGGGCTGCAGGAATACGTTGCAAACGCAAGAGCAAAACAGGATGCAAACGTGGGAAAAATGGGAAATAAGTGGAGTTAGGACGGACAAAGACTGAGAAAGAGGAAGCAATCCCCTAAAAAGCAGAGAGGTTCCTCAGATGAAGGAGGGCAAAACGTCAACCACCACCTCAGCTCTGTTCTCTACTAATGCCCAAATGCAAGTGCATGGTAGGTAAAGGTGGGTTTTGCTCACACCGTTTTCTTAATTTGGCAAACTACGGTCAGATCCACATTAGCCGTTAAGTTTCCAGCCAGCAGTCCTTGAGAAATTCTCCAGGAAAGAAGACAGCCGTGTCGTCTAGTGACGCGCATGCGCAGTCTCAGCGCTGCGCGCTCCGTGTTTTATCCTACCCAGGCCTGGAAGGAAGTGACGCGAGGCTGAGGGGCGGGTTGCGCTGTGCGTCCGGAAGTGTCTCGCAGATAGTAAATAATCTCGGAAAGGCGAGAAAGAAGCTGTCTCCATCTTGTCTGTATCCGCTGCTCTTGTGACGTTGTGGAGATGGGGAGCGTCCTGGGGCTGTGCTCCATGGCGAGCTGGGTAAGGTGCTTTTTGCGGCCTCTGGGGTGCTAGTGTGAGAGACCAAAGAGAAGGCGATCCGAGCCGGGGCTGGGTGAGCCCGGCGGGAATGTGGTGCCCCACCCAACAGGGAGTGCCCTCTCTGTCCCCGTTTTCTTCCCGTCTCCTCTCGTCACTCAGACTCAGCTTCAGAGCTTTGGGTCTTGCGAAGAACTGATCACTGGCCGTAAGGTTTAGTGGCGATGGGAAGATGACTCAAATTGAGGAAGAGAACTAGAATAGGGCCCCTCCCCCACCCCTGCTTCGTGAACGCTGTCTCCCATTCTTTGAGGTCCCTTTTCGTGGTTTTGTTTGTATCTGCGCAGGCCATCTCTACAAAGGTCTTTGCCCCTTTCCTTCGGTGGGGTACCCACTCTGTTGTCATCTCTTTCCTGGCGACCTCAGACTGCCGCACTGTCGTTCCTGGATTCATGTCGCCCTCTTTGTTCAGTGGCGCAGATTATGATTAAAAAGTGCCTGTCGTCATTTGGAACCGCCTGGCAGTAATGCTAATGTAGTAATATTGTTTTTGAAACAAATAGTCATAGCTCTGCCGTAACTGTTTGAAGTGTCAATTTCAGATTTCAACTTAAAATTGAAATTTCAGATGACACACGCATGCCTTGTGCCTAATGACAATTTTGTCTTTAGGCACAAAACATGCGTGTGTCATCTGAAATTTCATGCTTAATTAGCTGTACATTGCATTTTCATTAAAGAGTTGTTAGAGTAAAACTATTTTCAGTATAGTGGCAAGACTTTGGTCCGTGTGGCACAAATTTCAGTTTATTTAAGATAATCTCTGCCCCCTCCAAAATAGTAGGCAAAACATTGGCAGTGCAGTTAATAAAGATATTTGTAATTTTAGGCGAGGTATTTGGACTCAAATCACTTTTCTTTAGTCTGGAATTTGTTAATTCTGTTTCTAACAATTGCTTTTCTGACTTCCCAAATGATTCCGTTATATATACTCTTAAAGGTTTTGATATGTCTTGAACTAAAAATGTTGAATTTTAATCAAATAATAATGTGGGGATTGTTACTCCAGCCAGTCTGTTCTTTTGATTATATGGTATTTCTTCTTGCACGGAAGCCTGGAATATTTTATCTCAAGATATTAGAGAGTTTAATTATTGACTTTTATACAAAAGAGGCATATTTAGTGTGATAAACAGTTTTGAAAACTGATAATTGATTATCATATAAGATTGTTTTCATCGGTTTTTTATTGGAAGATGTTATGCAATTCAATTTGTAATGTCGTATCTTGTCCAGTTATGAAGTGGGCGTGCTGTAGTTTTTTGTATATAATAGAGATTTAAAAGATGAGATACATGTTTTCCCTTTTACAAAATAGATCGCCACCTTTATTGATTAGAAGAATGTCCGTGATAAAATTGACCCTGCCTTTTAGTTTCTGTGTTAATAGCGAAGTACATTAAAAAGGTAGAAGCAGTGAGGCAGTTTTTTAGAGATGGGGGTCTAAGTGTATTGGCCGGGCTGAAGTGCAGGGGATGGTCGTAGTGAACTGCAGCCTGGAACTGCTGGGCTTAAGTGTAACCTCAGCCTCCCAGGTAGCTGGTACTACAGGCAGGTGCTACCGTGCTCAGTTTGGAATTTATTTTATTGTTTGCAGTTTCAGTAATCTTTTTCCCTTTTCTTCCTTGTGCCTCTGTCTCTATTCATTAATTGTTTGATTTTACTGCAGGCCAATAGTCATTGAAGGGGACCATCTCTTCCACATTCTTAACAGTTAATGTGCTCATTTACTTAGAGGTTTTGATGAAATTAAAATTTATTCAGCTTTTCAAAAGTAACACTCAGAGCCTGCTGCAGTGGCTCACGCCTGTAATCCCAGCACTTGGGAGGATGAGGTGGATGGATCACTTGATGTCAGGAGTGGGAGACCGCCTGGTCAATATGGTGAAACCCCGTCTCTACTAAAAATACAAAAAAAAATAGCTGGGTATGGTGGCACATGCCTGTAGTCCCAGCTACTCGGGAGGCTGAGGCAGGAGAATTGCTTGAACTGGGAGACGGAGGTTGCAGTGAGCTGAGATCATGCCACTGCACTCCAGCCTGGGCAACAGAGCAAGACTCCATCTCAGAAAACAAAACAAAACAAAACAAAAAAACAAAAATCAGCCGGATGTGGTGGCGCACACCTGTAATCCCACTCGGGTGGCTGAGGCAGGAGAATCTCTTAAGCCCAGGAGGCGGAGGCTGCAGTGAGCCAAGATGGCGCCACTGCACTCCAGCCTGGGCAACAGAGTGAGACTCTGTGTCAAAAAAAAAAAAAACAAAAACAAAAAACAGAACAAAAAAAAAGTAACATTCAAATCATTAAATTAGATCAGGTAAGCCAGAATTAAAAACAAACCAACCTCATTCTTAATTAGTACAAGTTTCTGCAGGCTTAATCAAATTTAGTAAAAGTTTTTTCCTTATTTATAAAATAATTGTAGAAAATGTCTGAACTATAAAGAGACAAATTATGTGTAATACCACTGAGCAGAAATTGGAGTGTTAAATTGTTCACTTTTTGTTTGCTGCTAAGAGACCTAGAATTAGATTGATCATAATCCTTGGTTCATGGCAGTATAATTTTTTATTCATGCATGGTTGTCTCTTTTTTTGATTGTTAATTACTTTAAACATTATAAACATCATACCAACTAATCCTATAACTATAACATTACCAATCACTAATACCTACTTACATGCTTTTCCCCATCCCAGTCTCAACATTGGTATTAGTGAGTAGACAGAATTGATTTTTTTTTTGAATGGGTGAGCCTTATATACAATACCTATCAAGATATTTAGTTTAGTTAAGTCGTTAAGAACTAGTGATTACTGAGTGCGTATTTTTTGCCAACCTCCTAAATTTTTGTTAATACAGTGACTTGTTTTATAGAAATGATTTATAGTTGCTATGAATGGTCAAGCAATGCAGAGTAGAAATTAAATAAAAATGTCCCCCCAAAATCTTCCTTCTCTCTCAATGCATGGGTGCATTGTGTATTTGTATACACATGGGTGGATGAATAGACAAAAATATATTCTTAGGAATGGCAGCATCTTAAACATATTTTTAAGCAAAGCATTGAATTTAATGTTTCTTGAATTTAACAAAAAAAAAAGTAATTCTTAAATGTTAACATTTGTCAGGAGAGTTTCTTAAAAAGATTCTTCTAAGGAGGTGTTTCCATAGCAGTGATTTTCAACTGGACACAGTTTTGCTCCCCAGTGGGCATTTGGCAATATCTGCAGACATTTTTCATTGTCACAACCTGGGGTGAGGCGTGCCACTAGCATCTAGTTAGTTGGTAGAGGACAAGGATGCTGCTAAATCTACAATGTATAGGATAGCCCCCAACAACAAATAATTATTCAGCCCAAAATAGCAATAACAACATGGTTAAGAAAGTCTGGTTTAAGTTTAAGAAAAACATTGTATAAGACATTGAAGTTGGAGTAACTTTTTAAGGACATTTTAATTTTAGATTCACTTCTCTGAAAGGTGGAACAAATCAATATTCACCCATTCCCCTAGTTCCCAGGTTTAATTAATTGTATCATTTTTAAATTTTTTAATTCATAATTCTGTATGTACATACTTCTCTATGCGCTTAAGAAAAATAGTATACCACTCCCATTTCCTCCCTTTGGAGACAGTATTTCTTTTGGTATTTATTGCCGTATTTCTAATTAACATACATATAGTGTATTCTTGATTTTGTTTATTTGTTTTAGACATTGTCTTCTAACTATGGAAGACGAAGATTTAGCAGTCATCCCTTGATTTCAACTGGCCCTCATCCCTACCCCCACCAAAATCACACACACACATTGATGTCCCCATAGCTTTCCATAATACTAAATAATTTTGGTAAATGAACATTATTGTGACTATTTAAATAAGTTTATATATGTAAAGCTGTAGCAAGCACTTACATGTTAGTTCTTTATTTGTGTAATGCTCTTCATAGGTCAGCCTTGTACTAAATATGCAATGACTTTTCCTTTCATGCACAACATTTTTTGTTCATTGGTTTGCTTTCTTTTCTTTTTTTGACAGAATCTCACTGCATTGCCCAGGCTGGAGTGCAGTGGCGCGATCTCAGCTCACTGCGACTTTGAACCTTCCGGGTTCAAGTGATTCGCTTGCCTCAGCCTCCTGAGTAGCTGGGATTACAGGCATGTGCCACCACACCCAGCTAATTTTTATATTTTTAGTAGAGATGGTGTTTTGTCATGTTGGCCAGGCTGGTCTCAGAACTCCTAGCCTCAAGTGATCCACCTGCCTTGGCCTCCCGAAGTGCTGGGATTATAGGTGTGAGCCACCGCACCCAGCCTATTTTCAGTGTATTTAAATTATTTAACCTCAGACTTTTCCCCAGCTGTATGCATCTCTAAGTTCAGATACATGTCATGATTGATCGAACCTTGGAGGTTATCTCTCCCAGAATCTTCTGACCTGCTCTAGTCTATAGTCAACTGTTTTCATCCTGGATCTCACTTTATCCTCTAATGAGGATGTACATTTCCTCTCTCTTAGGTTGAAACCCTTTTTTTCTTCATTGCTTGTATTCATTTGGTTGACGACCATGTTTTGGTATAATGCTCCTTGACAGAACCACATAGGAGGTACACTTTGGTCATAGAAGTCTAGATTGGAAGTCATTTTCCCTCAGAATTTTGATGCTCCTTTGTAGACTTGTAGTCTTGCTGCTGGGTATTCTGAAGTCATTTTAGAAACTTTTTCTGTATGACCTTTCCATCCTTCACTTCTCCACCAGTTAATTACATTTCTTGAATTCTTTAATTTTCTCACCTGTATTTTCTACATTGTCTTTCTGTTATTCACATATTATGCTTCCTGGACTGAAACTCTAGGTTTCTTCCTTTCTGCTTTCCATCTCATTGGCTTTTTGCACGGCTTTCTGAGAAATTTCCTTGATTGTTTTCAGAACTTCCGTTGAATTTTATTTTTTAAATTTTTTTATTGACTGATTGGACTTCTGTTGAATTTTTAAACCTCTGCTATAGGGGCAGTGTGCTCACACCTATAATCTTAGCACTTTGGGAGGCCAAGGTAGGCAGATCACTTGAGCTCAGGCCTTGGCAACATGGCAAAACACTGTCTATACAAAAAATACAAAAAAATTAGCCAGGCGTGGTGGTGCGTGCTTATGGTCCCAGCTACACCCAGCGTATCTGTGATCTCAGCTTCTGTAGAGGCTGAGGTGGGGGGATCACCTAAACCCAGGGAGGTTGTGGCTTCAGTGAGCTGTAATCATGCCACTGCACTCTAGTAAAGCCTACATTCCAGCCTGGACGACAGAGTGAGACTCTGTCTCAAAAAACAAACAACAACAAAAACCTCTGCTGTAACATTTTTAATTACCAAGAGTCTGTTTTGTTCTCTGTTTCACCTAGTCTTGCTTTGTTGCCCGGGATGGAGCGTAGTGGCGTGATCTCGGCTCACTGAAACTTCCGCCTCCCAAGTTCGAGCAATTCCGCCTCCCAAGTTCAAATGCCTCAGCCTTCTGAGTAGCTGGGACTATAGGTGCACAACACCATCCCTGGGTAATTTTTGTATTTTTAGTAGAGACTGTTTCACCATGTTGGCCAGGCTGGTCTTGAACTCCTGACCTCAAGTGATCTGCCAGCCTCAGCCTCCCAAAGTGCTGGGATTACAGGTGTGAGCCACCGTTCCTGGCCTCTGTTCCATTTTTATAGCATCCTGTGGTTGTTTCATGGAAGCAAGCTTTCTCCCTTTTTAAAAAAATCTTTATTTTTATCTTTATGATATACCCTGTACTATATAGTTTATTAATATACTCTGTAAGTATATTAAAAATACCAAATTTTTTATGCTTTTATGTCTGCCTATAATTTCTTTTCAAGTTTCTCCTATCCACTCCTCCCACTTTCATTGATCTTAGTGTTTTCCGGAGTATTCAGTGGTCAGTAGCTATTTGTTCATATTTAGGAGTGGGACACTCAAGAGCTTGGTGTAGGACTTGTCAGCTGTGACTACCGTGAAGTGATCTGGCTCAACCAGTTTATTGTGGAAGCCTAATGCAGATATTTATCTAGGGCTATTGATAGATCCAGGGTACACTTCCAGTCTCCAACCTGGGGAATATACCTGCATTCTGGAAGGCAAGTGACGGAAAGAATGATGAGGTTCTTCACATTCAGTACATAAAATTTGACTTAATTTTATGTTTTTAGTATGGAACCCCTTCTGTCAACTCTACTTGGTGTTTCCCTGTCAAACCTCATGTTTTATTCTTTCAGGTGACTAGTGCAAGAAATGGAATGAAATCTGGGAGTCTTAACTGCTCTTTGGAAAGACATTCAACCAATCATCTATTTTTACTATACCTTTAGTGTCACTTACAGAGACTCCTGGTGCCACCAGTTCCTGAACTATTTGGGGATTCTGCCAAATGAATTGTGTTGCTCGTTAACTTTTTCCTTTGATAACTTAGAATTCAGCTTTCTCTGTTAAGGTTGTTACTACTTCGTAGTTTCTACTTCCTAGATTTGTTCTGGGAAGAACAAAACAAAAGAACTAGAACAAAAGATCTAGTTCTTTTTGACTTTTACATTTTATTCTTTCTTTTTTAAAGAAAAAAAACCCCAAACCTTTATTTTTTATTTTATTGGGATTTCTAGAGTGAACATAGGTAAATTAATATATTCAGTCTGCCATCTTTAACTAGAAGCACTTTGTACTATTATTTTTATGTTGCCATTATCTTATACCCTAGAAACATTGACTGGGGGCATTCTATGTTTTAATAAGCCCTCCAGGTAATTCTGGTAGTTGTTACAGTTTGAGAACCAGTGCTCTAAACTTAAGTGGATGCAAAGCTCTCTACCAGTCCTTGGCTTACCATTGCTTTGCTCTAATTTTTTATTTTAATGTCATCTCCTAATTGACCACATTTTGTCATCAGTAGATTTTTCAAAAAGGATTTATTGGTGCCGGAATCTCTAAGTTCTTTGGTTTTTGAAAGTGCCTGCTAAATTCTTGAGAGACATTTTGGACTGGTATAATATAGTATACGAATTTCCTTCAGAACTTTGTAGTTATTTCTCTTTCGTATTCTGTCTTATATCAGCCTGGTTTCCACACCGTCCCTCTGCACGTGCATAGGTGGTTTGTTTCCTCTGCCTGAGTAGCTGAAGAGTTTTTGTTTATCTTAGAAATTAAATAACCAGATAAGTCTGAGTTTAAATCTTTTATCACTTTTTTTCCCCTTCTCAAAAAGTAGTGTGCTCTTTTGATGCACAGATTATTTTTCCATCTAAGGAATTTTTCTTATATTAGATCTGTGAATATCCTTTAATTCATTTATTTAGAGGATTCTCTATTTTAAGGACTTTTTTTAGTTAAGGTATAATTTACATACAGTAGAATTTACTCTTTGTAATATACAGTTCCATGAGTTTTGACAAATGCATCTCTAGTCGTGTAACCGTTTTGGAACATCGATCATCCTAAAAAATTGCACTGTCCTGTCCTTGGCAACCCCTATTTTCTGTCTTTAGGATTTTGCCTTTCTAGAGTGTCATATTAATGGAATCCTACAATATATAGTCTTTGAGTCTGGCTTCTTTTACTTAGCACATAATGAGTTTCATTCTCCGTATGTTTTTATTGTTGAATATTGTTTTTGTTTGGATGTACCACAATTTATCCATTCACCATTTGAGGAGCCTTTCTAGGTTTTGATGATTACAAATAAAGTAGCTATAAGCATTCCCATCAAGGTTTTTTTGTGTAATTATAAGTTCTTATTTCACTTGAATAAATATCTGAGTGTGGATTTGCTTATTCATACAGTAAGTGCATGTTTGATTTAAAAATAAGAAACAGTCAAACTGGTTTCCAAAATGGTTGTACCATTTTTCATTCCCGCCACCAAAGTAAGAGAGTTCTAGTTGCTCTGCATTCTTGTCAGTAGTTGGTATCATCAGTTTATTTCATTTTAGCCGTTCTAATATGCATGCAGTAGTATCTCTGATTTTAATGTACATTTCCCTAATAATGATATTGAGCACTTTTTCTTTGCTTATTTGCTGTCTATATGCCTTTTATTAAAGTATCTGTTTAAATATTTTGCCCATTTTTAATTGAGTTGTTTGTTTTCTTATCACTGAGTTTTTAGAGTTCTTTTTATATTCTGGATGCCGATGATTTATCATGTACCTCACTTGCAAGTATTTTCAAGTTTATGGCTTGCTTTTTCATTCTCAGCAGTGTGTTTCAAAGAGCAAAAGTTCTTAATTTTGATGAAGCCCAATTCATTTGTTTTTCTTTTGTGAGTCCTGTTTTTTATATGGTATCTAGGAAATCTTAATTCTCATATATGGTTTGATTATGGCTTAAGGTTAACTTTCTAAAAAATGTATGAATATCCAATTATTTCAGCAACATCTGTTAAAAAGATTATCCTTTCCATAGTGAATTGCTTTGGTATCTTTGTCAAAAATCCTTTGATTATATTTGCATGAATCTATTTCTGAACTTTATTGTGTTCTACTTAGTGTGTCCACCCTTTTCCCTATATCACTCTGTTTTAATTACTGTCACTTTAATGCTAGTCTTGAAATCAGGTAGTGTGTCTTTTAACTTTGTTCTTTTTTCAGACTTGTTTGAGCTATTCTGGTGTTTTTTGCCTGTTCAGCTAGTTTATTTCTGTAAATCTGATGTTGGGATTGTGATTGGAATTGGGCTGAATCTATAGATAAGTTTGGAAAGACCTGATATCTTGAAAATAATTGTCTTCCAACTATGAACTCTGTATATTTTGCCATTCATTTAGGTCTTTGATTTCTTTCACCAATGTTTTGTAGTTTTCATTATTTGAGATCTTGTCTATGTTTTGTTAGATTTATAACTATTTTCTTTTTGTTTTCAGTTATTACTAATACGTAGAAACATGATTGTGTATATTGACTTTTTATCATGTGACCTTATTAAACCGATGAGTTAGTTCTAGTTGCATTTTTGTAGGTTCTTTGTGGGGTATTTTTATTGTTTTTATTTGTTTTGTTTTGTTGTCATCCAGACTCGAGTGCAGTGGCGCTATCATTGAACTCCTTGAACTCCTAGGCTCAAATGGTCCTCCTGCCTCAGCTTCCCAAATTGCTGGGATTACAGGTGTGAGCCATGGTGTATGGCCCTCTTTGGGATTTTCTATATAGACAGTTGTGTTATATGTGAAGAGGGCAGTTTCGTGTCTTCCATTCCAATTTTTATGTTTTATTTTCTTTCTTGCCTCATTATATTGGCTGGGACCTCCAGTGTGAAGTTGAATTCAAATGGTGAGAGAGGTATTTTGCCTTGTTTGATGTCTTACAGGGAAAGCATTCAGACTTTCGTCATTAATTATGGGTGAGAGCTATAGGTATTTGTAAATGCCATTTATCAAGTTAAGGATGTTATCTTCTATTCTTTGCTGACAGTTTATATCATGAATAGGTATTGAATTTTGTCAAATGGTTTTTCTGTATCTATTGAGATGACCTTGTTTTTTTTCTTTAGTCTGTTTATACAGTAGAGGTCATTGGTTGATTTTTAAAAGTGGAACCAGCCTTGCTTTTCCAGGCTAAACTCTACCTGGTGGCAATATATTATCCTTTTTATATACTTTCATATTGCTGTTTTTGACTTGCTAAAATATCATTAAGAATTTTTTTGTGTATGTTTATGAGGGATATCGGTCTATTATTTTCTTATGATGTCTTTGGATTTAGTCTCTGTAATTCTGGCCCATTTTTTTAAATAAGAAGAATATGTCTCTTTCATATTCCTTTGTATGCAAATCCAAATTTCTCTCTGGTATAATTTTCTTTCTTGGAGGATTTCCTTCAACATTTCTGGTAGTTTAATTCTGCTTGTTTGGATTATTTTGTCTTTTCTATTCCTGAAAATGTCTTTATTTTGCCTTAATTTTTGGAAGATATTTTCACTGAGTATAAAATTCTTTTTTTTTTTTATTATACTTTAAGTTTTAGGGTACATGTGCACATTGTGCAGGTTAGTTACATATGTATACATGTGCCATGCTGGTGCGCTGCACCCACTAACTCGTCATCTAGCATTAGGTATATCTCCCAATGCTATCCCTCCCCCCTCCCCCAACCCCACCACAGTCCCCAGAGTATGATATTCCCCTTCCTGTGTCCATGTGATCTCACTGTTCAATTCACACCTATCAGTGAGAATATGCGTACAAAATTCTATGTTTACATATTTTTTTCTTTCGGTACTGATTTTAGGCTTGAACCGTTTCTTACTAGAAGTGTGATTTATTTCTTTGTTCCTCAGTTTATAATGTACATTTTATTTTTCTGCCTACTTTTAAGATTTTTCTGATTATTACTTTTTTAAGTAATTTGATTATGATGTGACTTGGTGTGGTTTTCATGTTTATTTTGCTAGGGCTTTGTTGAGTTTCCTGGATCTGTGAGTTTATCGTTTTCATAAATTTGGAAAAATTTGGGCAATTACTTCCTCAGAAGCACCTTTGTGTCACTTCTCTCCAATTGAAGTTCATTTCAGGGACTCTAATTTCACTTATATTAGGCTATTTAAAGTTGTCTCACAATGTTCTGATCCTTTTCTTATTTTTATCTCTCTTTCATTTTGGATCATTTATTTTCTTATGTCTTCAGGTTCATTATTAATCTTTTCTTCTGTCTTGTCAATATTTAGGGGGCTTATTTTATCATCTGGAGAAGTATGATATGGGTCTTAATTTTAAATTATCTTCCATGTCTGTCCGTAACATTATCAAGTTTTCCTCTACTTCCTTGAGCATGTGATATATACTTAACAGTAATACTACAATGCCCTATTTATAAATGAACTCAGTTATCTATATCATTTCCAGGTTGATATTGACTGATTGATCCTCATTATAGGTTGTATTTTTCTGGTTTTTGCATGCCTGCTAATTTTTTGTTAGCTTTCCAGTGTAAATTTTTCCTTGATCAGCGCTGGATATACTTTTATTTTCAAAAAAATATTCTTGGGCTTTTATCTTTGACTTGGGTGATTTTACTTAGAGACAGTGTGATCTTTTTATTTGCCTTTAGGTTTCGTTAAGTGCAACTAGTGCAGCCTTTAGTTTGATGGCTGATTTTTCTCCAGTATTAATT
This sequence comes from Homo sapiens, assembly GCF_000001405.40. Classification (NCBI taxonomy): domain Eukaryota; kingdom Metazoa; phylum Chordata; class Mammalia; order Primates; family Hominidae; genus Homo; species Homo sapiens. The sequence continues at coordinate 122,460,493 of NC_000006.12, read as the reverse complement.
GCCTTCTGATATCTTTACCCAATGCCTCATGGATTACAAAGTTTTTCACCTCTGGGTGGTAAAATTCTCAGACCCTCCCTGCAGTGAACATTCTCCCTAGGCAGAAATAAGGGCCACTTGGCTGGGCGCGGTGGGCCACACCTGTAATCCCAGCACTTTGGGAGGCCGAGGTAGGCGGATCACCTGAGGTCAGGAGACCAGCCTGGCCAACATGGTGAAACCCTGTCTACTAAAACTACAAAAAAATACAAAAATTAGCCGGGTGTGGTGGTGCACGCCTGCAATCCCAGCTACTCAGGAGGCTGAGGCAGGAAAATCCCTTGAACCCGGAGTGGGTGGGGGAAGGTTGCAGTGAGCTGAGATCGCACCACTGCACTCCAGCCTGGGTGACAGAAGGAGACTGTGTAAATCAATCAATTAATCAATAAAATAAGGGCCAGTCATAGGGCTCACATTGTCTCCTCTTAGAAATTGCTGGCTTTACATTGCCTGTTGTTCATTGTCTGAAAAACTTATTTTTTCCATTGTTTAAGTCAGGAGGATAAGTCTGGTCATGGTTTCTCCATCTTGACCTGAATTTATAGTAATTATCCCAAGCCTTTTTTCATCAGTAATTTTATGTTTACCTATGTCTGTTTTGTTTCTTGATAGTTACTAGTTAAGTCCGTTTTTTCCCTTCTCATTTCTTTAGCCCTTTGATTTCCACTTTCCATTGTGTTCTGTTCTTACTTCATTTTTGAGGTCTCCTTTTTTAACAAAAAATATTTTTTATTTTTCTGTAGCTCAAATGAAATACTGGTAGGGGATTTCCTTTTCTTACTGGATTATATTTATTTCAGACTGAATTCTTCATATGCCTTATATTTTCTTCATTCCTTTTTCTGAGGGGAGATGTTTATGTTTAACTTTTGCTAAAGTATATTTACATAGTTGCCATGACATGTATTTCCGTTTTGTGGACGTTTAATATAAAGCAGCTTTATTCTTACCTTATATTGGTTGGTGTAGTGGTCTGGCTTCTACAACATTCCCTTACTGTGATATCTAAGACTCTTTTCCCCTAGAGCTGTAATTCTAGGGCTGGAAGATCTGGTTCATCCACCTTCTAGAAGTCTGACATCTCAGCCCAGGTTATGATATTATGAGAATATTTACTCTGTGGCTTTCTTAGATACTGTTAAATACTCTGTACCAGTGTTCCTCTCTCCTAGACAGGAAGATATTCTGTTCCCTTGGGGGCATACTGCTAGTTTAGTGTGGTGGTTACTGGAGAAAAGCTAGCCCCAGTTGTATTATTATCCTTTTTGCCTCACTCTAGTTGTAGTTTTCATTATTATCACTATCGCCAGGTCAAAAGAAGGAAAATATATCAATTCACTTTTTTTTCCCTCCCTGGATGTATTTGAGAATCCTCGGAATTTTTTGTATTCATCAGTCTAGTATCTGGGGGCTAAAGGTCAGGGGCTGGAGGTGGGCTTAGCAGCTGTGCTACTCATGAATATTCCATTTCTTTTCCTCTTTAAACTTTGGTTACTGCTGATGATTTTTTCCCCTTTTTGTTTTAGCTGATTTGTCCGTTTTACTTGGCATAGAGTCCAAGGATTTTTTTTGTCTTTACTCCTTCTTAGAAGTTGCTAAGTTTTGTGGTATATAGATAATTTATATGAACCAAATACCGTATGTCCCTTGATGTAATTACTTTTAGTCTTTTTTCTTTTTTAACAGATAGAATGTCAATTTTCATTGTATCATTTTAAGATATAGTGATTTACTGATTCTTAATAATATTTTCAATAATATTCTTTTTCCCAGATACCATGTTTGTGTGGAAGTGCCCCGTGTTTGCTATGCCGATGCTGTCCTAGTGGAAACAACTCCACTGTAACTAGATTGATCTATGCACTTTTCTTGCTTGTTGGAGTATGTGTAGCTTGTGTAATGTTGATACCAGGAATGGAAGAACAACTGAATAAGGTTAGTCTCGTTTCTTATTTATTGATTAACTGAGGCTATAGGGTATATATGTATATGTATAAAATTGATTCGGGGATATTGTAAACAGAATAATATAGAATAAGACAGTATGTAATCCTAGTTGTAGTTCATAATCTTTTAGGAAAAAGATAATATACATTAGTTTGTTAAGTTCTATGATGGTGGTACAGGAAATGTACTGTGGTAATACACAGAAAGAAGTATAATTCTAACCAGGTGTCAGAATCTCAATGGGTCATGGAAAAAAGGATGTTCTAAGAATGATTAGAACTTGCATATACAGAGATTGAAAAATAGAAAGCATAATGAGTATAAAAGAGCTTTTCAAGCAAAGTATCTATACTTTAGGAAGATTAATCTTACAATTAATAAAGTATAAAAGTCAAGCAGTTAAATATGGAGGCTGTTGCAGTGGTATAATCAAGAAGAGAATAGCGGACCTGAAATAAGATTTTCTGGATGTAAAATTGACTGAGCCTAGCACTGAAATATTGGCAGTGATATGGAATCATAAATAACAACCAGGTTCTGGTCCTACAAAACCGGGAGGAAAGTATTGCTATTAACCTAGAAAGGAAAATTTTTAGAGAGAGTCAGGTTGTGGAAGGAGATTGGGAACACATAATAAATTTAGTTTCTAACATGTTGACTTGGTGGTATTGTATCGTGTACATGTATATATATATATATATATGTATGTCTTACTCAGTTCAGGCTGCTATAACAAGAATATCATAGGCTGGGTGGCTTAAGACAACAAAAATTTATTTCTCAGTTTTGGAGGCTGAAAGTCCGAGATCAGGGTGCCACCATGGTCAAGTTCTGATGAGGATCTTATTCCTGGTTTACACATGGCCATCTTACATTTTTGAAAGAAAGCAGCAGCTCTCTTCTGTCTGTTTTTATAAGGGCATTAATCCCATCCTGAGGGCTCTACCCTCATGATTTAATTACCACATAAAGGCCCTATCTCCCACTATCCTCCCATTGAGGGTTAGAGTTTCAGCATTTAATTTTGGGTAGACACAAACACGAAGTCCATAATAATATACAGCAGTAAGTAGAAAACATGAAGGAATTTAAAAGAGAAATCAGAGCTAGAGACTGCCTTGAGGATAGAAATTGAATGTTGAAACCATGGCAGCGTATGCTGAAGATCATTCAGAGTGAGCAGAGCTAGAACTCTGCCAAAATCTCTTACTTAAGGGAGTTAGTGGAGAAAGGAAAACCTGATTCTGATCCTAGAAAACTGGGAGGGAAGGGATAACAGAAAAGAACAAAGAAAATGTATAGGTTCTAGGAAGAAAGTTTTAAGAATGACAGGGATAGTGTCTATATAAAAATGAGATTAAGGAATGTGATTAAGCAGTAGCCTTTGGGTTTGGAAACCAGTACATGACTAGTATCCTGGAAAAGCAGTTTTTTTAGAGTGCTGGGACTGGAAAGAGTGGGAGGAAATAATTTATTCTTATATATATGAATAATAGATGTATTAATAGTTCTGAACAGTAGTCTCAGAAATAGCACTTACACTACTAAAACAAGTCTATCGTGCTATTCAAGTAGAATGCAAGTTTTTAAAATGTAGGATAAATCTATAACTCAAAATAAGCAACCAGCATAGAGTTGGTATTGTAGTTTATGATTTGCGCAGATGGGGATTTAACTCTTTTTTCCCCACTGTATGTGATTAAAATGTATCAGACTCATCTTGAGTACATATTCATCATAAATTGTAAAGCAAATGCCAGTTTTCTAAACCTTTACTTAAACTATTTGATTACATGTAATTTTTATTTTTACTTAATGAAAAAAAATGATGGATCATAAACTCTTTTGTTTTTCTAGATTCCTGGATTTTGTGAGAATGAGAAAGGTGTTGTCCCTTGTAACATTTTGGTTGGCTATAAAGCTGTATATCGTTTGTGCTTTGGTTTGGCTATGTTCTATCTTCTTCTCTCTTTACTAATGATCAAAGTGAAGAGTAGCAGTGATCCTAGAGCTGCAGTGCACAATGGGTAAGTTTTTAAATAAGCTTCAATATAAAAGCTTGGGTAGCCTCTTCTTGATAATTGCCAGTTTATCCAAGGAAACTTTAAGGTAAAATAAACTTATACAATTTGCAGAATTACTTTATTCATGAATGACAGGATAAGAAAATCTTGTTTTTACTGGAGAATGTCAGACTTTGGATATTAAATAATAGCTGTGATAACCTCTGATCCACAGTGTTTTATATTTTCATACTAAAAAAGAGGCTCTATTATATTTGTGACTACTAAGGGAATAGCTATTTCTCCTTCTACTGTTAACTTTAGGTGGACCAGTCCACTTACATAGAACTCTCAGTTCCCTAGACCCAGAGAGCAGATTTTTCTAGGTTGGTTGTATTGGACAACCCAGAAAGAAACTTCAGGGTTTCTTTTATCAATCTTCCTTCATATAGAGCACTACTTCTGGTACCCTTATTTGACTGTTTTAATATCTGCTGTTGCTTATCTAGTTATATGTGCTACCAAAGACAAAAAGTATAAACAAGTAGAATATAAATATTAATGAGAAAATATGTGACGGGTTGCTTTTCCTTTATTTTGTTCCTTTGGTCATTGATTATTTTATTAAATTATTAGAGTTTTAGATGGAGGCATTTATCATGTGTTTATAAAAACTATTCATTTATACAGTTCACCTTATACTTTGATACATTATCCCACTTATGTGAAATAAGCCTGTGAAATGGAACTAACATTCTCATTTTTCCATAATGAATTAGTGAGAAATACATCTTTCTCAAAATGGTCTTAAAAGCAGTTTATGTAATTGTTGTTTTTTCTGATAATCAAGTGTATTAGGGTTCTCTAGAGGGACAGAACTAATAGGATAGATAGATATATATAAAGGGGAGTTTATTAAGTATTATCTCACATGATCTCAAGGTCCCACAATAGGCCATCTGCAAGCTGAGGAGCAAGGAGAGCCAGTCCTAGTCCCAAAACTGAAGAACTTGGAGCCTGATGTTCAAGGGCAGGGAGCATCCAGCACAGGAGAAAGATGTAGGCTGGGATGCTAGGCCAGTCTAGTCTTTTCACTTTTTTTTTTTGCCTGCTTTATATTCTAGCCCTGCTGGCAGCTGATTAGATGGTGCCCACCCAGATTAAGGGTGTGTCTGCCTTTCCCAGCCCACTGACTGAAATGTTAATCTTCTTTGGCAACACCCTCACAGACACACCCAGCATCAGTACTTTGCACCCTTCAATCCAATCAAGTTGACACTCAGTATTAACCATTACAAGTCAGTACTTTGCATCCTTGAATTCAATTGACACTCAGTATAACTATCAGAAGTCTACCCATTGTCAACTTGAACCCGTATACATCTCCTGAGATCATACATAATCTGCAAATAAAGACAATAATAAGGTCATACAACTAACCTTACAACTGAAAACGCACCAGTCCCCAACCAAAATACTAATTACATAAAGTTAACAATACTTAAATGCTGATGTGAAGTCAGTAAATCTTATGTCACATGATAAAGGAGAATGGAAATAAAATGAAGATATTTTCTTAGTACAAGTATATGCATGCATGAACATGTTTTTGACAAAACAAGGAGGAAGTACTCACAACAATTACAGCCCTCGTTTCTGCAGCTGGACATGTGGTCATAGCTGGTATTGATGACTGCCTTCTGCTACCCATTGTGTATTCCCTTTGCCTTCAGCAAGCAACTCAGCAGGTCGTGGTTTTTTTCCTGGTGGAGTGACCCAATGATCTCCATAAGCGCCTACTTTAACTGGGGGACCACAATGTTGTTTTGGGTCCCCTGGAATCAATGTCAGCTCAGAGCCAGTGTCCAGTAGTCCCCAAAATGTCTTATCATTTCCCTTTCTTTTCCAGCCATTTGCTCTGATGCTTCCTCTAGCGTGGTCTGGGCTTTAATCCATTCCTTTCACATGTTGACTTGCCTTTCTTATCAGATTTTTTTTGCTTTGTTTTTTCCAATTGGAAAGATCTATAATATAAGCTTGGGTTCATGGTAATGGTTAATTTCACTCTCTCTCCAAACTATGTTATCTAAATATGATGATTACCTTGTTTTGTAGTTACAAATATGGCTACACTCCAGATCATAATATCCTCAGAAAGAAGTAGAACATTCACATAAAGTGTAGCTATTTGTTAAGATGCAGTTAAATGATTTCATATATGAAATTATTTGATGAATGTCTATTAATAAAAAATTATATTTCTTTTTGTTTTAGATTTTGGTTCTTTAAATTTGCTGCAGCAATTGCAATTATTATTGGGGCATTCTTCATTCCAGAAGGAACTTTTACAACTGGTAAGAAATCCTTTTTAAGTTGTTTGACATTGATATTTTATAAAGGAATCTGAAATAATTGTCACCTGGAACTATAATTGTTTGTCTTTTTGTTTGGGGGTGTGTGTGTGTGTGTTTCCCCAGTTGGCAAAATCAAGATGTTCATATAAAATTTTATTTTCCTTTTTGTGTACTGTGATTTTGAAAGGAAATGATAAAAATCAAACTAACCAATCACTTATGTATGCTTTCTTTCCCTTTCAGTGTGGTTTTATGTAGGCATGGCAGGTGCCTTTTGTTTCATCCTCATACAACTAGTCTTACTTATTGATTTTGCACATTCATGGAATGAATCGTGGGTTGAAAAAATGGAAGAAGGGAACTCGAGATGTTGGTATGCAGGTAAGCTTTCGTCGCAGAACAACTTCAGTATAGTTGAACTTTGAAGTCGAGAATAGATATGTAGACTAGGTAAATCACTTAGGATTTTTATGGTCTACTTTCCTATGATGAGGTTTTTAATTTAAACTTTGTGAGTGTCAAAATATCACATTGTATCAGCAACTTGGTGAGCAGATCTTTTAGCAGATTAACTGGGAACATAACCCAAGAACCAGGAAAGAATCCAAAAGAACCTGAATAGCTAAAATAAATGTTCCAAAGCATATTACTGAAAGCATGTGCACTTTATAGCCTAATTTTCTAGCCTACAATGGGTTAAAAGCAAAATATTAAAGGGAAGAGGATTGCTAGGAATAGATAAACACACAGTGATACAATTCATAAACAGCAGCAAATAAAAAATATAAAAAGCAACTCGGATGTTTTATTCAAGTGCAAAGGATGCTTTTATGTGCATCAATAACAACTAAAGGAATTCCTATAGTAATGTAATTAATGATTATTTATAATGATGATGTTGAGTCCTTTGGGGTTATACTTGAAAACAGATATCCCAATTCAAATGCTTACAGGGCCAAACCAGGTAACAAAAATGAGGGAACAGGAGGACAGAGTTTAAGTGCATAAGCTTTGTGCAAATAGACTACAATGAATTGGAGAGTATGAATGCCCCATCTAAAGTGCATTACTACTGCTCAGCTCCATTTATTAGTTGCCTTGTGGGAATGTGAACTTAGTATTGCTTGATTTTTCTAATGTTTTTCAAAAGAAGTCATAAATCTGGATTTTCATGCTAAATGACTGAGTTTCAGCTAAAAAAATTTTAAATTGGAGTGCAAGCCAAATCCAGTGTGTCTGCTGGCCTAATATTCCTCTCACACAACTAATTTGTGGTGTTTTATCTCAGTGGTTCAAGTTAAAATAATTTGGTGCTCAAAGAAATAAGCTTTAGTCATTTGGAAATTTCACTTACATTGAATACCTTGTTCTCTAAATGCAAAGTCTAATGCAAGGGTTTCTGTGTCTTTTGTTCCCTGCTGTATCCCCAGGGCCTGGAATGCAGGCATTCAATAAATATTTGTTGGATGGATCCCCTGTCAGCGAGGCAAATCTACATAAATACTTGTATATTAGGCACATATTAGCATAAAGGCTAAACAACTTGTGTATGTTGAAATTTACATAGAAAAAGCATAGGTTGACTTATTAAATAATGACTTACCCTTGCATAATATGTATCTTTTAAGATTTTAGTTCATGAGGAAAAGCATCATTGTTGTGAGGGCTTAACATTAATAATGAAAATAATTTTCTTAATGCCCTTGTTTACAACTGAGTGATAATGGTTCTTTAAAAACCTTAAGTAATATTCCTCTTATAGTTATTTTTCTTTATTTTGAAAATAATGGCTAACATGTAAACATAGTTTGTAAACTCTAATATAGATATTAGTATTAAATCCTATTAGTTTCTTACTAACTTGCCATCCTTGCAAATACATAATAGCTATGTGTAAAAACTAGAATTCTTCAGCAATAAAGGTCAGAATTAATTTTCTTTCCTGCTTTTATAGCCTTTATAATGCTGACAATGTTAGTTGCTTAAAATATATTTTTTGACAAAATGACAGATTGTTTATAAAACAGGTCCCATTTCTAATTGCTAATAATTTCTGATAAAAAGCTAATTATCCAATTATATTTCTTTCACAGCCTTGTTATCAGCTACAGCTCTGAATTATCTGCTGTCTTTAGTTGCTATCGTCCTGTTCTTTGTCTACTACACTCATCCAGCCAGTTGTTCAGAAAACAAGGCGTTCATCAGTGTCAACATGCTCCTCTGCGTTGGTGCTTCTGTAATGTCTATACTGCCAAAAATCCAAGTATGCCCTTTAAAGCATTAGTTTTTATGAAGCTTATACCTTTTTAAGTTTTCAAAAATCTAGAATGATGTCAGACTATTTACCTGTGTTGCTATATATATATATATATATTTTTTTTTTTTTTTTTTTGTAGGAATCACAACCAAGATCTGGTTTGTTACAGTCTTCAGTAATTACAGTCTACACAATGTATTTGACATGGTCAGCTATGACCAATGAACCAGGTGTGTTTTATTTATATTACATGTTCCTAAAGGTTCTGCAGTTGTTGTTTTTCCAGAAATTGTCTTTTTGTGAGATTAAATTACTTAAAAATTAGGCTTCTAGAGGAATAAAGTACAAAGTTTTGATCTTTGATGTATTATTTATTTCACTTAGTTTCTTCCATCACTAACAAAATTATAAGAAGGTTACATGTATACCTAAGAGAAACTGTGAGTTCAGTTTCAGAGCACCACAATGAAACAAGCATCACAGTAAAGCATGATTTTTTGGTTTCCCAGTGCATATAAAACTTTTGTTTATCTTACACTAGTCTGTTGTGTGCCATAGCATTATGTCTAGAAAAACAATGTACATTCCTTAATTTGAAAGTACTTTATTTCCAAAAAATGCTAACAGTCATCTGAGCCTTCATCAAGTTGTAATCTTTTTGCTGGTAGGAGGTCTTGCCTCAATGTTGACGGCTGCTGACCGAACAGGGTGTTGGTTGCTGCAGGTTGGCATGGCTGTTTTAGTATCTTTAAACTAAGACCACAATGAAGTTTGCCCATTGATTGACTCCTCCTTTCACAAAATATTTCTCTGTAGCATATGATGCTGTTTGATAGCATTTGACCCAGAGTAGAATTTCCTTCCAAATTGGAGTCAATCCTCTTAAACCTGCTCCTGGTTCATTAAGTAAGTTTATGTAATATTCTAACTCCTTTGCTGTCATTTCAATAATATTCATAGCATCTTCATCAGGAGTAAATTCCATCTCAAAAAACTACTTTGTTCATCCATAAGAAGCAACACCTCATCATTCAGGCTTGATAATGAAATTGCAGCAATTCAGTCACATCTTCAGGTTCCACTTTTTAGTTCTCTTGCTCTTTCCACCGTATCTGTAGCTACTTCCTCCACTAAAGTCTTGAAATCCTCAGTCATCTATGAGGGTTAGAATCAACTTCTTTCAAACTCCTGTTAATGTTGATATTTTGACATTTTTTCCCATGAATCATGAATGTTCTTAATAGCATCTAGAATGGTGAATCTTTTCCAGAAGGTTTTCAGTTTACTTTGTCCACCCAGATCTATCAGAGGAATTACTCTATGGCAGCTATAGCCTTACAAAATATATTTCTTAAATAATAAGATTTAAACGTTGAAATTACTCCTTTTTCCATGGGCTGCAGAATAAATACTGTGTTAGCAGACATGAAAATATTAATCTCCCTGTACATCTCTATCAGAGCTTTTGGGTGACCCAGGTGCATCGTCATTGAGTAGTAATATTTTGAAAGGATCTTTTAGCAGTAAGTCCCAACAATGGGCTTAAAATATTCCGTAACCCATACTTTCAACAGATGTGCTGTCATCTAGGCTTTTTTCTATTCATAGAGAGGCTGAATAGACTTAATATAATTCTTAAGGGCCCTAGGATTTTTGGAATGGTAAAGAACATTGGCTTTCTCTTAAAATCATTGTCTGCATTAGTCCCTAACAAGAGAATCAGCCTGTCCTTTTAAGCTTTGAAGCCAGGCATTGACTGACTTCTCTATAGCTATGAAAGTCCTAGATTATATCTTCTTACAATAGAAGTCTATGTTGTCTTTATTGAAAATCTGTTGTTTGGTTTGGCTGCTTTCTTTTTTCTTATTTTTATTTTTTTGAGATGGAGTTTCACTCTTGTTGCACAGGCTGGAGTGCAATGGCACAATCCCCGTTCACTGCAACTTCTGTCTCCTTGGTAAGCCATTCTCCTGCCTCAGCCTCCTGAATAGCTGGGATTACAGGCCTGCGCCACCACACCCAGCTAATTTTGTATTTTTAGTAGAGATTGGGTTTCACCATGTTAGCCAGGCTGTTCTCGAACTCCTGACCTCAGGTGATCCACCCGCCTCAGCCTCCCAAAGTGCTGAACTTACAGGCGTGAGCAACCATGCCTGACCAGTGTAGCTACTTTCATTAATTTTGTTGGCTAGATTTTTAGGATGACTTGCTGTAGCTTCTGCATCAGCACTTACTGGTTCACCTTATACTTTTATGTTACGGAGACAGTTTCTTTCATTAAACCTCAACAACCAACCCCATCTAGTTTCAAACTTTTCTTCTACAGCTTCCTTCTCTCTCTCAATCTTAATAGACTTGAAGTGAGAGAGAGGGCCTTGCTCTGGATTAGGCTTTGGCTTAAGGGAATGCTCTGCTGGTTTGATCTTCTATCCAGGTCACTAAAACTTTCTCCTCCATATCAGCAATAAGACTGCTTTGCTTTCTTATCTATCATTTGTGTGTTTGTGTTCACTGGAGTGGCACTTTTAATATCCTTCAAGAACTTTTTCTTTTCTTTGCATTCGCAACTCAGCTAACTGGAACAGAAGGCCTAGCTTTTGACCTGTCTCAGCTTTTGGCATGCTTTCTTAACTAAGCTTAATCATTTCTAGCTTTTGATTTAAGTGAGAAAGGGGACTCTTTTACTTGAACAGTTAGAGGCCATTGCAGGGTTATTAACTGGCCTAATTTCCATATGGTTGTGTCTTGAAATAGGCCCAAGGAGAGGGATAGAGACAAGGAAATGGCTGGTTGGTGGAGCAGTCAGAACACACACAATGTTTGTCGATTATTTCACCATCTTATATGGGTGTGATTTGTGGTGCCCGAAAGAAATTACAATAGTAACATAATAGGTCACTGATGAGAGATCACCATAACAGATGTAATTAATAATAATGACAAATTGTGAAATATTACAAGAATTACCAAAATGTGAAACAAAGTGAGTACATACTGTTAGAAAAAATGGAACCAATAGACTTGTTTAATGCAGGGTTGCCACAAACCTTCAATTTGTAAAAAGAACAGTATCTGTAAAATGCTAAAAAAAAAAAAAAAAAAAAATAGGCAAAGCACAGTAAAACAAGGTATGTCTATGTAAGAAACTGGGTGAAATTATAAGAAAGGTATCTGATTTGCATAGAGCATATAATTGTCGTATATAGAAAGAAAAACTCTTCAAATTCCTGTTGATTCAATTGTGAACAGTATAATTTTTTCACATTATTAAATTACTCTTTTAGCCTGTGACTACCTTACAATTGAATTTGATAATTGGGCTTTGTAATGCATCTTATTATAGGCTAGTTATATTGCATACCATGAGAATAGAAACATATGTTGAAAGGAGACAAATTAGAATAGACAAAAATTATTACCTATTAAAAAGAAGAAAATGATCTCTTTTCCTAAAAAATTTATCTGATGTTATATGAATCTCATTGAGTTTACAAACTGTAGGTATTTTATCATAGGTACTTTATAACTTGGAGACCAATTTATTTTTTGTTTTTTTGTTTTGATGTATTACACAAAGATTTCCTGTTTTTTTCCAGGTAGGTGGTTAGAAAAAAATTATTAGTAGTTTGCTTTAGAGAAGGAAATAGCCTTACCTAATTGGCTTTAAGGTAAGAATCATTTTCATTAGTAAGATGGAGTTTGACAGATCTGGCTTTGCAGGAGAAAAATATGTATTTTAGACACTTTAGTGAATATTTTAGCAATCCTACTTTTTTTTTTTTTTTTTGAGACAGAGTCTCGCTCTGTCGTTAGGCTGGAATGCAGTGGCATGATCTCGGCTCACTGCAACCGCCTCCCGGGTTCGAGTCTTTCTGCCTCAGCCTCCCGAGTAGCTGGGACTACAGGCACATGCCACCACGCCCAGCTGATTTTTGTATTTTTAGTAGAGAAGCGGTTTCACCATGTTGGCCAGGATGATCTCTATCTCTTGACCTTGTGATCCGCCCGCCTCGGCCTCCCAAAGTGCTGGGATTACAGGCATGAGCCACCGCACCTTGCCTACTTTCTTCTTTATAAAAGAATAAGACTTGAGTAAGCAGTAGGTCATTATACTTTATTGGGTAATTTCCATGAGGCATTTGCTGGAGTCCTTATAACTGGTTTTTGTGTAAGCTGTCTTGGTTTTTTAACAATGTGCTGTATCAAATTGATAAGCTTCATAAAGTCTGTATCATAATCTCAACATATGATAGAAAAGCCAGTGCATTGTGGTTTATAATCTCTGAATTTTCTTTCTAAATCTACTAGAATTATACTAACCTTAGAAAGTTCATCTATATTTCACCTCTTTCCTGATTGTAGAGGTAATTATCTCTCAGCTATCACATGTTGTTGAAAATTAAATGATTTAACTTTTCCAGGTACTTCTATAAAATCAGAACTATTAACACTTCAAAGGTCTTATTAATAAGTGCAAGTTTTCTTCAATTATTTTTGTTATACTGATGCCTTTTCCAGCAATTGTTTCTCAATTTGCAGGGGTATAGAGAGTTAAAAATAACTTTTGTTTGCTCTGAAAAACATCTTTTTAATATATTCTAACATTTTAATTTGGCTTTATATTACAGAAACAAATTGCAACCCAAGTCTACTAAGCATAATTGGCTACAATACAACAAGCACTGTCCCAAAGGAAGGGCAGTCAGTCCAGTGGTGGCATGCTCAAGGAATTATAGGACTAATTCTCTTTTTGTTGTGTGTATTTTATTCCAGGTAGGAAAAACTATGGAATTTTTTTCTTTAAACAAGAAGTCTAGCTGTTTATTTATGAATCATTTCTTTTAAAAATGTTCTTTTTTTTCTCTCCTCCTAAACTCTCTTTCATACAGCATCCGTACTTCAAACAATAGTCAGGTTAATAAACTGACTCTAACAAGTGATGAATCTACATTAATAGAAGATGGTGGAGCTAGAAGTGATGGATCACTGGAGGATGGGGACGATGTTCACCGAGCTGTAGATAATGAAAGGGATGGTGTCACTTACAGTTATTCCTTCTTTCACTTCATGCTTTTCCTGGCTTCACTTTATATCATGATGACCCTTACCAACTGGTACAGGTATTTATATTTCATGAAAACTCTGGATGTGTGAATTCTGATGGCATTTTATGATTCTCTTGTGAAACCATGATGTGATATGAAGTACTTTTTATCCTCTGATATATTTCAAAATGTACAGCTAAATGAATAGTGAGATCAGCATGAGAAATGCAGTCTTTACTTCCTTGCTTTAACAGTAACACAAACATTGAAATAGTTCCAAATCTTGGAGAGATTAAAATAAAAATTTTCATGAAACTAATACTTTTTACAAAAATCCATGTTGATAGTGGATCTAACATTTTTTTTTTCAATTCTGTAAAGATAGTGAAGTAAAGGATACATCCTTTTTTCTCTTTTGTTTGAACTGTCATTAAAAGCTCTGAAAATTTTTAAATTTAAGTATGAATTCATTAATGTAGATAGATTCTTAGAATTCTTACAAGCCACAATTTTTACAAGCTTAGAATTCTTTCTACAAGCAACAATTTCTACAAATTCTACAAGCTTAGAATTCTTACAAGCTACTTTTTTTTTTAATCACTTCAAACTTAATCCATAAATCTTTTTCTGTTAAAAGGAAGATAGTGATTTATAGTGTTTCATTTTTGAAAGTTCTGGTTTTGTCCAAATGATTACTGAAAGATTTGGTCAAAGATTCAAATTGAACTATGTGGTTTGGGAAGTTCTGTTTTTAATAACTTTTTAATGCATAATATTAATAAACAAATTGTAAGGCGGCTCTCAGTATCAGCAAAAGATGGAGGAAAAAGATTATTCTTTGTTGTATGTCTTTGAGTGCAGCCTTTACTGATTTTTATTATTGAAAAGTATATATATTTTTTAATTCTTACACTGTAGCGTATTAAGCTATAAGAATCCAGCTGGTTCTTTTTTTTTTTTTTTTTGAAATGGAGTCTTGCTCTGTCACCCAGGCTGGAGTGCAGTGGCTTGATCTCAGCTCACTGCAAGCTGTCTCCCAGGTTCACGCCATTCTCCTGCCTCAGCCTCCCGAGTACCAGCTGGTTCTTAACTCAGATCCTTGGCTGTCACATAATAGTAGATATTAAGGCTTTATACCAGAAGGATTTTGGTATATTTCATTAACTCAAAAATCACTTAAACTTGAGATATATTTCCTTCCCAGTCTCTTAATTCTTTCTTTTTTTAAGGAGATATCTCTGAGTCATACCAGTCTCTTAATTCTGAGAAGGGAGGGGCGGGGGAGGGGGTTGGGGGAGTGGAAATCAGGTGAGGAGTTCCATATACATCTTGAACAATCTTATGTAATAGTGACATCTCATTTATCCAGAGGTCACATTCAGTTCCTCTTCTGTCTAATAACATGGCAGACATGCATAAAGTGCTTCAGAGATTATGCAAAATAACTATTTCAGAGGCCTGTATACTTTACTCCATTAAAGGAAATAACAGATTTTTACCTTCACACTAGCAGTGTGGAAAGAAAGGGAGCAGATTAGATGCAGCAATGATATATCTGAAATCACAAACTGTATACAAAGCACGCTTCTGAATTAATGAAGCTTCATAGCTTGGTGGCTGATAATTCAACCCCCTTGCCCCTTTTTAATAATTTTCCCTGAAATTTTAGGTATGAACCCTCTCGTGAGATGAAAAGTCAGTGGACAGCTGTCTGGGTGAAAATCTCTTCCAGTTGGATTGGCATCGTGCTGTATGTTTGGACACTCGTGGCACCACTTGTTCTTACAAATCGTGATTTTGACTGAGTGAGACTTCTAGCATGAAAGTCCCACTTTGATTATTGCTTATTTGAAAACAGTATTCCCAACTTTTGTAAAGTTGTGTATGTTTTTGCTTCCCATGTAACTTCTCCAGTGTTCTGGCATGAATTAGATTTTACTGCTTGTCATTTTGTTATTTTCTTACCAAGTGCATTGATATGTGAAGTAGAATGAATTGCAGAGGAAAGTTTTATGAATATGGTGATGAGTTAGTAAAAGTGGCCATTATTGGGCTTATTCTCTGCTCTATAGTTGTGAAATGAAGAGTAAAAACAAATTTGTTTGACTATTTTAAAATTATATTAGACCTTAAGCTGTTTTAGCAAGCATTAAAGCAAATGTATGGCTGCCTTTTGAAATATTTGATGTGTTGCCTGGCAGGATACTGCAAAGAACATGGTTTATTTTAAAATTTATAAACAAGTCACTTAAATGCCAGTTGTCTGAAAAATCTTATAAGGTTTTACCCTTGATACGGAATTTACACAGGTAGGGAGTGTTTAGTGGACAATAGTGTAGGTTATGGATGGAGGTGTCGGTACTAAATTGAATAACGAGTAAATAATCTTACTTGGGTAGAGATGGCCTTTGCCAACAAAGTGAACTGTTTTGGTTGTTTTAAACTCATGAAGTATGGGTTCAGTGGAAATGTTTGGAACTCTGAAGGATTTAGACAAGGTTTTGAAAAGGATAATCATGGGTTAGAAGGAAGTGTTTGAAAGTCACTTTGAAAGTTAGTTTTGGGCCAGCACGGTAGCTCACCCTTGTAATCCCAGCACTTTGGGAGGCTGAGGTGGGTAGATTACTTGAGCCCAGGAATTCAAGACCAGCCTGGGCAACATGGTGAAACCCTGTTTCTATAAAAAATAATCTGGGCTTTGTAGCATATGCCTGTGGTCCCAGCTACTGAGGAGGCTGAGGTGGGAGGATTGCTTGAGCCCAGGAGGCAGAGGTTGCAGTGAGCCAAGGTCACGTCACTGCACTCTAGCCTGGGCAACAGAGTAAGACAAAAAAATATATATATATTGAAAATCAAAGGAGGCAAAATTTTGACAGGGAAGGAAGTAACTGCAAAACACTAGGCTTTAGTAGGTACTTATATAAAATCTAGTCCAGTTCTCTCATTTAAAAAAATGAAGACACTGAAATACAGACTTAAATAGCTCAGATAGCTAATTAGGAAATTTCAAGTTGGCCAATAATAGCATTCTCTCTGACATTTAAAAATAATTTCTATTCAAAATACATGCATAATTGATTTTACACCTCATTACTGGTGGATAATTTATGTGATGTGGATTGCTGGTGTCCAGCATGACCCATAAACAGGTCAGAAGAATGATGGAATGTTTTAGAATAAACTCCTGCTTATAGTATACTACACAGTTCAAAAGATGTTTAAAATGCTTTTGTATTTACTGCCATGTAATTGAAATATATAGATTATTGTAACCTTTCAACCTGAAAATCAAGCAGTATGAGAGTTTAGTTATTTGTATGTGTCACTAGTGTCTAATGAAGCTTTTAAAATCTACAATTTCTTCTTTAAAAATATTTATTAATGTGAATGGAATATAACAATTCAGCTTAATTCCCCAACCTTATTCTGTGTGTAGACATTGTATTCCACAATTTTGAATGGCTGTGTTTTACCTCTAAATAAATGAATTCAGAGAAAGTGTGTAGTGTACTGATTATTTAGCAGCTTAACTTTAGGTGGCCATAATAACATTTAGACCTTTCTTCCTATGTGAAAAAGGACCTGGCACTAGAAAGTAACTGCCTGTTTTCTGTAATGATAATTAAATTGCTTAGGAGATTGTTACCCTTTGGTTGTCTGTAAGTGACCCCAGAAGTAGGATCTCAAAGGTAAAGAGGCATTCTTCCCCTAAAGAGTCTTCAGTATATGGATCAGTTTAGTTTGGAGAATATTAATATATTTTCAGTGGATATTCTACATCTACTATGTCTTCCAGCTATTTTTTCTGGTTGCCAGTTTTGATGCTTGTCTTCTTCCACAGATACTTCAGATAGTATAAAAATTTCCCTTACTAAAAAAGAATGTACTTTTACTGATAAAATACTCCAACTCATGTTAGTTACCAAGCTTTAGTATATTTTATTCCATAATTCTTGTGAAGTGGTCTTTCTCCAACATTATCAGCAGCACAATGCCCATAAAAGTATTGACTGTTTATCCCAGATAAAATCTTATGTTCACATAAAAACCTGCACATAAATGTTCATAACAGCTTTATTTGTAACAGACAAAACTGGAAACCCAGATGTCCTTCAATAGATGAATGAAAAAACACACCAGTAAACCTATACCATAGAATACTACTTAAAAAAGGAATGAACCATTAGTACATGCAACAACATGAATGCTGGGTTTTAAAGAAATCCAGTCCCCAAAGATCACATATAATTCCATTTATATAGCATTCATGTAATGATACAGTTATAGAAATGGAGAACAGATTAATGGTTGTTTGGGGTCAGAGATGGGAGGGGAGAGACCTTTGTGGATCATGAACTATGCCTTTGGTGTTGTATCTAAAATGCCACTGTCAAAGAGAGGACCATCTAAATTTCCTTCTATGTTTTCTTTTAGGAGTTGTATACTTTTACATTCAGTTCTGTGATCCATTTGAGTTAATTTTTGTGAAGGGTGGAAAGTCTGTGTCTAGATTCTTTTTTTTGCATGTGGATGTCCAGTTATTCCAGCATCATTTGTCAAAAAGACTATTTTTACTACATTGTATTGCCTTTGTCCTTTCGCTAGGTATCAGTTGACTAAATATGAGTCTGTTTCTAAACTCTGTTCTGTTTCATTGATCATTTGTCTATTCTTTTGCCAATACCACACTATCTTATTATAGCTTTATATTAAATCTTGAGGATGAGTGCTATCAATCATTCCTCCTTCAGTGTTGGTTTTCTCCTTCAATATTGTGTTTGCTATTCCAGGTTGTTTGCCTCTGCATATAAACTTTAAAATCAGTTTATCAAATATCCACAAAATATTGCTGGGATTATGATTGGGATTACATTGAATCTATAGATCAGGTTGGGAAGAACTGACATGTTGACAATATTGAGTCTTCCTATCCATGAATATGAAATATCTCTCCATTTATTTGGGTCTTTGATTTCTTTAATCAGGTCTGTAGTTCTCATGTAGATCTTATGTATATTTTCTTAATTTTTACCTAAATATTTCATTTTGGGGTGCTAATATAAATGGCATTGGGTTTTAATTTCAAATTTGAGTTATTACTGTTACATAAGAAAGCAGTTTACTTTCATATAATAACCTTGTATCCTGCAACCTTGCTGTAATTGCATATAGGTTCCAGGAGATTTGTAATCAATTCTTTTGGATTTTCTACATGAATGATCATGTCATCAGCTAGCAGAGA
Organism: Homo sapiens; assembly: GCF_000001405.40. Classification (NCBI taxonomy): domain Eukaryota; kingdom Metazoa; phylum Chordata; class Mammalia; order Primates; family Hominidae; genus Homo; species Homo sapiens. The sequence goes on along the minus strand of NC_000006.12, from coordinate 122,441,606 downwards.
CAATGTTAATGTTATATGTCCTTTCCCAAGTAGTGTACTTTTTATTTCCTTTTCTTGTTTTATTGCATTAACCAGGACTTCCATTAGGATGTTGAAAAGAAATAGTGAAAAGAAACATCTTTGCCTTCCTCCTTAGTAGGAAAACTGCTAAATTTCTCACCATTAAATATGATGTTACTGGTTGGGGATCTTTGGTAAATATTCCTTACCAGGTTGAGAAAGTTCCCCTCCATTCCTTTTTTATGGAGAATTGGAGAATTTTTTTTTTTTTTTTTTTTTGAGACGGGGTCTCACTCTCACCCAGGCTGGAGTGCAGTGGCGCAATCTCGGCTCGCTGCAACCTCCGCCTCCTGGGTTCAACCAATTCTGCCACAGCCCCCCGAGTAGCTGGGATTACAGGCGCCTGCCACCAAGCCCAGCTAATTTTTTGTATTTTTAGTAGAGACAGGGTTTCACCATGTTGGCCAGGCTGGTCTTGAACTCCTGACCTCAAGTGATCTGCTTGCTTCAGCCTCCTAAAGTGCTAGGATTACAAGCATGAGCCACTGCGCCTGGTCTAGTTTATGGAAAATTTTTATCATGAATGGGTTTTGGATTTTGTCATATTTTTCTGGATCTATTGATGTGATCATATGATTTTTCTTGAGTTTCTTTATGTGATAGATTCTATTAGTTCATTTTCAATATCTGAACCAGCCTTGCGTATCTGGGATGAATCCCTCTTGATCCTGGTGTATAATTCTTATACATTGTTGAATTGGATTTGCTAATACTTTATTGAGGATTTTTACATCTATGTTAATTAAAGACACTGGTTTGTAGTTTTCTCGTGATATTTTTGTCTGGTTTTGGTTTTAGGCCTCATAGAATGAGTTGGGAAGAATTCCCTCTGCTTCTACCTTCTGAAAGAGTTTCTACAGAATTGGTATCGTTTTTAGAATTCACCAGTGAACCCACCTCAGTCTAGCATTTTCTGTTTGGGAAGGCAATAGATTCAATTTTTAAAATAGATACAGGTGTTATTTGGAGTATCTATTTCTTCTGGTGTGAGTTTTGGCAGGTTGTGTTTCAAGGACTTCTTCGTCATGTAGGTTATCAAATTTGTAGGCATACAATTGTGATACTCCTTTATTACCTTTGTTACGTCCATGGGATTTACAGTGATATCCCCTCTTTCATCTCTGATATTAATTTTTGTCTCTCTCAGTCTGGCTTGACAGAGGTTTACTGATTTTATCAATTTTTCAAAAACCAGCTTTTGGTTTTATCAATTTTCTCTGTTGACTTCCTGATTTTCTGCTTGATGGATCTCTTCATTCTGATAGAGGAGTGTTGAAGTCTCCAACTATAATAGTGAATTCAACTTTTTCTGTGTTAACCTATTCTCTAATTTGCTATAAAGAAATACCTGCGACTGGATAATTTATAAGGTAAAAAGGTTTAATTGGTTCACAATTCTGCAAGTTGTACAAGAAGCATGGTGCAAGGCATCTGCTCAGCTTCTGGTGAGGCCTCAGGTAACTTGCAATGATGGCAGAAGCCAACAGGGGACCTGGCATCTCACATAGCAAGAGCAGAAGAGAATGAGGGGGAAGATGCTACACTTAAGCATCTAGATATTGTGAGAACTCACTATCACAAGGACAGCACCAAGTGGATGGCACTAAAACATTGATGAGAAATCTGCCCCAATGATCCAGTTATCTCCCACCATGTCCTACCTCCAACAAACAGTGGGGATTATAATTCAACATGAGTTTTAGAGGAGACCACATGCAAACTGTATCATTCTGCCCCAGCATCTCAAATCTCATATTCTCACATTGCAAAATACAATCGTCCTCTGCCAATATTCTCCCAAAAATCTTAACTAATTCCAGCATCATTCAAAAGTACAAAGGCCTTCTGAGACAAGGCAGGTCTCTTCCACCTATAAGCCTTTAAAATCCAAACAAGGTATTTACTCCCAAGATACAATGGGGGTGCAGATATTGGATAAATATTACCATTCCAAACAAGAGAAATTAGCCAAAAGAGGCTGCAGGCCCCATCCAAGTCTGAAATACAGCAGTGCAGTCTTTTTTTAAATATCCCAAATAACCTTCTTTGACTCCATGTCTTACCTTGTGCCTCACAAGAGCACATTGGTATAAGGAGTGGGCTCCCAAAGCCTTGGGAAGCTCTGCCTCTGTGACTTTGCAGGGTAAAGGGTTGGAGTTTAGTGCTTGCAGCTTTTCCAGGCACAGAGTGCAAGCTATTGGAGGATCAACCATTTTGGGGTCTGGAAGACAGTGGCCCCCTTCCCCCAGCTCTCTGAGGAGCACCCCAGTGGGGACTCTGTTGGGCCTCCAACCCCACATTTCCCCCCCATACTGGCTTAGTAGAGGTTCTCTGTGAGGGCTCCATCTCTGCAGCAGGCTTCTGCCTGGTTACTCAGGCTTTCTCATACATCCTCTGAAATCTAGGTGGAGGTTGCCAAACCTCCTTCACCCTTGCACTCTCCACACCTGCAGGCTTAACAACACGTGTTAGCCACCAAGGCTTATGGCTTGTGCCCTGCACAAGTGGCACCCCATGCCTTACTTGGGCCCTTTAGAGCTGAGCAGTGTCCCAAGGCTGGGCAGCCCCTTCTCTATGGCTGCTTTTACATTTTTTTCTTTCATTTCAACCTTGGAAAATCTTATGCCTATGTGCCTCAGGTATGGTCTTCTTGTGAAGTATCTCCCAGGGCATTTCCTCAGTTTGAATGTTGGCCATTCTAGTGAGGTTGGGGAAATTTCATGAACAATATCCTGAAATATGTTTTCCACGTTGCTTGCTTTCTTCCCCTTTGGTTTCCTTTACATAATCCCCTATTTCTTGGAGGTTTTGTTCATTCTTTTTGTTTTAGTTCAGTGAGCCAATCTTTGAGCTCTGAGATTCTTTTCTCAGCTTGGTCTATTCTGCTGGTAATACTCGTGATTGCATTATGAAATTCTTGTAGTGTCTTTTTCAGCTCTATCAGATCAGTTTGGTTCTTTCTTATAATGCCCATTTCATCTATCAGCTTCTGTATCATTTTATTGTAATCCTTAGATTTCTTGGATTGGGTTTTGACTTTTCTCCTGAATCTCGATGATTTTTGTTCCTATCCATATTCTGAATTCTACTTCTGTCATTTCAGCCATTTCAGCCTGGTTAAGAACCCTTGCTGGGGCACTAGGGTGGTTGTTTGGAGGAAGAGACTCTGGCTTTTCAAGTAGCTATATAGCAATGCTCCACTCCTCAGTACCAATTTTCTGTGGCAGGCCATCCTTATATTGCAAAAAATACCTGAGGCTGGGTAATATATAAAGAAGCTTAATTGGCTTATGGTTCTATAGGCTGTACAAGCAGCACAGTCCCAGGCATCTGCTCAGCTTCTGGTGAGGCCTCGGAAAGCTTACAATCATGGTGGAAGGCAAAGGAACCCGATGTCTCACATAGTGAGAATCAAGAGTAAGAGAGAGTGAAGGAAGAAGCCATATACTTGTAAACAGGCAAACCTCATGAGCACGCACCATCACAAGGACAGCATCAAGTGGATGGGGCTAAACCATTCATGAGAAATCTGCACCAATGATGCAGTCACCTCCTACCAGGTTCCACCTCCAGCACTGGAAATTACAATTCAACAAGAGAGTTAGAGGGGTCAACTTCCAAACTATATCATTCTCCCTGCAGTTCTATCAGTTTTTGCCTCATGTATCCTGATCCTCTGTTCTTGGGTGCATACATGTTAAGGATAGTCATGTCTTCTTGGAGAATGGACCCCTTTCATCATTATCCCTGATAGTAATTCTTGCTGTATAGTCTGCTATTCTATAATATACCTGTTTCTTCATTTTGGTTAGTGTTAGCCTGGCATATTTTTCTCTCTTTAATTTGTATGTCTCTTTACATTTCAAGTGGGTTGCTTGTAACCAACATATAATTGGGTTTTGTTCTTTGATCCTGCTTTGACAATTTTTTCTTTTTTAAACTGGCCCAGTTTTTCCATATAATAATCTATCTTTTAATTGGTACATTTACACCCTTGACATTCAAAGTATTTATATATTTGGATAAACATCTACCATAATGTTACTGTTTTCTATTTGTTAACCTTGTTCTTTATTCCTATTTTTGTCTTCCATTCGTCTTGTGCCTTTGATGGTGTTAATTTGGCATTTTATTATTCTCTCTTCTAGCGTGGTTTTCTTGTGGTTGCCCTTGTGTTTGCAGTATAGATTTACAAATAATGCAACCCCTCTTTCAAATAATAATATACTGCTTCTTGGGCAGTGTACCTTATAGTAACAAAATAATCCTAATTTCTCTTTCCTATCCCATGTATCATTGCTGTCATTCCACTTATATATAAGCACCCCTAAGTATGACGACTATACACACACACACACACACACACACACAAAAATATATGTGTACAAAATCAAATACATTGTTGCCATTATTTTGAATGAACTGTTAACTGTTAGATTAAGAATTGGTACCATATGGAACAGGTTAGTGGAACTTACTATAAAAGGCTTTTCTTTGGGGGAAATTTTTAATTACTGAAACTATTTAGGAGCTGTGGGATTACATGTCTATCTTCAATTAGTTTGAGTAAAATACTCGTAGTAATTTGTGTATTTTGTCAGTTTTCAAATGAATTGTTCATAATATCCTCACATTTTCAAATTTCAACTGCGTTTATAAAATTTTCATTTTTCCATTCTCTATTTGTGTCTTCTTGCTCGATCTTACCAAAATATTTTGTTTTAGTGCTTTTTCAATAAACAAGTTCTGGCTTATTTTACTTGGTTTTTGTCCACTCATTTTGTTTTTATTCCTTTCTTAAAAAGGCACTTAAGAATAGATTTCCCCTCTAGATATCACTTAAACTGCATCTCATAAATCTGGGCATGTACTTTTCTTTTTTTTTAATCATTAACATCAGTATTTCCAACATTTTTTGTTTGGCCCCAAAGTTTAGCAGTTCTTTTCCAATTTCCAGAAATGTTAAAGAAGCTCAAAATGGTTCTTCTGGTTTCTAGCTTATTTGCATTGTGGTTAGTCTGTTTGATACCAATTCTTAGAAGTTTGTTGACTTACTTTATGACCTACTATGCTATATTGATTCTCGAAAAATACTTCATGTGTGCTTGAAATGAAGGTTTAGGCTCTAAGTCTTGAACGTGACCTTTTATATACGTTAAGTCATAGTGAATGTCATTTTGGTATTTTTCCAGTCGCAGACCATTCTTCTCACATCTGAAGCTCTAGATTCCTGATTATGCCATCTGTAATCAAACACATACTGACACAACCTAAAAGAACATTTAGCTGTCTGTAATTCGCAAGCTTTTATGGTCCTAGTTCTATCTCCCTAAGACAAAAAAAAAAAAAAAGCTGGAAGTGGGATAATGAGGGGTACCCCCTACACTGTCTTCACACTGTGGTACTAGTTTCCCAGATAGTACAGGCAGACTTCCTCTGGTACACACAAGCTAGATTGTTTTTTAAAGAAACCACATCTTTCATTCCTATGTGTGTTCTTTCCTAAAACTGATCTGGCTGAAACGGTGCCTCAGGCCTCAGGACAAGGCATCCTTTTTTTTTTTTTTTTTTGAGACAGAGTCTGGCTCTGTCACCCAGGCTGGAGTGCAGTGGCGCGATCTCAGCTCACTGCAAGCAAGCTCCGTCTCCCGGGTTCACGCCATTCTCCTGCCTCAGCCTCTGGAGTAGCTGGGACTACAGGCGCTCGCCACCATGCCCGGCTATTTTTTGTATTTTTTAGTAGAGACGGGGTTTCACCGTGTTAGCCAGGATGGTCTTGATCTCCTGACCTCGTGATCCACCCACCTCGGTCTCCCAAAGTGCTGGGATTACAGGCGTCAGCCACTGCACCCGGCCGGCATCATCCTTTTTAACAATTATTCTGGCCAGGTGCGGTGGCTCATGCTTGTAATCCCCGCACTTTGGGAGGCCGAGGAGGGCAGATCACCTGAGGTCAGGAGTTTGAGACCAGCCTGGCCAACATGGTGAAACCCCGTCTCTACTAAAAATACAAAAAATTAGCCAGGCGTAGTGGTGCACGCATGTAATCCCAGCTACTCCAGAGGCTGAGGCAGGAGAATCGCTTGAACCCGGGAGGCAGAAGTTGCAGTGAGCTGAGATTGCGCCATTGTAATCCCTGTCTGGGCAACAGAGCAAAACTCTATCTCAAACAAAACAGAACAAAAATTATTCTTTTCATACTTGACAAAACAAAGATATATCTCTTATCCATTCTGAATCTTACCAATGCACTTTGGAAAAAAATCTCCAGACAATTGGTAAAGGGACATTTAAAAATATTGGTGAGAAAGAGATGACACTGAGTTAAAAAAAACTTTTTTTTGTGATTTAGCTGGTTTCTAATATTTTGCTTTCAACAAAATTGAAAGATGATCCAACTGAGTCATCAATTGATAGAATTCTGGTACATAATTCTAAAGGTATTAAAAAATTAACAGTACTATACAAAACTGCTTTTTCATCTACTTGTCATTTTGTACTATAAACAAAGATTCTCAGGATTTTAACATCAGTGAAAACAAAAATAGGAATAAAATTGGTACTAACTTTTATTATGAAAACTCAGGAAGAGCTGTTTATTCCACTATAAGATATATTTTTGGTAAAACTTTTTGTTTAACAGATCATCAAAATTAGACTCTAATTGTAGTAAACATTACAAGCTATAACAGATCAACCCCCAAAAACTCAGGTAGAAAAAAGGTTTGTTTCCCCTCACCTGAAGTGTAAAATGGTTATCCAGGACTGATAGGTGGCCTTCCTCTAAGCAGTAATTCAAGAAGCCATTTTTTTCCTTCTTGATTGTATATTTGAAAGCTACATACAACTCTGCATCAAGCCAGTGGAGGGGTAAATGGCATGGGAGGAATGCATGGGGGAAGTTACACCACCAGAACTGGAAGTGCTACACATCACTTCTCCTGTTTTACTGATTAAAACTCAGTTACATGGCTACCCCATCTGCAGTGGTGGAAATAATCTAGCCACATGATAGGAAAAGGAAACGGTCTGGCAATCAGTTAAGTCTCTACCATATATATTTATATGGTTTTAATCCACTGTGTAGTTATACAGTATAAAATTGGAGGGAAAGTTTTTTAATGCCTAGAATCTTACAGTTATGGGAAACAATCTCAAATTTAGATGTAAAGAGGTGTCACGAAAGATCATCATTGTCTAACTTTCAAACATAAAAAAGCAGGATAAAATTCTTTGGAGGAAGCCGGGCACGGTGGCTCATGCGTGTAATCCCGGCACTTTGGGAGGCCGAGGCAGGCAGATCACCTGAGGTCAGGAGTTCAAGACCGGCCTGGCCAACATGGTGAAACCCCATCTCTACTAAAAATAAAAAATTAGCCAGGTGTGTTGGCACATGACTGTAGTCCCAGCTACTCAAGAGGCTGAGGCAAGAGAATCGCTTGAATCTGGGAGGCGGAGGTTGCAGTGAGCCGAGATCACGCCACTGCTCTCTACCCTGGGCGACAGAGTGAAAGTCTGTCTCAAAAAAAAAATTGTTTGGAGGAAGTAGAGTGGATGATAGAGATCAAATCACTATGGCATTCAAATTCCTTTAGGTAAATGTTAAAGAAACATATAACAATTATGTTTTAAAACAGCAATATTAACTATATCCTAAATTCCTTCCAACTATTTAAACTTAAGATGAAAAATCTTAAATGTCAACTTTAAAAGTACCAGGGTCATAATCAAGTTTTTCAAAATTATTTTTTAAGTGCTTCTAGAGTTCCAAAATGCCCCCAAGAAGAAGAAACTTGACTGTATTTCACAATGAGAAAGGAATGAAGAAAAGTCTTTTAAGGTTTTCTCCTCTCAGTTTCTAAACTCTTATCACCCTTAGAAACATAACCTCTTCAGCTCACGCAGAGCACTGTTGTAGGGTCTTGAATTAATTCACCAAGATCCCACCATCAGAGCCAAGTATTTTAGGATCTAACTAAAACTCTCCTAAGGGAATTTTCCTATTCTTCTGTGCTAGCCCTTACTTTGAATCTTTACATCATAATAAAAGAAATTCTAAGACACTGACAGAATATGGCCAATAGGAAAACCTGCCTTGAAACTCATTAAATAGCCCTATACAATATTAATTGTACTGCTTTCAGCCCTTTGCCCAAAGGTGAAATTCTTCACATGATAAAGTGCCCTGGCCTTGCATTAAGTCTCCATAATTCTCTTGGGCAACTGTTTCAAAGGAAAGAGGTGATTTGACTATTTCTCTTATCTTCTCTCCAGACATCCAGTGATAATATTCTTACACTATTTGGGACAATGAGAGGCATAATTCTCTCACTTTTTTATTAGAAACATAGAAAGCAACCCAGTATAATTTTTAAACAAAGAACTTTAAAATACATTAAATTTAGAGATTATATTTCTCCCTTGTTGCAATATACAATATATTTTCGAGATGAGGCACAAATATCTTGGTATGATTCATATTGAGAATAATGAACCACAGACAGTTTAAAGCTACTGCTTCCTATGAGAAGAAAAAATTGTTTCATGTGAGTGTCACCTCTAAAGAAGACACATAACAGACACTAGTACTCAACATTCATTGTATTTATTTTACTAAACAGTATGGTTCAAAAAAACACAAACCGGAAAACCTTTATTTAAAACTAGTCCAACTAACTGGATGGGGCTCACTCCATCCCATCCCACCCCCGATCTTTCTATATATATGGAGCTGGAACCCTATCAGACAGCGAGCATTCACGTACACTTTGTCTTTCCTGTTGAACATGAATAAACGTCTTTGAACATAAATGAACTTCTCTGAACCAAAAGAAACAAATGAAGTTTTACAAGATACAGGCACTTTATGTTCCCAGTTTTAAAAATAAGCCAAGTGAAAAATATTTAATAAAAATAACTGGAGCAGAGAAAGCTTTAGGAGTTATACCATTAGTTCAAATGACTTACACTCAATGCAAATAGACAGCATCAAACAGGAAAACAAACAAAAATTTAACTGAGGTTAATGGTCGTATTTGTAAAAAAAAGATATCCAATTTACCAAAATTGGAGAAAAATGGCCATTTGAATCCAACTTAAAGATACGCCAATAATGTGCATTACATCTGCGTAACTATGCAGCTGAGTAACACCTGAAAGCTCTGCAAGAGTGTGTGGTTAGTGAGAAAAGCAAAAGGTGCTTTTATTCCACAGTATCTGATTAAACAAAACAAAGCAATTTACAAAAAAAGTACCAAATGATACTTTAAAATAAATAGTTCATCATTTTGATGAATATATACATGTAAAGTCCACTTCCTGGGGATTTAGCTATCTAAAAGTGGCATATCACTATCCAGAGGTGCAGGAGCAAGTTCACATAAATAAAACAGTGTAGCTTCACTAGCTTCAGCTTCAGTCAATGGCTCCAGGCGAACAAGCTTACTTTGGGTTGGTTCTGGGTCTAGGCTGCTATCCAGAAGCTCATCAACTTCTATGGGTTTATCTACAGAGGACAAAACTTCTGATGATGCTGTTGTACTCGCCTGTTCAACAGAAGAAGCAGGGTTCCCATCGAGGAATGCAAGAAGTGGAAAGGCGGTATACTGGATAAGCTGCTTATCTATAAAGATCAGAAAAACACTCTTTTATCACCAGCTTATACTGAGTTCAAGCTGAGGGGAAAAAAATGAAAACAGAGATGTACACATAGGCAATTACTACTCTCATATAGCCAAACAAGAAATGACATGATGCACTATGTCAATAAATTTTAAAATGTGCAAGTCAATAGCTCTTATTCAACAATTAAGAAATGAGGGGTCTTTAGTTTCCTAAAGTTAAATAGGATAAAAAAAAAAAACTTAAAGAATTGTTACCTCACCAATTCAACTTTCTCTATATACTAGAACCTCGACACACTATTCACAGAACTAAAGCCAGCATATTCAATTAAGACTACCCTCGGCTTGCACTTGTTTCTGCATAGGATTAAAAAAACCTACAGAGACTGAATACTATATTTATACCTACCTGGTTTGGATTTAGATTTTCTTCCCTCTTCCGAAACTGGCTGAACTACATTGTTCTTGGTAGTTTCTAATCCTTTATTCTCAGACTAAAAGAAAAAAATATATATATAAGTACTTGTTTCATATTTTATGTTTCTGAAAAAAATGAAAAATTGATACAATATGTAAATACTGGTATATTATCTGAAATATATGAGATGGGGAAACATCAGGGAAAATGGGCTACAGAGAGAGATCTGAGTAGAGATAACAAGACTGGTTAAGGAACTATTGCTGTCACTGAGGGGATAAAACAAAGAACCTGAATTAAGATGTTCTATATTAAGTATGAAATGAAGGGGGATTTCAGCAGCAGAACAGATAGAATTTGTCACGAGTAAAAGATCAGAATGAATCAAAGATGACTGGTTTCAAAATGTTAATTGAGAGATAATTAACTAAGCAATTAAATTCATTTTAAGTAGTTTTGATTTAAAAAATGTATTATACATTTCACTCATAAACAGAATATTTAGCATAAGTGAACATATTTAGAGTAGCTCAGGATGACATAATGACATCCTTAAAACTCTTTATCACTATTTAGAAGCCTCAAAGTTGAGGTGGTGTTTCTTCTTGTCCTTTCTGTAGCTCTGTCAGTTCTTTTCTGTCATTTAAATTGCTTCTTTGAACCACTTTCTTCTCTCCTCACATCTGACTGTGGTAGGGAAATTATATCTTTACCATTGTTAATTTCTTCAGTGCTCCTTTCATGTTCAAACTCTGAGGTGCAGAGGTTCTTAATTTTTCCTGTAAGTCCCAGACATCTGCAAGTCCCAGATCTACATGCTGGCTAAATATATATGGTGTAACCAACTGTAAACTAATTCCAGTAATTCCCCTGATATTTAACATAAAATGAAGCTGTGTAAGTTTTAGGATTTAAGAGAAAATAAGGGCTCCAAGATATAATAAAAACTACGAAACCTTTCCAAAAGTGTACATAAAAATATTTCATCACTTAGCATTCACAATAAATATATAAACATTAATGAAATAATACCATCTTTATTTTTAGGCTTCCTAAAATAGGTATTTTCCAAAGACGTCACCGTTATTCTAAAACATGAGAACCTGATAACAAATGGATTTCAAATAGACACAATAAAAAATGATAAAGAGGATATCACCACTGATCCCACAGAAATACAAACTACCATCAGAGAATACTATAAACACCTCTACACGAATAAACTAGAAAATCCAGAAGAAATGAATAAATTCCTGGACACATACACCCTCCCAAGACTAATCCAGGAAGAAGTCAAATCTCTGAATAGACCAATAACAAGTTCTGAAATTGAGGCAGTAATTAATAGCCTACCAACCAAAAAAAGCCAGGACCAGACGGATTCACAGCTGAATTCTACCAGAGGTACAAAGAGGAGCGGTACCATTCCTTCTGAAACTATTCCAAACAACAGAAAAAGAGGGACTCCTCCCTAACTCATTTTATGAGGCCAGCGTCATCCTGATACCAAAACCTGGCAGAGACACAACAAAAAAAGAAAATTTCAGGCCAATATCCCTGATAAACATCAATGCGAAAATCCTCAATAAAATACTGGCAAACTGAATCCAGCAGCACATCATAAAGCTTATCCATCACCATCAAGTCGGCTTCATCCCTGGGATGTAAGGCTGGTTCAACATACACATATCAATAAACGTAATCCATCACATAAACAGAACCAATGACAAAAACCACATGATTATCTCAACAGATGCAGAAAAGCCTTTAATAAAATTCAACACTCTTTCATGCTAAAAACACCCAATAAACTAGGTATTGATGGAACATATCTCACAACAGTAAGAGCTATTTATGACAAACCCATAGCCAGTATCATACTGAATGAGATTTCATTTCCCATGCAAATTCTTATTCATTCATAGTGGCCAATTAAGATTGCTGTACTGAGAAGTATAAGGCATCTGATTTATTAGGAAAGTGTTGTAATCCATGTTATGTAATACCTGTCATGAGCAAGGGAAGGACAGCTGATGTGCCAATTATTTGAAAACATTAAAATCTAGATTCAGAACTATAATGAAAAGTCACTCTCAAATGTAATTTTTCTACAGCATTGTAGAGCAAAATGCAATTTGTTGCTTAACTGCTTATAGTTTTTGAAAACTATAATCAAGGTCTTGGTTTCAGGAATAAGATGATGATCCACAAATAAGGACTCAATGTCCAGTCGCAAATAAACAACAAAGCACATTCACTACATGAACAAATGATATGGGTCCATTCAACTTAAATGGTCCATGAGAATAACATTCAGTAATATATTTACTGAAACACAGAGCATGTTATATAAAATCTTGTAATATAAATCCAGGTAAACTTATGGTCCATATGCCAAATTCAGCATGCTGCCTGTCTGTAAATGAAGTTTTTTTGCAACACAACCACACATTCTTTTACATATTGTCTGTATCTGCTTTCACATTACAATTGCAGAACTGCATAGTTATGACAGAGAACATATGGCCTGAAAAACCAAAAGTATTTACTAGCTGCCCCTTTATGGAGAAAGTATGCCAACCTCCAATATAAATTATCTGAATACTGAATGTATAATCAACTTCCTATTTCACAAATTCACAAATTTTTTAAGCTCTAAGTTATCCACAATGTAACTTTGAAGATATAGACAGTCTGGTCAGGCTTACACATGACAATAATCGTATAAATTCCACCCCTCACCCTAATCACTTATATTTATTTGAGATGTGCTCATTTTTGGACTATAAAGAAAAAGAATCAAAATAAAATTCTGGCTTCACTAATCTGGAATCTGGACTTGATTTACCTTTAACAAGGCTTACTAAACAATTTGGTACAAATAAAAGATAAAGGGAGTGTATACCTATTCATGACAATTAAGTTATATAAAATACAATGATATAAAACACCTGCTCTAATAACTTCAAATTGTCCTTACTACTCATTAAAAACAAGTTCCGCAAAATCTCTTGTCAACACTTGCTAAGCCCAAGTGCAGTTCCTATATGTCAAAAAAAAAATCCTTATTACTTAAAAAAAGTCAAATATTCATACGTTTCAACTTCCCTTTTCTGCAATAAATAAGAATTCCTGAATTTTTACTTTATGCTAATGATAGAACTCACAAAAAATATGGGTACTATAACTTTTTAATAAAAAAGTTGAGAATAGGAAAAATAAGAATGTAAAATGCTGCCCATAAAACATGAAGAAATCATATTTTAGTTATTGGTTTCAATATACCAAGTTTAGTCAGGTGATCTCCCAGCACCAAAAGAAGTTAATTTCATACTGGTAGTTAATCCCACAAGTGCCAAAAGTGGGTAATAGTTCACCACATAACCAAAAGCTAATTTTTCAACTAGAATTTTATTATCTTGATCACACATACTGGGTAAGAATATAAAATGCTTTTTGTGGCTGGGAGTGACATTGCTCTCTACTTATTAGGACGTTTTTGTAGATTTTTATAGCTATGGGTCCTGAGCAACATGAATTAAAACTTACTTTTGTATTATTGATGTAATCTGTGGGATTCATCTGCACAGAACTAGTGAAAAGCTGAAAGACCAAACAAGAAAGATGATAAGTTTAAAAAATAATTAAAAATAATTGTGTGTTCAAAATTTTATACAGCCATGTTGGGTGAAGAGATGTAGCCCCTGCACTAGGAAGCTTCTATACAGTTAAACAAGTTTGAAAGAGAAAAGCAGAAAGAAAAACAAACAAAAGCAGAACAAGCTAGCCCATGCATTAGATAAAATTTCATGTGGTAAGAATTTCTCTAAAAAACATTGGGGTAAATCACTTGAGACAAATAGTGGTTTTCACCTCCTCCCTTCTTCATTATTTATCATTCAATTTCATTTCCTTTATTTTTTTTCTCTAAATGTCTTTGGCCTTAAGTGGTGTGCAGGGTTGAGACCTCTGCCCTGACACTGAGCCTTCACTGAATACCTGGTTAGGTAAAAAATTTACAGAATCTGCTCTATGACAGTGGCTCCTAAACTATGCCTCAAGTGAAGCCCTCTGACAGATGGCATATCTACTTGTTGGTTCTTTTCACCACACCTCGCAAGGAAAATTTTAAGTGCTAAGATCACTGCTTACTGCACTCCTCAGTCCAGCCAGTTCACAGATGTAACTATAAGTCATAAGCTTTAAAGTCATTCATTCCATAGAAATTTACTGAGTATCTTTAACAAATAACTGACATCATAAAGACATCATTCCTGCTCTCTAGGAGCTTACAATCTAAAGGACAAGGTAAGACCAACATCAAATAGCAACACACGTTCAGATATAATCCAGTATTTTAACAGAAGATGGTGGCGCTCAAAAGCACTAAGGAGTTAAGACAATGGGAAGGGAGGAAAGCGCACACAGAAACATACATAATGAAATAAAAGGGCTGATAAAACTATGTGATATATATCAGTACCTGGAGAATATTAGGTTAGAACTTGGAAAGGAGAAGACTAGGGGAAGAACACACGGGTATAATACTAGCGGCATCAACAAAGAAGGTAGGATATGTTCCAGAAATAGAAATAACACAGAAGTTCTAAGTTGAATAAGTTATATACATAGGTTCGAAAAGTAGAGGCCACATCCTGTCAGCAATAAGAGCCTTGGGAATGGCCTGAATGATGAAATGCACTCACTGAGTTAGCCTTTTATGAGAATGAACACACCAAATGGTTCACAGGATAGAATGAGGTGCAAAAAAGCCACAGGCAGATTCTTCCTCCATTCTCTCTAGACACTGATTCCTCTCTTTAAAGTTCCATATTCATGGTAGTCCTATAAAATTCCCTGGCTTTGCCTTTTTATTTCCTTCTCCTTTCTTACCAACTACTAACCTCAGAAAAGGAAGAAAGCTCAGATCCTTGAGAGTAGATAGTGACTCATAATAATCAATCTCTGCCAGTTTAGCTTATCACTGCCTAAGAAGCCTAACCCAAATTTTGTCCCTACAGAGAGTGGCATCTGAGGAGGACCAGCACTGTAAGCTCCTCTATTCTCCTCTTTGCCCAGCAACCCCTACCCACTAACTCAGGGATATCCTACATGTATTCCTAGGAGACAAATGGTAGAAAAAGTAGATCATATATAAGCTGACACAGCTGGTTGAATTCTAAGGCCAGGCCTCTCCTGCTGTGACCCCACTCTGGGTTACCAGTACTGGTACTAAACTCTTCAGAGAGAAGCTGTAAACTTTTCAGCACACTTATTCACATTCTTACCATTTTTGTCATCTCAGAGAACAAAGCAGCATAGGTGGACTTTTTATTTATGACAATACAGCGTAATTCAAGGATAAAATAATGAGGGTCTTGGATGAGAAAAGCAATAGTGAAAACAGAATATAGGGATGGCTTGTGAATGCTATTTTAGAAAACTGGATTTAGTGAATGATGAGAGAAAGAGAATTCAAGGTGATTCTGTGATAACTATCCTCCTAAGTAAATAGAAGTAATACCACTACAGAAAATCAGAAAGCTGTAAAATGTAACTAATACAGAGAATAAAGAAGTTTATTGTTAAATCAAGTAATCTGAGGTAAGAGCTAACTGATGATCCCAAAGTAACGGAATTAGAATTCAAGTCCAGTTTACTTTAGAAAAATGTTAAGAGCTGGATATACACATTTGAAAGCAATCTTACAAGCCAAAATCTCTTCACAGAGGAAGAATGGAAAAAGAAGAGAGACAGAAAAAGTAAAAGAGGCTGAAAGATTGGGTGCATTAGGGGATGCCCTTAAGTAGAAGATAGTAGAAAAAAGAAAAGCTCTTAGATAAAACAGAGAAGATTAGGGAGACAGGGAGAGAACAAAAAAGTACAGCACCTCTAAAATCAACAATAAAAGTTCTATTGTACAGAATGCCCAATAATGTTAATAATAGTGTTAATTATTTCTAATTCTTGCCAACAGCCCTTCATGTTAGACATTAGCAACATTTAACAAATGGAGAAACTAGGCGAGAGAGAATAACTTTTCAAAGGTTAGTAACATAGCTAGTAAATAACATGAGCCTATAACAGAACCCAAATTTGTCTGATTCAAAACAAACTTTCCACTAGCCCAATGGACTAATACAGCAAAAAGAAAAGAAAAATCACACACAGCGTACTTACAATGAAAAAAACCAAGACAACACAGGCAGTGCAGAGTTTGAGTTAATAAGCAACACAATACAAAGCTTCAGACAAAATAGAGTAAAAAAGAGGTAAATACAGCCACTCGTTTCTAAAGTTTTGTAGTAAAGGAGTTAGAGAAGCAGAATGGTAAATGAACAAAGCAAGATGTCAAAATGGTTGTTTTTTAAGATGGAGCAGATCTCTAACTACTGAAGGCAGACGGGAAAGATTAAGGATAGAGGAGACAAATACAGAGGCAAAGGATAGGGGTACACATTGGTTTAAGGAATTACTTCTAAGAAGAAAGGATACAAGATTGGAAACAGAGTCATTACTTATGAGAGAATGAGAGTATAGTTAATTATCCTCTGTGAATAAGGGGTTGTTGACTGGATAAGGTCTTTAGGGCAAATAAATGTGGCAAATGTTTTAAAGTTGAATTAAAATGACCTAGCTGAAGACTGTAAGGATTTGAACATGGCCAGAATTATAGAATTTTATTTCGTTCTTGGTGATCTAAAGGAAAAATATTTTGAAAGGTCTCTGGATCTAAAGAAGGGAGAAAGGCTGATAGGATCAAAAAACACTGTCAGGTTACCGCTAAGTTGAAGTAGGTTATCAACATGGATACAAAATTCAAATTAACATGTATTCATAAGATAGAAACACAGGTCAAAATGGAAAAGAAATCTTCAAAGAAAGTAAAATCCCCTCTGTGAGGTGCTAACAATTTAGTAAGAACAAGTCCTTGGGGCACTGACAAGGACTGGTGAGAAGCAGAGGAGTAATGCAGTAAATTAATGAACTTGAAATAAGATTGAAGAGCAGAAAGAACTAATTCTTGTTTAGCCTGAGAGGCTTGTAAAAGGGTAAGAGAAGCTGCAATGTAAGGAAAGAAACACAGAAAAAAAGACAACAAAATTTTCCAGGATAAAGAGAGAAAACTGTTCACAACAGAAAATGGAAATAGGAGACAGAACAAGATTCATCTAAGCGCGACCAGACCACGTAGGAAGCTTTAGATAAAGAAGGGAGGAATAGCAGGAACAAGAGAGAATAGAGTAAGAAAGGTGGTTAGTGGCAGAAACGGTAGATAAGAATTCTCAGTCCAGTCAATATTGAAGTCAACTTCATAGGGATGGTGGTGGGGACTGGAGCAGGGGAACCTTGTAACTCAAAATATAAAAATGTAAAAAATAAGGCAAATATATTAAAACATATTTGAGTAAAAAATGTTAATCCCCAAAGTATCAAAAGGTGTCTCCATGCTATTTCCTAGCTAAGTACCTCTATTACTAATTTCCACAAATTTCTATTTACTGACAATTCATTCTAGAGCAAAACAGAAAAGAGCAACAAGTCCAGACAAGACATGAACTTAACAGTACTGCTGAAAAGATCTGATATGTTCTCACAGGGAAATTAGTTCAATTGCTACTCCAAGGCAGGTGGTAATCATACTCCTTCAATGTCCCAAACCTATTTTTTCATTCTTTCTGATAAACAAAATTATTAATTTAAAAAAGAAATGCAAAAACAACCTGTAGAATACAAAACAAAATGACGTACTGGTTTTTAAATAATATACATAAACACACAAACTACCAGTATAGCAAAGATTACCCAAAGTACCTACATCAACCAGGAGATCTGGGTCTATGCTAAATTGTCTTCCTGATAGCATGGCCTGGAAGTCCTCTAAACTGCAGTCAATACTGTCAAGATAATCCAACAGCTCAACCCTAAGGAAAAAAAAATTTTTTTAATCAAATATTAGATATCCTTGTTTTTATGTTTAAAAATCACCATTACAACTTGGCTAGGCAAGATATTTCTAGCAGCTGCTGCATCCTTACCGGTTCTTAATCTTAAGAGATCTTATTCTAGAGTAGGAATTCTTGAAAATCTGGTTAACTGAAAATTCATAGCCTTTACAGAAAACTTTAGTATTTACAGAAAAACACACCCTGCAGAACAGTCTGATTTACCTTTTTCCTCTATACTATATAAAATGTTTAATCTCATTACTGATTATTACTATTAAGTTTTCTTTGTTATAAGTACCTTACTAGAAATTACATTATTCTGTAGTTTGGATACACAAATATATATAATCACAAACACTGTATGTACACTCAAAGGAAGTATATCATCAAAGGAATCTGAGAAACTACCAGGAAAATACCAAGACTATTCTTGGGATGATTAAATCCCATTCATTACAGAACTCAACACTGACCAAAACAGAGAAAGGTGGACTATGTGGGTTCATCATCTGAAAGGAAGATTACTCAAAGAGAAACAGAACATGTGAAGTGAACAAAGAAAGCAAATAATTTTAGACAACATCTAGATAAGCACTCACTTTCCCAAAAGATTGATGTTATCATTCAAAATGGAATCCATCATGGTCACTGGATCTTCTGAGGTCAGACTGGATGAGCCATTTAGCTGGACAGCACTAGACATGAGAGGGCTGCTGCCATCACTGCCTGAACTTAGGGATTCTCTGGCTGGTTCATTCTGCTCTCCACTCTGAATGACAGGTGCATACTCATCTTCATTGTCATCTTCAACGATGACAATATCAGGGTACTGGCTACAGCTAAATCAGCAATAAAAGAAGGAACCTATTACATTTTCAAATTTAATAAGTTCATACTATCCATTCATTCTAAATGGAAACTCTCTCCCCATACCACATACTGAAAGGCTTAAATTTCTTGAGCGAGCAGCTTAATCACAATATTGGTACTTCATAGTATAGAAGACCATAAAGATTGAATGAGAAGTGCTTAACTCCAAAATAAAAATTAAAAATCAATTAGTTTTCAGTATACCTCCTTTGAGAGGAAGAGGAGGTGAGGTTTTATCTGGTTGAATAATTTAGCTTAATTATCAAGTTTAATAATCCAAATGTGAGAAAGATTATTATTTTTCAAAGAACAAAGTAGTTTTGAATTTTACTCTGTAATAAGAAAAGTAATCAATATTTTCATACATTTTATCTCACAAACTCCTTACTTGGAGGGATCAGATATAACATCCTCATTAGTTTCTGGAATAACTGGGATATTTTCTTCATCTGCATTATCATCAGTAACATCATAAATAATGATGTCATCTGAAATCCTCTCCCTTGGCTTTAAACCTTCAGTCCTACTGTGTGGAACCTAAAAATTCAGAGAGAAAAATATATCTAAAAATCAAAATCATTGACTACCAAACAAGATATCATCTACAAAATAACTAGGCAACTACTATTTACTGAATCTCGGGGTATGCAAAACAGGTGTGTTCTCTGCTCTTACGGAACTTACATAATAATTGGTACTAGCAGCACCAATTCACAGAGGTATGAGGTATATTAACTGCATTCTACACTTTACTACTTCTTTTACTGTAAGGGACCCTGAAGATGACACCCCTAAAAATGTTTCTATGGAAAGATCTTCAAATTTTAAAGTATTTTTTATGCCTAAAGAGTAAAAAAGTCTTAGGACTTCACTAGAAACTTCAAGCACGACCAGACAGCCACCATGCTGATAGGGATATTGTTTCAGCTCAAGATGCTCTGTTTTGAAATGTGTTTTATTCTTATTCATTAAATACCTTCACTAAGAGAAAAAAACGCACTTCACCTCTCTCAGTTACATGTTAGCTTGGCTTTTTAGCAATGATTTTTTTTTAAACTTAAGCTACAGATATATTCAGGCTACAGCTGTATTAATCAAACTAAGTTCAATCCTGTAAAGCAAACTAAAGTCATTATTAAAATGCAAAAAACTATAAATTCCAATACTAGATAATAAAGAGGCAAAGGATGTGAAGTACTTTAAAATATATAAACCCAGTTAAAAATATAAAAATCTTCATCCACTTACATGAGCCTTCAATCCTAAAAACAAAATAGGTATGCTTGATTATTTTCTAACAGTAGAGGGAAAAGAAATCAGATGTGAGGTTAAGTTTGATTGTCCAAGAACAAAAATCTTATTACTTTAATAATAAATCTAAAGAACTATTTTGAATTCTGAAGTTTGAAAGTAGTAACAAAAAGATAATAAAAAAGATCTGGACTTTGGACTGGACTAATTTGCCACTGGATAGAAATCTGACAAATTATCCAGAAAGCCTGTGACAAAATGAAGGTAAAAATTTAAATTGCTGGAGTAAAAAGCATTCTAGTTGGTGAACATTAATAAAAAAAAGTTGAAAATAGAATAACCAATGTAAGAATATATAATCACATTAAATTATAATAATTACATTTTCAAAATATTCAATTATTATATAATATTGAAATGAGTAAGCCAGGTGCAGTGGCTCATGCCTGTAATCCCAAAACTTTGGGAGGCTGAGGCAGGCAGATGGCTTGAGTCTGGGAGTTCGAGACCAGCAAAGGTGACATGATGAAAATCCATCACTACAAAATATACAAAAATTATCCAAGTGTGGTGGCACACACCTATAGTCCCAGCTACTCAGGAGACTGAGGCAGGAGAATTGCCTGGGCCCAGGAGGTGGAGGCTGCAGTGAGCCAAGATCATACCACTGCACTCCAGGCTGGGTGACAGAGTGAAATCCCATCTCAAAAAAAAAAAAAAAAAAAAAAAAAAAAAGAAATGAATAAACTAAATCGCTATGTTTAATAAATCTCAAAAGCAACATCAAGTTAAAAAAAAGCCACACTATAAAATGATATGCACAAAATGATATTATTTATATGAAGTTTAGATATATGCAAAATAATACCAAGTACTGCTCCTGGATTCACATATACAAAATGGCCATGAGAATGATAGATACTAATTCAAGATAGTGATTACCTCTAGGGTAAGCGAGGAAGAGTAAAGAGGGGAGACAAGAGACGGGGAGAGAGAAAAACTTAGAAACAGGCAACTGGAACAACTAGATTTGTGATGATTTATTTCTTACAATAATCTAAAGCAAATAATAAAAAATGTCACAATTTAACAAAGCTGTGGGATGAACACTTGAATTGTTATTCACCACACTTCTTTGAATGCATGAAACACTGCCATAATAAAATTTAGTCTGAGACAATAAATATAAAATAGACCCTAACTAAAAAATTACTTTATGATGATGATTATCAGTTGGTTCTTTGACTATGTGCTGAAACAGGTTCTTCTTTTGGGCTCCATTAGTGTTTAGAAGTAGAGGCCTGAAAACCAGAAGAATATGCAGTTCAGTGAAGCAAACATACAATGAATTTAAACTCCCTCTATTAACTTACCCAAACACACACACATGCACACTCACTTAATAATGAATAAAAAATTTCAGTAACAATAAATAAACTTAAAAATGATTACATCTTAGGAACAGAAACTGCTGGATGAGAATATCTAGGACTTTCAGTTCTCCACTTTTCTACACTCTTTTTGTTATAATAAGCTATTCTCTCCAGTTATACTTCATTGCTTACCGAACCACACAACTCTATGAACTGTATTTATATAGAAAAAAATAGATAATAT
Organism: Homo sapiens; assembly: GCF_000001405.40. Classification (NCBI taxonomy): domain Eukaryota; kingdom Metazoa; phylum Chordata; class Mammalia; order Primates; family Hominidae; genus Homo; species Homo sapiens. Next base: position 122,419,818 of record NC_000006.12, on the reverse strand, counting down.
CATAAGAACTAATTAGTGGAAGTAGTTAAGGCCATAAAGCTCTGATCATAATCAAGTTTTTCCCAAATCTTAGTGTTACAGATCATTTTTTCCTTCCAACTATTCCTTTTGTCCATTATTCTTCTAATGTTTTAGCTGTGACAATAGTAGCTACTGACATTTACAGGTATCACAACCCATGGCTGAGATACAGATTTAAAAAGACTATGAGTGGCTTAAACTAAGAGAGGTCAAGTAAAACAAATTTTCATTTTTTTTTTAACATATGGCCTCTTTTTAAAAATTTCCTTCACTCAGGCCTTCTAATGCTACTTTAATAATGTGAATGAAAAGTGAATATTTTGTATTAACTGTATGTATGTCTATAAAGTGACCATTTAGGCTACCCTTATCTCTCACAAACATCAGCAGAATGATAAAACTAAAAAATAATACTACTCTAGAGATTTTAAGAGTATAATTTAACAAAGGAGAATTGTTCTTTTTGGACAACAAGCACATACTCAGCAAGTGTAGGCTACTCATGGTTAAACACTAAAAAGTGTGACTGCCTATATACAGGACATAATACTTTATCATAAAAACTTACCTTTTACGTTTTAAACTCACAAGTTGGTTATTTTGAACCAATGTAACAATAAACTGGACAATCTGAAAAAAATATAAACAAAAATTATTTCATTATACTGTTAATTCTTTTGTCTCTATTACCAAGTCTTATAAAACAAATTCATATAATAATTTGTCCTCTAAGTCTCATAATTTCTCACATATTAACACTTGAAATCCAGACGCACCGTAGAACCACCGTCTAAAGAAACATACCAGCTTCCAGGCAGTTTATTTGTTTTGGTGATAAGTACCAAACTTGCCTGGCTATAGATCCCAACTTTTTTACTTCAAGTACTTTGAAGATTACACTACGGTGCAAAAGAGAAAACTGGTGTTTGATAGGCAACATTTTTCTTATACCAGGTAACAGAGGCAAAATAAACCGTCAGTTCCTTCAGAATAATCATGAAATTTTCGAGTTAGAAAAAGGTGATGGGCCAGGCGTGGTGGCTCATGCCTGTAATCCCAACACTTTGGGAAGCCTAGGTAGGAGGATTGCTTCAGCCCAGGAGTCGGAGACCAGCCTGGGCAACATCGTGATGCTCCATTTCTAAACAAACAAACTCTGCTTGCAACCAAAGAAAAAAAAGAAAAAGATAAAAGTTTATTGTCTGATTCTATAAAGATTAATGTTGAGACCTATCTGTCAAAACTTCCTACTGACAAGGGAAGCTAATCTTTAATATTTAATTAAATTTAGAGAGAAAATTGTGAAGACACACAAACAAGCTTTCATATCTTATAGTAGTGTTTCTTAAAGTGTGGCCCATAATACCAGGAACACTAGCTTAGGAACTTTGGATATGTTAAATTCTCAATCCTACTACAGAACTGCTGAATCTGAAATTCGGATCATGGGATCCAGTATGTTTAGAAAACCCTTTAGTGTAGACTGGATACTGATGTGAGTATAAGAACTACTGGCTTAGAGTATGTCTTGAAATTACATTGCCAACTTCCTAAAGGTGCTATAAAAGGTGAGGATCATATGGTAAACTATAAAAAGTAGTATATCACTGAGAAGCTATGAATAAAAGCCAAAATTGATTGGAGCACTATTTAGACTCTGTGCAGAAAGTGTGCTTATAAGCTTTGTGAAGTTACATGATTAAATAGAGTATTATCAATTAAAAATATCTATTGTACAGGTTCTAACAGTGAGCATTTCCTTACAAAAAAGGCTACTAAATGGTCTGCCTTATAATCAATATCAATTTTTCAATGGAAAAAAATATAGACATTTTAACTGAAGAGGTTCATAGTATTAGAGTCTATGAAAAGGAGGGTAGACACTAAATTGCTTATTCAAGAGAAAATGTTAACAGCTAGTGAAAAGACAATATGTAAGCTTAAAGATATCTATGATACAATTCGACTTCAGTTTTTTTAATTAATAAATGTTATGGGAATATTCTAAAAACTTCAGGTTGAATTTATAAGAACATCAATCACTGGCTAAATTAAATTTATTCTACATCTCAGTTCTCTGTTGACACTTCTGGATCACATTACACAGGGATTTTTATCTGAAGAAGATAAGGCGTCTAACACTTACAGCATGTAACTTCTGTACCTGTTAAGTCCTATAACTGGACCATCACACATATTATTCTCAATTAATCCATGGCTGAGAGTAAATTCCAGGAGCAGAGTAAAAATTATTGGTTGTCGTCATGCATTATATAAACACCACTCACCAAAGCACAGAGATTCAAACTCAAATTTTAGCAGACAGAATGTTAGCATTCATGAAAAACTGAAATGTCACATAGCTATTTTATCAACTATTCTTGCTTTCAGGAAAAAAAAAATCTACACATTATAGAGTGTTGTAAGCTAATATATTACCAAAACACTGTTTCTGAAAAGTATTAACAGACTGTTTCCATAAAGTACAGGTTAAGGTACATCTATTGTTTTAAGTCAACTATTCTTAACCAGGCTGCACATTAGAGTTGCCTATGAAAGTTTTAAAAATACATGTACTTGGACTAAACACTTAGAACTGAATTCTACTACATTCAACCTTCACTTGCACACTTTAAAAAAAAAAAAAAACACAGTAAATCTATGTTGACTAGGCTACAGGCTGCAACTGCTACTCATCTCTGCTTTAAAGCCTTCTCCATTAGACCCTGATCCTGTCAGTCACAACCCTATTTTTAGTTCAAGGGCCTTCTAAGCAGGAGCAATCAGAAGCTCCCCCTCAAAAAACCTGTTGCTTAAACTCAGAGTCTAGTTTACTCATGAGCAAAAAATAGCTGCCTTAATTACTATGTTTCATCTCTTATTAGCAAATGAAAGCTGATATGCAAAGATTAAATCACAAGGACACAATGAAACGGAGGGATTCCAACTCCTCTATTAAATTTTCAGCTCAGATACTAAAATCTAAAATTCATTTTACAACACTATGTTAACTGCTTTTCTCCACAGACTAATAACAGCATACATTGAGAAATCATTTTCTGAACTCATAATTTGGTCAACTGATTTGAAAATATTTGTCATTTATCTTCTGAGACCTTAACTATGCCTTTTATAATAAAAACCAACAAAAAAAACCAGTAAGGCTATGTTTTCTAATTTTAAAAGAAATTGGTAGTGTATTCATTATGCTCATAAAAATAAAGTATTTCAAAATTGTTATATTAGGCAAAAGATCATTTACTAAAAGCTACTGAGACATTATCTGCGAGTATGGAATAACCATCTTTAGCTAGTGAGAAATTTTTTATTAAAAATGTGTAACACTTGGCTTAATTTCATTTCATTTTTTACTTCTATCTGTGCATCCAATATGTAAGAAACTAAGATCAATCACAGACACTCAATAAAGACCTTTTTGGGTCACAAACAGTACTCATTAAACAAATGCAAATTATGGTCCTGGGGAAAAGAGCTTCTTACCTTTCGAATAACTTGTTGCTGTTGTGCATGCTTTGCTCGTAATTCTGACACCTCCTTCCAAAGGGACTCATTCTCACTATGTTATAATTTATTAAGCAACAAAACAAAAAAAAAATCAATCAAAAAACCAGACCATAGTATCTTTAATTAAGAATACCAGACAACTGAACTACACTTGTTTTTACTATATGTATTTATGAGACCAAGAAAACTTTGGTTCAATTACATAGGAATGACAACTACCTTGACACAACTCCTGAATCATTCTTTTTTTAAAAAAAAGGTGTAGCTTTGCTCTGTCGCCCAGGCTGAAGTGCAGTGGTACGATCTCGGCTCATTGCAACCTTCACCTCCAGGGTTCAAGCAATTCTCGTGCCTCAGCTTCCTAAGTAGCTGGGATTACAGGCATGTGCCACCACAACCAGCTAATTTTTTTTGTATTTTTAGTAGAAACGGGGTTTTGCCATGTTGGCCAGGCTGATCTCAAACTCCTGACCTCAGGTGATCCACCCACCTCGGCCTCCCAAAGTGCTGCGATTACAGGCATGAGCCACCGCACCCAGCACCAGAATCATTCCTTCCTAAGTGTAGTATCTGCTACTCATGACAATAGATACACAGAAACTTAAGACATATGCCTACATCAATATAGTAGTTGGCAATTTACTACTTTTGACAATCTGGCTCATTATTTTTTGCTTAAAAAAAAATAAGCTAATCTTTCAACTGTGGTTACCAAGTGAATTCAGGCCTTCCTAATCACCTTAGGAAATAAAGGGTAGTGATATATACCCAGCACTTACTATACTCTAAGCACTATGCTAGACATTTTATGTGTATTACTTATTTAAAATTTCTCTAAAAACCACCAAGAAATAAGTCATCATCTCTATTTTATAGATGAGGACACTGAGGTACAGAGAATTGAGGGGAACTGCTCAAGATCATACAAATAATTTGGTAAGTGTTGAAATCAAACTAAAGTCTGTCAGATTCTAAAACTATCTTAAGATCTATCTCAAACAACAGCATATGTAAACCACTAAAATGTTATTCTGAAAAAGCATATCCAATAATAAACTAATAACTTGCCAAATATGAATAGCTTCTTCTTCGTTCACCTTTTTTAATTGAAACTGCATTATGTTGTTAAATGTTCGCAGCACGGAGAATGCTGAATACCTATTAAATGCTTTAATTTTCCATCTTTTGTTATTCTCCACAAGTCATCTTCTTTAATCCAAACTAATATAAAAGGAACTGGAGATTTACATATAAGGGTATACCAAAGGAGATTTTAATATTTACTGAATAACTACTGTATTTTTCTGATTCAAATTAAAAAATGTTGTTATCTGCTTACTAAATAAAGATAAGTAGGGCTGGGTGCGGTGGCTCGTGCCTGTAATTCCAGCACTTTGAAAGGCCGATGTGGGCGGATCACTTGAGGTCAGGAGTTTGAGAACAGCCTGGCCAACACAGTGAAACCCCATCTCTACTAAAAATACAAAAATTAGCTGGCACATGCCTGTAATCCCAGCTACTAGGGAGGCTGAGGCACAAGAATCGCTTGAACCGGCAGGCGGAGATTGCAGTGAGGTAAGATCAAGTCACTGCACTCCAGACTGGGTAACAGAGTGAGACTGTCTCAAAACAAAAACAAACAAACAAAAAGATAAGGAGAAGAAAGTTCCCTCTAAGGTACAAAAAATGATTTGGGGATCACTTTCTTTAAAGGCTGAAACTGTGGTCCCAAGGAACTGGGTCAAAGAGCAGCTAGTATACACAAGATACATACAGTAAACAAGTTGTTAAATACACAAGAAGAGAAAGCCTAAAGCTTATTTAAAAAAGAAATCAAAGTTATAGGTTCCTCTTTTAATGAAGATATTTGAGTTATGATTAACTAAAGTAACGTCTCACATCTGATATGGAAGAGAGAATATGTAAAGTAACCACTCTTAAGCCCTTGGCACCTATTAGGATACAGAAAAATTCCAGCTACTTACTAAGAAGAGTAATACACTATCTACTCTATACACAAGTTATTAGTATGGCAAGTTACAATAATGGTAACCAAGAAATGTAGTAAAATAAAACGAAGCATCTTTCTGTAGATAAAAGCTCTGAATAACACTTTTCCAAGTCTATACGAAATAAGTATCAAGCATGGCAACTCTCCTGCATCGTTTTCCGATTTTTTTGTGTCCTACTTTTTCCTAAGAGTCCACACAAAGAAATCTTAAGAGACAGCCATTAAACAAAGGATGGGTAACATACAGGGTTTTTATGTCGTATGCCCTCATTGTCTATGAGCACCATATGAGCTAACCTAAATAGAATCATATTTCCTACATCATCTTAAAGACCTACTGTTTATTGCTAAGACTTATACATCAAACTGTTTTGATACGCTTAGGTTTATATCTTCTTCTGACTATCATAATTAAAACAATATTAGAGTAAAGTCAGTGGCCACAAATCAAAGTAAAGGGAACCAATACTTGCAGAAAAATGACCTTTGATCTTGGCTTCAACAAAGTGATCTGAGTACTTACAATAAAACATCAGACAACCTCCAAACTCAACACACATAGACACATACCCAATTCCCAGATTAAAATTATATTTGGAAATAACACTTTACCTTTTTAATTCAGAAAGCCTGGACTCAATAGTTTCCTGTTTTATCTGAACCTTCTGAGCACTACTTATAATTTTTGTTAAATCTTCCTGACGAATTTTATTTTCTTCTGGTTTTGAAGATGAAACCTTTGAAAAAGTAAATTTAGAAAATCAAAGAAACAGTAAACACCCATGATTGTAATTCAAAGCTTCCCTATTAGAAGAGGTTTTCGTAGCCTGTTCAGGAAGTGAGATCTGGTTCCAAAAGCCCGGGATGAAATGCTAGGGAAAGAATAAACTTCAGAGCTCAATGGGAGAGAACGCAAGGAATAATCTACTTAAAAAAAATTTTTTTTTAATGTTAAAAAGTTTCCGCAAGCAGGAATATCTTAGAGTCTTTTATTCTCCCCTTATGCCAAGCTCCTTGCAATTTCCCCCAAGCCTCTTTATTACCACATTCCACATTTAATTAAATTTATGCAGTAAAAGGTTCATGCTAGGCCATTTTCTTTCATGGTCCACCCCTTTTACAGATTTAGTAAAATATCTTATTTTACCAAAAGATATTATGCATTAAAAAATATATTACTGAATGTATTTCTGAATGCCTACTATGTGGGCATATTTATATTATTAGAAGAGACTTATTGTAGGTACTGGATGTACAATTACAAACTATAGAAAAAGTCTTCCAGGGAGCTCATATTCTAGCAGGAACTTAAACTTTTTTTTTTTTTTAAGCTAACTTAGGAAAAAAATACAGGGAAACAAGTAAAACTTTATTATCCTAATTCATCCCAACAAGGAACAGTTGTGCATTTCTGTACTTTCAACAGCTGAAATAAAAATCTTGGCCAAGCACACTCCAGGTCAATACCCTAATTAGCTCACGTTCACAATAGCTCACCTTCCTTTTAATGTTCTCCAACAAGTCATCCTGTCCTTGTTTGAAGTAAGGATGCTGAAATTCTACAGGACCATCTCTTTCTTGCTTTACAATTCCAGAGTCGATATGTACTACTTTACGGAAACCATCTGAAAAATATTCAAAATTCAAATGACTAAAATAAACAAGTCAAAATTTGGTGGTGCTTGTATGGAATAATTTTCCTTTACCACCCTAATGGGAAAAAAAATGGCTTCATCAGTAGCTGATAATGGTACTCCAATAAACTGCTGTCCATACTCACACATATTCAGTTGCCTCACAAAGCTTGCCATATTATTGTGCTTGAAATATTTGGGAAGAATTTCTTTTGCAAATCGTTGCTCATCCAAGACCAGAAAACTTTGGCCATTCTGCAAGGGGAAAAAAAAAAAGAAAAAGTAAATTAGTTAAGTTCCTATGACACATGGTGATATATTTATACATCCCACAACTGTCTTGAGTAGTCCAGTCCCTCCTTGATGTCTTCAGACCAACATTCTATTCTTGACAACAGGAACAAGAAACAAAATTGCAATTAAGCAACAAATTGCAACTAAGCTTTTTGATGTCAACCTCAAAAGTTTAGGAACATATCTCAAACCAAATGCCACATCACACTCTATGGTGAAATATTAGAACTTCCATTAAACCAGCAATGAGAAAATGAAATACAATTATGTAGACAGCATAATTAACATTGTTTTAAAACTAGTGCAATTAAGACCAAAATAAAAAAAAAAGATTTTGAGAGGAAGTACCATTTTATAATTATTTGCAGTAGACATAGTAGACATAATTGTATCTTTGTAAAATCAATTTAAAAACCCTTTAAGAATTCAGTAAGATACGTGGTTACTAAATTAATATTAAAAGTCACTAGTGTTTTTCTCTACAAAAAACAAACACCTGGAAACACTACAAAAATAAAGTAATCAAAGTAGCATGGTACTGGCATACTGACAAACATATAGATCAATGAAATAAAATAGACAGCCCAGAAATAAACCCTGCCAAAGGATTTTTGACAACAGTGTCAAGACCATTCAATAAAAAAAGGACAGTCTTTTCAACAAATGGTGCTGGGAAAACTGGATATCTACATACAAAAAAATGAAGTTAGACCCTTATCTGATAACATATATAAAAACTAACTTCAAATCAATCAAAGACCTAAACACAAGAGCTAAAGAAACTTTTAACAATAGTAGAGCATGACATTAGACTTGGCAATGATTTATTAAATGTAACACTAAAAGTACAGGCAACAAAAGCAAAAATAGACAAATGGAACTACATCAAATCTAAAGACTACCAACAGACTGAAAAGGCAACCCTCAGAATGGAAAGAAGAAAGTGCAAATCATATACCTCAGGAGTTAATATCCAGAACATAGACATAACTCTTAAAATTCAAAAAGAACAAAAGACAAAAAAAACCCAAACAACCCGATAAAAAACGAGCAAGGATGTGAGTAGATATTTCTTCAAAGAAGATATACAAACTTCCAATAAGCAAATAAAAAGATGGTCAGTAACACAAATCATTAGGGAAATGAAAATCAAAACTAAAACAATATACCACTGCACACCCATTAGAATGGCTATTATCAAAAACGCATAAAACAAGTGTTCACAAGGAAGTGGAGAAATTGGAATATTGGTGCATTATTGGTGGGAATGTTAAAATAGTGTGGTTGCTGTGGAAAACACTATGATAGTTCCTTTAAAAATTAAACAAAGAACATATAATCCAGCAATTCCATTCCTAGGTATATACTCAAAAAAAAAAAAAAAACCCAAAAACAACAACAAAAAAACAAAACAAAAAAAACCATAAAAGCAACGACTTGAACAGATATTTGTACCCCATGTTCACAGTAGCATTTTTCACAACAGGCAAAAGGTAGAAGTAACTTCAGTATCCACCAACACATGGTGAAATATATATGGATAAAGTATGGTATATACATGCAATGAAATATTATTTCACCTAAAAAAGGAAATTCTCACAAGCTACAACATGAAAAGAACTTTGAAAACATTATGCTGTGAAATAAGCCAGTCACAAAAGAACAAATACTGTACAATTCCCCTTATATGAAGTTTCCATAATAGCCAATTTCAGAGACAAAAAGTAGAATGGTGGTTGTCAGGGGCTGCGGGGAGGAAGGAGTTAGAAGTTATTGTGAAATGGGTATAAAGTTTCAGTGTGGAAAGATAAAAATTGTTCTGGAGATGGATGGTGGTAATGGTTGCCTAACAATGTGAATCTAACTTAATGCACTTAAAATGGTTAATTTTATGTTATGTATATTTTACCACAATTAAAAAAATTAGAAACTAAAATGGAATAAAATATCCCAATAATAATAGAAAAATGTTAAGTATCTAAAAATAAAATTTAAAAATATACAGGAACTTTAAAAATATTAAAACTATAGAAATACAAAAGGAAGACAAATGCAGTATTGTAAAGGTGTCAATTCTCTCTAAATTAACCAATACATTAAATTCTGTCTTAATTAAAAAAATGATTTGTGGAGTAAAGATGAATTGATGCTATCATAACCAAATGTTAGGTACATAAGTTCATTTGTAAAAATAATTACATAACAACAGGAAAGAAAATATTGAGAACAATGGGGAGGAGTATTTTAACCCTACCCAATACAGATTATAAAATTATAGTGTTAACAATTTAGTACAAAAGAAGAAGTGATTACATAGATGAATGGACTGACTAGAGAGGACAGATGAACCAGCAAATCTATCTGAGAATTTACCAGGTAGTAAGTCAAGATGGCATTCAAATGGGGGGATAATCAGGAAAGAAAAGGATTAAGAAATTTTCCATTTGGGAAGAAAAATAAGAGCTCGATGTCATCTTACTCTTTACAAGCAAGCTTTTGGAGACATGACATAATAAACCCAGAAGACATATAGATAAAATATAAATTTATCCATGGAGACTGCTAGCTTCCTACTCTATCTCTACTCTCCTCTACTTTCTTCCTAACAGAAACACAATTTTGATGAAAAACACATTGTGAAATTTAGAAGAGACCCAGACTCATAAATGAAGAATGTAGAGCAAAACAAATAATGATTTTCCCTTATTAGATTAAATTTACAACCCTTGACAATAACCAGTATTGGCAACTAGGTAATTATCAAAATTAAAATGCTTAAAATGCATACGTCTTTTCCTATCTTAAAAGAACTTTCCCTCTTATACCTTCTTTTTCAATCTACCCATCTGTCTTTTCCTTAACTGCAAAATTTAACAAGCAGGTATTTTAAACCCCCCTTCTCCAATTCAGGACCATCCACTTACTCTCACTGAAAACTGCTTTTGGTTCCCTCACTCGACTGAAACCAGATTTCTAAAATGTCAAATATCAAATTCAATGCCCTCTTTTCAGTCCTGATCTTCCTACACCTCTCTGTGGCATTTCATTTGGTACAACTAACAATCTCCTCCTTAAATGTTCGACTCTCTGGGCTTTGATGCTAAACACTGTTGAGTCTCTTATCTCTTATATTTCCTTTCAATTTTCTTCCACCTATCAAATAAGAGGTAGCTGTATTTTCCAGGTTTTTATCCTTAATCGTGGCACCATTCATATTCTTTCCTTAGAATTCATCCACAGTAGGGTATCTTATTATTGACTTTATTTTATAATAAACACATCTACAGCTCTGTCCCTGATCATCTCAAATTACACACTTCAATTTAAAATGTTAACATTTTTTACACTATGTTCTTTAACTCAGTATGTTCTAAACCCATTTCCTGTTTCCCCGGAAGTCAATCTTTTCTTGTGTCTTCCATTCTACCAAGTCCCTTCCTCACTAAGTCACCCGACAACATTTGATGTCAAAAAAAAAAAAAAAATGAAGTTAAAAACTCTCATTCTAACAGCTAGTAAGGGGGAAACATTAAAACATTCCCTTTAAAAATTAAGAACAAAGCCAGAATGCCATGATAATTGCTTCTACTCACTCTTAGTTACTGCCAAAAGAAAAACGGAAGGCATAAAGGTCTGAAAGGAAGAAAATAAATGTCAATCACAGATACTATGGGTGTACTCAGAAAACTGAAATCAGTAAAATGATTTGCTCACTGATTTATTATCAATATACAAAAATTACTTGTATTTCTAATTACCAGCAACAGCTAGAAATCTATTTTTAAGTCAAGAACACCATTTACAACATATATAAGATATCCAGGAAGAAAATGAACAAAGATCCACAAGGCCTAATAGCAAACATAAATCAACAAAATGAATTTAGAAATATGCCTTGTCATGAGAATACACAACACAGAGATATCGATTTTCCCTAATCTGATTTATATAGTTTTGATCCAATTGCAGCAAAAATCCAAAAGGCTTTTTTTTTTTTTATGGAACTTGATTTTAAAACATATGTGGAAGAGCTAAAGACCAAAAATACTTAAGGCACTCCTGAAGGATAGATTACCCTACCAAAAGACTTTTTCTGAAGCTACAGTAATTAAGACAGCAGAAGACAGGCACAGGATAAATTGTCCAATGGAATGGCATAAAGACTCCAGAAACAAAACCACTGAATGTTTGTGTCCCCCAAAATTCTATGTTGAAACCCTTGCCCCTGATATGATGGTATTTGGAGTTAGAGCCTTTGGGAGGTAATTAGGTTCAGAGGAGGTAATGAAGATAGGACCCCCCAGGTTAGGTTGGTGTCCTTATAAGATAAGAGAGACCAGAACACACTCTCTCTCTCTCTCTCTCTCTCTCTGCCATTGGGAAGACACAGAGAGAAGGCAGCTGTCTGCAAAGCAGAGAAAGCTCTAACACAGGAACTGAAATGGCCACTGCCTTCATCTTGGACTTCTCCACCTCCAGAACTGTAAAAAATAAACGCCTGTTGTTGAAGCCACCTGGTCTATGATATCTTGCTACGGCAGCCCAACTGATTAAGACAATATCTACACGTACTTGTGACGTAAGATAGAAGTGGCAATATAGATCATTGGAAAAGGAAGAACTACTCAGTAAAGGTGCTAGACAACTAAAATGTAAAAAGCCACAAACTGGAAGATATGGCCAAAACATAAACTCGAATATGTAGAATATATAGGAATTCTCACAAATAATAAAAAAAAAAACAGAAAAATGGCAAAACAAACATTTCACAGAACAGGAAACACAAATGGCCAACGAACGTGAAAAGGTTTTAGAACTCATTAATAATCAAGAAAATATAAATCAAAACCTCATTGAGACAATGCTTTACATCAATTAGATTGGTAAAAAGTAAGAACGATAACTAATACACAGTTTTGAAGAGGCAGATTAACAGAAAATCTCATACATGGCTAATAGCGGAATAAGCTGGTGTGATCTCTTTGGAAGATAATTCACACTATCTTGAGGTTAGACATTTCATATCCTATATCCCAGCAAGTCACATGAGTGTACAGACCTTAGAGAAACTCTTGCTTATATACACCAGGAGAGATATACAAGAATATTCCTAACAGCATGTGACACAGTTGATCTCTTTCCTGAGCCATTTTCTTTCATTAACTTCTGTGGGTTCACTCCCTTGATTTTCCTTCTTTTTCACTGTTCCGTCTCAGCCTCCTTTGCTGGCTTTTGTCTTCATACTCTCTAAATGTTGGAATAATACATCTTTTGGTTCCTTCTATCTTCACAGAAGATGATTTCATTAAGTCTCCTGGCTTTACCAGTTACAAGGTCTAAACTCCACCCTGAATGCCAAAGTCTTATACTCAACCACCTATTCAACATTTCCACTTGGACATTTTGGAGTGTGGAAGTCAGTCAAGCTGTTCAAAAATACTCCTGTTTTTTTTTCTAGCACTGCACTTCCTCATCCCTTTTGAAATTAGGTGTGGCCATATGACTAGGCATGGTCAAATTTAAGAAAAATTAAACAATTTTCAAGTTGTTTCAAATACTACTAGAGATCCATTTTTAATCTCAAAGTTAATATGCCAAAAAGAATCTCTAACATCTTTCCTCAGCAAATGGATTTATCCTGTAGTTCAAACCAAATTTATGAATCATTTTTAATTGTCGTTCCTCCAACCATAGCCAATTTATCAATTTATCAGCAAATCCTGCAGCTTTGCCTTCAAAGATTTCAAAGCTACATCTCAATACCTTGACTGCTGCTACCTTAGTCTCAGCCATCAATATTTTCAATACCATACAGGAAAACTGTGATAGTCTTCTAACTGGTCCCCTCATTTCCAATCTTCTTACTATAGATCTAGGGCCCTATACCATCTGCTCCTGCCTACCTCCCTACTCTCACTCTCCTAATTCCCTAAAGATATTCTAATCACATGGGCCTTCCTGCTTCCTTGAACAGCCACATTCAAGGCCTTACCTTTTGTCATTCCCCTTTGGCCCATCTTTTCTAATCATTTAGATCTCTCCTCAAACATCGTCTCCTTGGAGAGGCTTTCCTCATCACCTTACCTAAAATATTCACAAATCCTAGTCTGTTTATGGGCCAGTTATCAATTTATTGCTCCAAATTCATTCTTCATTGTCTGCTCTACAAGCATAGAGCTTGGTTCCTTAAATAAATATCTTTCTTTTTCTAGGTGCCATGATGTTAAGTTCTGTCAGCAGGGGATAAAAGAGAGATATTACAAGAAAAAGGAGCTCTTGTTCCTGACTCATGTATCCTTGGCAAGCTTCTGCAGTGGAGGCAGCTTCTCCAGTGCCTAGCTCTTGATATTAATGGTGGTCAGCAACACTCAAAGACCATCAGCTTTCACTGGTGCTTCCTCTCCCTTGGGAGGTTTCAAAGCAGAGTATCTCTAACAAGATATCTCCCCATAAACAGTTTTTTAGAGTACTCCAGAACAGGGATTTATAAACTTTTTCTTAAAGGGACAAATAGTAAATTAGGCTTGCAGATTATAACATCATAACTCTACCTTTGTAGTGAGAAAGCAGATACAGACAATATGTAAATAGATTGGGCATAGCTGTGTTCTATTTAAACTTTTTTTTATAAAACAGCTGGCAAAAGGACTACAGTTTGCCAACCCGTGACCTAGAGGGCATATTTCCCACCAAGTTTTGAAGGATGCATTTCCAGTAAGTTCCACCAGAGCAACACCAGTGACTGCTCTGCTACTGAGTCATGGCCATATTCCTTCCAATAAGGTAAGAATCTTAGCCTTGGCAAAAAAGGTTCTTACTTGGGCACTCTATCTCAGCCCTATCAGTAGTGGCTGCTTCTTAAAACTATTCTTGTATTCTTTTAATTTTCTTTAATTTCCCTGATATAGTCAGTAACTCTATTAAACTTACCCTCTTGAAAATACCTGTGGCTTCTGACTTATGATTGCATCTTAACCGACACACAGTTTATCTTGGTGTTTTTTAAAGGCATTTATCACTAACTGAAATTATATTGATTGTGTTTTGCTTGCTTTTACTTTTTTTTTTTTTTTTTTTAAGAGACAGGGGTCTCAGTATGTTGCCCAAGCTAGCCTCAAACTCCTGGGCTCAAGCAATCCTCCCAACTCAGCCTCCCCAGTACCCAGAACTACGACATGCACCACCATACCCAGCTTGTATTTGCTTACTATTTATTGATATCCACCACTCAATGTAAGCTCCATAAAGGTAGGCACTTTGGTTCACTACTGAATGAATTCCTGATACCTAGCACAATATTAGGTCATAACAGATTCATAACAAATACCTGTGACTGACTAAATTAATCTTTGGCCAAATAAACTGAATTTTTAGAATTTCAACTATTTGATTATATAAAATAGGGAGATGACAATAATCTCTTGCTATACCTGTGCTCACTCTCTCTCACATACACTCCTTATTCATTCATATCACTCTATCTCTGCTTATTGTATTCCCTCAGTCTCTATTCTAAAATTAGTAAATAACTTCTTTGAGTGCAAAAATTCACCTTCCTGTCTTTTAAACCTGTGAGGTTCAAGCAATACAACACAGAATCTCCCTAAGTATTTTACAAGGATGAGAAAACTACTACTGAGTGAGGTGGGAAAGATAGGCACCTTCTCCTTAAACCTTACCCACAAATGTTGGCAAGAGTCCAAAGAGTAGAAACAGTCGTTACTCTCCAAATTAATTTTGGCACTCTTGTTAGAACACTCAAAATATTCCTAATAATCTAATACTTCAGCCACATTACTTTAAAACATTTTTCGGAACAGAAATTTGTGGCTTGCTAATCTATAATTTTTAATATGCACCAGCTACTCTTTTAGAGTCTTTAGCTCATTCTTTCTCTTATATATACAAATAAAAATACTTGAAAATCAATCTTTCAACTTTTCTGCAGGTCCATCTAAGTTGGATTTTACCCCCATCCTCCCACACTTGTAGTCTTTCTTATTTTCACTTTGAAATACTAATATAATGCAATGGTTGCTGGGATGTTCAAAACAATACTAGCACTTTGTGAAGTCCAAGGGCCTACTGCTCAAATTCATCCAAAACAGCTAGAAAACAATGGAAAAATTCTGTTTTTGCTCTCTCTCCCTCCTACCTATTTCCTAATTCATCTCTGCTGACATGAGGGGGATAGAGAAGCAGAGAATGCCAAAGGGCACAAAAAGGGGGGAAAGCTGGGTATGAAGTCTTTGGTGGAAATCACTTCATTTTCTCAAACAATCTGAAGAACAGAGACAAAGGTAACAACACTGACAAAAGGATGACCTTCCAGTTCTTTCCTTCTTTTATACTGCTTCACTTCAGCATACGTTGGTTGTAACATTTCATTAACTCGTAAAGGCTGTTTTTTACTATATAACTTCATTTAACCTCTACGGCCTTGTCTCTGAATATCAAGTTTCACCAGTTGCTTCCAAGCTAATATGTGCCCTCTCTTTAGGACACTTAAGATTTAAAACAGTTTTAGGTCGTCTGACAGTACAATCTCTGTACTTGATTCTGACAACAGACTACCAAAGCCAAGAACAGTTATATAAAATTTTACATTTAAAGGAAATGTTAAAAAAAATGAAAACTTTTCATTTTTGTTTTTCAGAAGAGTAAGGAGAAAATGGAAATATGTAAAACATACTTTCTTTTCTTTCTGTTTTTTGTTGTTGTTGTTTTGAGACAGGATTTCGTTCTGTTGTTCAGGCTGGCTTGCAGTAGTGTGATCTCAGCTCATTGCAACCTCTGCCTCATGGGCTCAAGCCATCTCCCCTCTTCAGCCTCCTGAGTAGCTGGGACTAAAGATGCACGCCACCATACCTGGCTACTTTCTGTATTTTTTTGTAGAGACAGGGTTTCACCATGTTGCCCAGGCTGGTCTCAAACTCCTGGGCTCAAGCAACCTGCCCATCTTGGCCTCCCAAAGTGCTGGGATTACAGGCATGAGCCACCACGCCTAGCCACATTATGCTTTCTTAAAGACTGTCTGGAATTAAGGCATTTCTATTATTTTAGAGTCAATAACATATTTAAGTATAATTTCAATTGTTCAGATTATTATATTCTTGTATTTAATGGTGAGAGGTATTATTTCCCTTTTCAATTTTGTCATATTGCAAATTTCGAGGAAAATTAAAGTTATGTACGTCTCCAGAGATATTATCTAGAGATATTACCAACTGCGTTTTCCAAAACGCAATTGGTAAGAGTTTTTTTTCCCTTGCCTTACACTCAAGGTAGAGAAATAAATTATTTTCCACCATTGAAAAAAAAAACTGCACAAAAGCTTGTCTGGTTCCCAAAACAACTGCTTCTTCTAAAAGTTCTCAATGATTTTCATAGTATAAATGCTAAATTACCTCAACAGAAATACAACACAAGTTTGAAGGAAACCAGAAACCACCATAAATAGCAACTTTCAAAAGATGAGAGTACCTGGGCGCCGGTGGCTCACACCTGTAATCTCAACACTTTGGGAGGCCGAGACGGGTGGATCACTTGAGGTCAGGAGTTTGAGACTGCCTGGCCAACATGGTGAAACACTGTCTCTACTAAAAATACAAAAATTAGCCAGGCATGGTGGTGCGCATCTGTAATCACAACTACTCGAGACGCTGAGGCAGAAGAATCGTTTGAGCCCAGGAGGCAGAGGCTGCAGTGAGCCGAGATCGTGCCACCGTACTCCAGGGTGACAGAGTGATACTCTACCACAAAAAAAAAAAACGAATATGATATAGTGTGATATAGTCTCTGCCACTTGGAAATTCAAAGCCTGTTGAGGACTATTATATCATCATTCCTACCACTCTCATTACATTTTCTAGGGTTTCATTTATTCATCAAAGAAAAGAGAAAGATGAAAGTAACTTATTTTGGTTTTTCCACCTAACATTATTGTTAAAGTTTTACTTTTCAGTATTAGCACTGCTTTTAGAAAAATCCATGGAGAGCACAAATGAGACAGCTGCCTAAGCAACTAGGCTTAGCCCTAGACAACATTTATTCAGAATTGTCCATTGACTTGTGGCAAGCAACATTTTGGTATAAAACTAAATATGATGTCAACTTGCATTAAGTCTAGTTCTATTGGTGGAAGACTGATCTGGGAGCTCAGAAATCTATTAGGGTAGGGGTGTCCAATCTTTTGGTTTTCCTGGGCCACACTGGAAGAAGAATTGTCTTGGGCCACACATAAAATACACTAACACTAATGATAGCTGATGAGCTTAAAAGCAAAATTGCAAAAATATCTCATGTTTCTTTAAGAAACTTTATGAATTTGTGCTGGGCCGCATTCAAACCCATCCTTGGCCACATGTGAGCCTCGGGTTGGACAAGCTTATGTTAGGGTCTTATCTCCAATCTTGGCGAGCTGTATAATTATGGATAAATAATCTCACCTGTCCAAGCCTCAAATCCTCATCTATACAATGATAAGGCTAACCTAGATGATCTCTAAGAGTCATTTCAAATATAATTTTATCTTCATCATTCCTACCACTCCATTACATTTTCGAGGGATCTCATTTATTCATCAAACAATTATTAAACACCTAGTGTGTCTCTGGCACAGTGATCTCACTGAGCTTACATTTTGATTGTCCCACTGGCATATTAGAAAATTGGTTAACACATAAGCTTAAAGTTAATAATGGGATTAAAAAATGGTTAAGTGGCTTGTTTATTTGGCTTAGAACTCATAGAATGATGCATTTACGGATCAGTACGAAACTCTCCACATTTGACAGTACTCAGAAAATAAGAATGTTATTAAAACACTGTTGCTAATCAGAATTTAATAGGCCTACCACTGACATGATACTCTGATTAAAAGCAACTGCCAATATATATAGCCCCTATTTCTGGCCCATAAAAGACAAAAAGGTATGATAAAGTCAGCTTTCGTGGGGAGAGAATCTCAGTCCAATCTCTAACACGAATACGTGTCTGAGTAACAGTCTGTACTGATCCTTCTTGTCAACTTTTAATCCTTCTAACTGATGAAAAGCATGAGACATGTGTTTATTTTAAGTACATGCTAGTGGCTGGCTTTCTTATTTTCACCTAGCTTTGTACAATTGTACAGAATTCATTAAATGCTTAATAGAAACACTCACGCCCCCCTACTCAACTCCAAGCAGGGAGTGGGGCTAAAAGGATAACTCAGTTGCTCATAAAGAACACACAAAAATTAAATCCTAGAAGGAAGTCGGAAAAAAGAACAAATAATAACACAAGGCAAACTATGGTATTACAGAAGTCAAAACTTCAGGGTCTTAATATGGTGCTCACTCCCTGTTAAGACAAAAGTAAATAAAACTAAGAGTTCCTATAATAGGAGAACAGGAAAGAAAGGAGGACGGGAGATAACATTTACTCAGCACTTAACAGGTGCCAGGCACTATGCAGGTAGTTTTCACTTATTCTTCTCAAGAACTACACATATGAAAATATGCCTCAATAGGTGATCATCTACAATAAGAGTTAACCACTTTCCTTCATAAAAATGATTCCAACAGCCTAGGAGTGTATTCTAATGCACATGCACTGTGGATGTAAATAATCATTCTGCCTAAAATCTTGTATTTGGGACTGATATAGGTCTTGGGTCACCTAGGCAACCCATCCATCTTATGAAAGATTTAACTTAGGCCAGACAAGATAAAGGGCTGGACTAAGGTCATGCTTGTTTAGAAGCAGAGTTGAGATCAAACCAATAATCAACACATCGATATGCCCCTCTGCTGGTAACTGTTCAGCGAAATTTAGTAACTACTAAGTTACCACCTATTAGTACTTTATTAAAACAATCCTAATAATCCCATTATACAAATAGCACAGAATCTCAAAAGAATAATTTGTTAATTTCTATATATTTTTAAAACCAACTGATAAGCAGTAACCTGCGTTTGAACGTATGTCTATTGCCCTGACTGCTCTCCACATAAAGATGCCAGATGCAAAGCAATGTTGGGGGAACTGGGGGTGATCGGTCGCTGAGGTAAAGATCGCCTCCTATAAAGCCCCACGTTGATGATCCTGGCCCTGGGCTCCCTGTCCCCTCCGCGATTTGTAACCCCTGAGCCGGGCGGGAGGACGGAGGATGAGTGTGCAGTAAAGAGGCTCCCGCGCCCTCGGCTCGCCGATTCCCCTCGCGACGCCGGGCCGGTTCCGAACGCGGACCGGACCGTTAAGGGGCTGCCTGGGCCGCTACGCCCCGCGCGGGCCGCCCCTCCCCCACCGCGGCCTGAGGAGAGCGGCGCTGCCGGCCGGGCCCCCGCGGCTCCCCGAGCGAACAATACAGGGGGTCCCCCGCGAGGCTGAACGCCAAGGCCCCGCACCGCGGGCCTCGCAGACAGCGTCGAGCCGCAAGGCCGCGAGAGACCACCCCGCAGGAGAGCGAGTGAGGAGGCGGTTATTCAGGGGGTTCAGAGGCCGCCGTGGCCTGACCGTACCTGGCTCCAGGTGATGAACTCGTTAGTGTGGGTTTCCTCCACAAGCGTCCACAGCTTGCTGAGGAAAGCCGGCACGTTCGAACTCTGCTTCATTGTTAACGCGGCGCAGGGATTCCAAATTCTACACCCGAACGCGGTGGTAGCGGCGGCGGCAGCTACGGCAGCAGCTCCCCGAGAACGCCCACAACGCAGGCGCAGCAGATCTTGGTCCCCGCCCCCCCAACCCCGCCAGGCGCGCGGCAAGGCCGAGAGGCCGGGCGGCCGCACGTGACGGACAAGTCTCCGCGCTCCGCCTGTGCGCGCAGTGGTTCCGCGCCTGTCCCGTCCCTGGCCAATCCCAGGAGCCGACTGCACGACAGAGAAAAGCGATTGGCTGCTGCTGACATGAAGGGGGTGGGAGCAGAAGGGGGTGGGAGCAGAAGGGGGCGCTGCCTCCTCATTTGCCTTTTATACAGAAGCCTTGATGGTAGCAGACTTAGGCTTGGGAGACCGTGTTTGGATGTTTCACGTGGAAACAGCTTATGGTTTCTGGGCTGTGGCTGGGAGGCTACAGAAACCCTTCAGGGCCTTTGAGTCATAAGTTTGGCAGGCAAAGTGTGGTTTGCACCAGTTTAGAGAAAGGATCCATTTGCATAAGGAAAAAACCAGCTCTCAAGCATGATGTGCTAGGCCCCAAATTGAAATTGTCTTAAAAATAATGAAACTTGTTCTTACATTTTCATTGGGAGAAAAAGCCCTCTTTAAAATATGTTTATCAAAAAGAGCAGTTTAAATAACTCACTCTCGATTACTTAAAACTGTAAACCAGGAACTGCAATTGATATATCATGTGCTGTTTTTAATCCAGTCATCAAGTGCCTACTCTGTACCCAGAATAAAAAGAAATAGACTCATTTGTACTATTTTAGTTAATTAAAATAGTTTTTCCTGCGTATACTTTACAGATATAGTCTTTTTTGCCTAAGAGATTGGTATAGTGGAAAAAACAATGGAAAAGGAGTCAGTAGATCTCAGTTTAGATAAAGCCTCTTGGACATTTTTCTGTATATTAAAATACACTGGTTCTGTCATTTAGAACAATTCCTTAGCCACCAGTGCCAGTTTTTTCCATTTCTTGACTGGGAATAAGATCTATCTTTTTACCCACTAAGAGTGTCTTTAATACTATAATGGCTGTGCAAATGCTTTGAAAATATGAAGTCTACAAAATTCGACTTTTTTTTTTTACAAAAGTCAGCATGTGAAGGCAAAAACTTACAAACAAGTCAGAGATAACATACAAAACTTCAACATAGGATTGGTTTACTTCTTGGGTGAATGTAAAATAGTACATTAAATATATATCTATCATTTAATGGAAGATATATGTATATCTCTTCCAATGAGCAAGTATTTAGTGAATGCTGCCTTTGTGCTCAGCACTGGGATGTTGGCTGAAGCAAAATCAGATATATGGAGGCATGCATGTGATAGAGGAAGTAATATTTGATGAGCCCTTATATATGCCAAGGGCTTTACATATATTATTGAATCCTCACAACAACCCAATGAACTAGGTTTTATTATCCCATTTTCCCAGAGAAGATTCTGAGACTCAAAAGTTGATTAATTTCTTCAGTCACAGCAAGTAAATGGGAGAGTATTTACACCCAAGCTTTATTGAGCTCAAAAGTATGTGCCCTTTCCATTGTACAATGATGACACTGTTTCAAAGCTCAAGATGCTTATATTCAAACTCAAGAAACAATATGACCACAGTGATCAGCACTCAATATATACAAAAAGAGCTAAATGTTTTGTATAAAATAAGTACTAGATAAGTTTAAAAAGACAGATTAGTAGGTTAAGGTGGTAAGGAAGGATTTCATGGCAGATAGGGACCTTAAGTTGGGTCTTGAGGTACAAATATATTTGAATAGCTAAAAGGAAGACAACAGAATGAGCAAAAACCAGGAAGCTAATGATCATGTCTGTCTATGGAGGGCAACAGCTCAGGAGGTAAGAATGGCAGTGTCTAAGGAGGAAATGTGGCCTACTTTCATGGCATTATATTATTTTCTTCTAAAAAAAGAAGGTGTGATTAGATAGAAGCAGAAACTTGTCTTTGGACATTCAAAGGCTGGGCATTCATAGGGCTGGGCTTAGTGGGGTGCCATACTTAGTTTAATGCTCTGTTCTCATCCTCTTGAAATTCTCAGTTTTTGAACAAGGGACTGTACATTTTCATTTTGCAATGGATCTTGCAAATTGTGTAGCTGATTCTGTTTCCAATGTATGGCATCTTATAGACCGTAAGTTTGAAACAAATGGTTCTCAAACTTAAGCATGCGTCTGAATCACTTGGAGAGGGAAGCCTTCCAGTAAGCAAATGAGCAATATCACTTATCAGGTAGTATTTGTAATACTTATAAGGGCAGTGACAAGGATAAGTTATTAACCAGATAAGAAAACCTTGGCACCAGAAAACTTAGATGATGTATCCAAAATCATCTAGTTAAGGTTGGAATTGAAACCAGGTCTTTCGTAGTCTGAAACATGCTTTTTAAATTTACACCAATGTGTCTCAAACTTTAGCGCAGAATCACCTGGACAGCTTCTTAAAGAACAAATTGCTGCTTTTGCTTCCATGGCTCTCAGTAAGTCTGGGGTACAGGTTAAGAATTTTTATTTTTAACAAGTCCCAGATGACGCAGATGCTACTGGCCCTGGGACCGCATTTTGAGAATTGCTGTTATAGAGGAAAAATTAGTAAACTGAGCTTCCCTTACTACTAAGATGTACAGATTTATTGTTATGCTTTACTTCTGTCTGTTTTTTTTTTTTTTTTTTTTTTGACAGAGACTTACTCTGTCATCCAGGCTGGCAGGCTGGAGTGCAGTGGTGTGATCTTGGCTCACTGCAAACTCTGCCTCCCGGGTTCAAGCAATTCTGCTTCAGCCTCCTGAGTAGCTGGGATTACAGGTCTGCACCACGAAACCTCACTAATTTTTGTATTCTTAGAAGAGATGGGGTTTCACGATGTTGGCCAGGCTGGTCTTGAACTCCTGAGCTCAAGTGATCTGCCACCTTGGCCTCCCAAAGTAATAAGATTACAGGTGTGAGCAACTGCACCTGGCCACCCTTCATCTCTTAATAAAATCCAGATGTTCCAGGAATAACTTAAACGACTATGTTTTGTTTTTCTATGAACTTATAATCGTTAATATTTATTATAATTAGTACATTTTCTGAAAAACTAAGTATTGAATGCAGACTTTTTTTGGGGAAAAGGAAATTATAACTTGGCTTGTTTGCACTTATTTATAAAACTGAGAGGGGAAGAAAACAAAATCAAGCTTTATCTCACAATTATTTGCCACCTATAATATCCCTAAAATATCAGAAGAAACAGATTTGCGCCAGTGTCGACAATTTTGACATGTTTATAACACAAGAAGATAAAAATGTCACTTTCTTAAAGGAGTTGCCTCCTGTTAACTCCAGTTTAAAAAGCTGGATTATTTTCATGGTTCATTTGCAGCCTAGAATGTAAGACTTAGATTTAGAATAACATTCAAAAATATGAATGATCCAGACCTTTGTCTAGGAAATAGAAAAGCATATTATGGAGCAATTTGATGCTTCAAATCATCAGACGATGCCATAAATTCTATCCAATCGATTTTGCAAAACTAATTGGAATCAACGGTGCAACCAGTATTAGCTTTTAAAGATTTTTTTTTCAAGGATAGGATGATTAAATCCAAAGGTGAACTGCATAGAGGTTTCCACCTATATTGCTATCTGGACAAAGTGTTGATTTTCTTCAATTTTGGAATGACTTAGGGGACCTTAGGCAAATCACCTAACATTTTCTAGTCCTCGTTCCTTATATATAAGATGTGAGTGAAAAATATCTGCTATGCTCACTTCACAGGGTGGTTTTGAAGATCAAAGAAATTGTCTCTTCCTCCAGTCCACTTTCACAATCTTTATGGATCTCTTTCTAAAACACAAATCTGAAAAGGTCACTTCCTGACTTAAAACTATTCAGTGACTTCCCATAATTTCCAGAATAAATTCAAACCCCTTAAGGGGCATAAAAGGCCTTCTCTGATCTGATGCCGCCTACCATTTCAGTTATTGTCTACCATTGTTTACAACGCCTTTCCCTTAGCCACACCTAATTGCTTGTAGTTACCTTACTGGTCATATTCTTTTATACCTCTATGTATTTCCATAGGCTGTTGTCTCTGCCTGCAGAGCCCTTCTTCACCATTTTCCCCTAAATTCTTCTTCAACCTTCCAGGTCAAGTACAATCCCGTACAAACATAAGTTCTTTTGTGAAATCTTCCTTGGTAACATTTATTATAGCACTTACTACATCATATTATAATTATTTATTTACATGTATTTTTCATTCTAGACTATGAAACTGCTTCAACATAAATACTATGTCATATGTACATTCACTTATTTACAATGACATTCACAATGCATGATATATGTTAAAATATCAATAAATATTTGTTGAATTAATAAATGAATACATGAACAGGTAAGTGCTAATCATCTGTTTATTCTTGCATGACCCCCAAATCTGGGTTAGTTGTTCCTCCCATGTGCTCCTATAGCTCTGGAACTTGACCTTCATAGTTTTTACCACACTATTGCTGCTCATTTACTTCTCAACAACCCTTACTAGACTAGCAGATTGTGCTTGCATTGTTCACTCTTGTATCCTGAGCACTCAACACAGTGCTAATAATAACGTAGGAACTGCTCAATAAATATTTGTTGAATTAATAATTTTAGCTTTTGAAATCCTTTGGATAAAATGTGCTCTACCTAATAATAAGGAAACCCCTTACAATTTATTCTCAGTCAGTAGAAACCTTTTTGTTTACAAGAGAAGAAAATGAAGAGAAGAGCTTAAGGATAGCTCAACTGAGAAGCATGCGAATGAGGAGCTGTTAGTAACTGAACAAATATTAGAATCCTGGAAATGCCAGATGTTAACAGAATGCTATAGAGGCCCAGGTTTGAGGTCACTTATATCTTCAAAACAAATGACAGTGGCAAAATGCTTAAGGACTCTTGAATAGGCTTTTGAGTAAGTGAAGAGCTAGAAGACTGTGAAAGTTAATTTTTAAAATTTTTCAAGAAGTTTTCTTCTTCTAAGGCTACAACCTGGGTGCAAAAGACACTAGCCAGAGGAGCTTTTTACATGGGAAATGTGTTAGTACTGCTTGTACCAGACTCGGGCTGGAACTGCTCTACATTAAAACTCCAATCTATGCCAGATTTGCTAGAATCCAATCAGTCATCCAACTAGGGTGACAAACTAGTTCAGGTTAGCACAATACATTTCCAGTTTTAATACTGAAAGTCCTATGTCCCAGGAAATCCCTCAGCCCCAGGCAAACCAGATTGTTTGATCACCCTAACTCAGCCTCTTCCAGTTATTTATGTTGGACAGGAAGCAGAGGCTCTTTAAGCAAAGCAAAATATTGTATAGCGACAATGTAGATACGGGATCTGGAAACTCTAATGCAGCTTTGGCCTTTCTGGAAGCAGTGCGGAGGCTCTCTTTCACAGGCACTCCAACAGCTAGCTGATAAATAGAAGGAATTGATGTACCCCTGCAACTCAAGGTCCCCGTGAAGGCTCAGACACACACAGAGAGATGTTGATAAGAAAGAAAATTCAAGGCTAAAAACCGTCAAGGACTGGAAACATTAGAAAAATGGAGTGGAATAGAGAAATGGCCTGCAATATAAGCCTTCCATTATTTCTACTAGAACAAAACCATGTTAGGGTTTAAGTTTCTACTTCACTGGGACTTGTCTTGTTCCAAGAGGAGGTGGTGTCCAAGATAGATGGAATGTGTTAGGAGTTTATCTTTCGGAAAATGTGGTTTAAGTCATCATTTTATTCAAATCATTTGATAACTAAGACCTTTGAGGTCCTCAAAGATGAAATGAGCTGAATTATAGGAATTGGATACAGAAATACACTCATGCTTTGAATACTAAACTGGAGAAATTGGGTTCAGTGAGGAGGCAGTCACTGTCACAGCTGTGTGTCATGATCTGAGAGGTGTCTGTGAAGAGCTGGTAACCACTGGGACATTTCTAACCTCTTTAGAGTTTAGTCATCTACTATGAGCAGCATCCACTTACCAGCCATAAAGAGAGATGACTTTTCTATTCTGTGCTCACAGCGTGGTGCAGTACAGTAGAGATGAAACAAAGGCTCAACCTGCTGCTTTCTGAGAAGGCATCCTAGGATAGAACTGAATGAATTCTGATCTTTCGGAGAAAAGTCTGCCATTGTCTGAATCAAGTAGTTGCTAGGACCTCTTAAAGATTTGCGGTTGGGCGCAGTGGCTCATGCCTGTAATCCTAACACTTTGGGGAGGCCAAGGCGGGCGGATCACAAGGACAGGATCAAGACCGTCCTGGCTAACACGGTGAAACCTTATCTCTACTAAAAATACAAAAAATTAGCCAGGCGTGTGGGACACGCCTGTGCTCTCAGCTACTCCGGAGGCTGAGGCAGGAGAATTGCTTGAACCCAGGAGGCGGAGTTTGCAGTGAGCTGAGACTGCGCCACTGCACTCCAGCCTGGATGACAAAGCAAGACTCTGACTCAAAAAAAAAAAAAAATTTGCTACTTAATGGCAGAACTCTTGATTTATAAAGCCCTTATATATGGTAATTGTTATATTTGCTATAATTTACTTTAAAATACTACAATTTAAAGAGGAGTATATAGTGTGGTAGTTAATTGTAATCTGCACCCTAGGGGCAGTCAAGTTAACAGTTGAAAAACCCGAATTAGGAAGGCATTCTCCAGGGGTGGTTAGTTAGCATATGAAAGACTAATCTAATGCTTTTCCTATGAAGATTTAATCTTAATGTTTATTTTTTTAATTAATACCAAAGTTTTGTTAACTAGGGCAATGGATGTGGAAATGATTTCTTTCTTGGTAAAATTAATGAAGTTCAGGATATGTGTATTGACTAAAAATAGTGTATTGTCTTTCCCCATTTTTGACTAACCTGAGAATGGTGTTATCTTGAACTGGTAGCCTATTCTCTAGGTGCCCTAACCTTAGGATCCTCATAGACCCAGTGTTCAGGGGATTTAGGTGGCCTGAAGCAAGAGTAAAAATAGAGGCTTACATGCCATATTTCAGAAGTTTTAAAGATTGCAAATCAAGCTAACAAACTTAAATAAAATATGTTCTAGTCTCCTAGCTTGAAAAATATATCTTCATAATAATAAAATTAAAAGATATGTGTCAAATCATAGTTTTCAGCTGGGCATGGTGGTGCATGCCTGTAGTTCCAGCTACCCAGGAGGCTAAGGCAGGATTGCTTGAGCCCAGGAGTTTAAGGCTGCAATGAGCTGTGATTGCGCCAGTGCACTGCAGGCTGGGTAACAGAGTGAGACCCTGTCTCAAAAAACAAAAAAACAAACAAACAAACAATGTATGTATAGTTTTCATAAGACACTAGGTTGGCAAAATATTTTTAAATTAACTTTGATCCACGAAGATCAAATGTAATTATTGTTTGGTGTTCTGTTGATGGAGGAATGATGTTTTTGATGATTAATAAAATAGAGATATATAATTTGTAGATCATTGTATATTTATTCCATAAAATTATTTTTTCTTGCCTATATTTCAGTTAGATTGTCACCATCAAGGTTGTCACATAACCTATGTTCTATTGGATCAAAGTATTTGAAATGTAGTTGTATTCAAAGTACAACTGTATTTAACAACCAAATCTGAATATATTTTATAAAATGTATTTCAAATACATGTTAAAAATAGGAAAATTAAAGTTTTTGTACATTTTGTTTTAAAATATTTAGAAATATCATAAAATTAAAAATTAAATTATAATTAATAAATTTCTAATTTAAAAACAAAATCATTCATATAAATTTGACATTTTAAGCTTAATATTTTGAAACTATAATCAGATTGTATTAAACATTTCAAAAAAATAAACTATTCTCACTCAGAAGCAGCTGGCATGGGCATAAAGTAGTACAACCTGCAAACCTTGTGTCTCAAGGGCGTAGGAGAAGAATTTTCCTGGAGCTCTTAGTTGCTGGAATAATGTTTAGAGTTACACTATGCCAACACGGAGTGCTGGATTCCAAATGATAGAAGTGACCGTTTGTTCCTTAATAAATTAATTTTTTGGTATGTGTTATGATATTCAGGGCTCTTTAAGGTGCTGGGCTCCAAAAAGAGATTCCTCTCCTAGATTATAAAGGCAATACTGCTACTTAGAGTAGATTTTTGTCACCTGACTTTCTTGAAAGTTAGCTGAATCCCACTGTTAGAATACTGCAACATATTCTATGCAACATACTTCATCAGGTTTATATAGCAGGGTGAATAACTTTTTGTGCCTTCTTGCTAATACATCTTTGTATGTGTGGCAGAATTTCTGCTTTTTTCATGACGATTATTTTAATATTTTTAAAATATAAACTTCTTTCTGGTGGTAAGGTTTTGGTCAACTCAACTTCACCTAGCTCTAACTCTTTGAAGCTACCAAAACAGTCATTGTGGATAATCAAATTGGCTTAGATTAGTTCTCAGAAGTGTAAATCTGGCAAAATTTTCTAAACTGATGCAACAAAATAGATCCCTACATTGAACTATGAGTTCAGTTAGCTGGGAAGCTGATTTTCAGTGCTGGGGGTCATAGATTTTATTGCATATGACTTTGTAGGCATTAGTGGCTAAAGATATATTTCAAGACGTACTAAAAAGCACTACGGCCAATAAAGGCCTCCGAGTATCAC
Source organism: Homo sapiens (assembly GCF_000001405.40). Lineage (NCBI taxonomy): Eukaryota > Metazoa > Chordata > Mammalia > Primates > Hominidae > Homo > Homo sapiens. Next base: position 122,391,015 of record NC_000006.12, on the reverse strand, counting down.
TCTGTAGAGAACTCCCATTGCCTCCAATGTAGGGATTATATCATTTATTTTCTTGATTTATTTGAACGACCTACTATTCCCTCTAGTTTGCATTCATACAGGGTAACTCATTTGACAACCTGGTGTCATCCTTCCAAATTTTCTCTATTTACAGTAGGTTATATATGTATTTATATGTATAAAGAGAGTTTATTGGCATTATTTTTATATAAAACATTTTCCCAATTTTTAAAATTTACTTTTAATTGCAGTAAAATATACACAATTTAAAATTTACCATCTTAACAATTTTTAAGTGTACAGTTTAATAGCGTTAAGTACATTCACTTTCTTGTGCAATCAATCTCTAGAATGCCTTTCATCTTGCAAATCTGAAACTCCATACCCATTAAATAACATTTATGCTTTTCCTCCTTCCCTCAGCCCCTGGCAACCACCATTTTACTTTCTGTGGTTATAAATTTAACTACTCTATTACCTCATATATTTGGGATCATACAGTCTTTGTCTTTTTGTAACTGGTTTATTTCACTTAGCATGTCTTCAAGGTTCATCCATATTGTAAACATGTGTCATAATTTTCTGTCTTTTTAAAAGCTAAATAATATTCGTTTGTATGCATACACCACATTTTTTTTATTCGTTCATCAATGGACACAAGTTATTTCTACCTTTTGACTATTGTGAATAATGCTGCTATGAACATTGGTGTATATAAACAATTTTATGCATTTTGCTTTTCTCAGTTGATAACGCATGGTAGAAACTCTTTCATGTCAATTGGCATAGCTATAATTTATTCCTTTTAAAGATTCCATGATATTCTGTGGCTTGTATGCAGCACAATAGATTCAGCCATTCTGCTACTGATGGGCATCTGCTTTGTTTCAAGGTTTTTATTTTTTTTCCACTCTGAGATGCTGCAAAAATATTCCTTAAAGATAAATTATTAAGCATTGGTGCTTTTATTTCTGTGTAGTAGTAAATTCAGATTTTCATGTATAATTTGCATGGTAAATCTATACTTTAGATTACTGTACCAGGATATAAAAAGAGCATGCTGCTGTTTAAAAAGCCCCACGTTTGAGCTAACAGAATGCTATTGTATACGTATCCAACACTATGACGCTCCTAGCAACAAGAAATGTCAACATCATGCTTCTATGGCAATAGCAAATGTTTAAGCAAGACAGAGAATAATCTAATATTTAGTGCTCAGGGGTGATTTCACCTTTGGATAGAAATAAAAGGAGATACCTTTATTCTTTGTTATTTTCATAACACAATGCAAAGCCAGGAAACTATACACTTTATTACATGTGATTTTTGGGGGCACTGGTGGCTGAAGATATATTCTGTATTGCTTTTGGACCAATTTAGGTCTGGTTTATTTTCCACTGAATTAATTCATAATTATCTGTAACTATCTCTTCTAGTCCTAGCCAGCTGTGAAAAATGAAGATAGTAAACAAAATGAGCTAGTGTTCTGGTGTTTAGAGATATTTATTGAAATTGAGACCCAGAGAGGTTCGATTACATTCTAATAGGTTCACGATCAGCATGTTTTATATATATATGTGTGTGTGTGTGTTTGTGTGTGTGTGTGTGTGTGCATGTGTTTTGATTCAGACTTTTCCACTTTGAAGCCTATGCCTTTCTATCACTTTATGATTTGCCGTATGATGACCCTAGAAGAATCCAAACCAAATCTGGTATCCCAAGTCTCTTGTATCTGATGTTCCCAGAGTGAGTGCTTGACATCCCCTGTTCAAAGTGGCAGGCTTCCAATTTGACTCTCTTTAGCCTATAACTAGGCTGCACTCCAATTCCCATATGAGAGGCAGAGCCCTGCCGCCCATACCCACCTACTTGGCTGGGCTGCTCCCTTAGCCCTTACTCAGGATCTTCCACAGGCTGGCTAAGACCTATAGTCACCAGTTAACAAGACTCTATTCTAATAAGAATTAGAATGTGTAATAAAGTTCTGCTTTTTTATGGTAACTATTTTAATGTTTTTAAGATATAAAAATCTGCAATAAACAAACAAATGAACATAATTGAACAAAAACATGTTTTGGTTCTCCTGCTTTGGTGCTTAGTGAGGTCATTGTGTGCTTTGATCCTGAGTCTTGTTTCCATCAGATAAATCATTTGGGTCTTTATACTATGTGTTATGGGCTGACTTGTGTCCCCTCAAGCTTTATTTGTTGAAATTTGAATCCCCCAGTACCTCAGAATGTGACTGTTTTTTGAGATAGGGCCTTTATGGATATAATTGATATAAAATGAGTCCATGCAGGTAGGCCTGATCTAGTATTACTGGTGTCCTTATAAGAAGGGGAGATTCAAATGCAGACAATACACAGACCTACAGACTGAGGGGTAATTATGTGAGAACACAGGGAAAAGGAATCCATCGGCAAGCCAAGAAGAAAGGTCTTAGAAGAAACTAGATCTGCCAACACTTTGATCTTGGACTTCTAGCCTCCAGAACAGTGAGAAAATAATTTTCCATTGTTTTAGCAACTGAGACTGCTAATGTACTCTCTATAGGAGGACTTTCAACTATACCAAAACCTTGTGACAACCAAAAAGTCCAACTACTCTGGATATTAAACAACTTTGATAAAAACATTTTACTAACCTTGCTGATTTATAGTGGCTGGATAAACTCATGAACACATTTTAATGGCTATTAATATTTTTTATTTTTATAACCAAAAAAGTTAATTATGAGACATTAAGGCATTATTTTAAGCCTAGGTGAAATGAGAATTATTTCTCCATATTAAAATTAAGATAATCATTGTGAAATTTGTCATTGAGTATAAAAAGTTTAATAAATATGCAATACTTGATACCTAAGAATGCAAAAATTGACTGTATATTTTAAGTGTCATCAAATGACATTTTCCCTTGGCTAGCCTAATGCTTTTAAATTATCCTTGAACAAGTAATTGGATGGATTTTTACTATTTATTTATGTATTTTTTTAAGATTTTATCATATACAGCACTTAATTTTCTAGGGATCCAATTTCTAGAAAAGGGAAGATTCAGTTTTGTTTTGTTCAGAACTTTACCAAGAGTTATTCACATCACCAATATGTGCTATTTATTTTCAACTGCACGTGTCACTCCTCTGCTCAAAACTTTGCAAAGGCTCTCCATTTCCATCTCTCCACTCCAATTAAAGTCAAAGTCTTTTCAATGCCTACAAGCACCTGTGTGATTTGTCTTCACCCAACCCCGGCCTCTGGTAAAACCTCTGCACCTGGGTTGTGGGGATTGGGGGAAGACTGATCACATATTTCTTCTCTTAATGCTCTTACCTCTTTACAGATGTATTGGAGTCCTTATTCTTCAAACATGTTGGGAGCACTTTGTCTTAGGGTCTTTGCACTAACAGCTTTCTCTGCCTGGAATGCTCTTTCCTCTAGATATTCTCCTCCTGGCTTCTAAGATTTTGCTCAAACGTCATATTTTCTATGAGGCCTGTCCTGACCAGCCTGTTTAAAATTGTAACCTTCTTGATTACTCTCCCCTATACAACCCCAATTTCTTTTTAGTTTTTCCACAAGGCCAGGGATCTTCATTTTTTTCCATGGATGTATTCCAAGAAGTGTGCCTGGCACATTATGAGTGTTCATTAAATATTTATTGAAAAATGAATAAATGAATAAATAAGAGGAGAGCATCTTTATGCAATGCTATCAACTAAGTTAATAACCAGAGCTGAGTAAAGGACTTGGCATAGAGACAAGCTTTATTTAATGATGCATTAGCTCTACTCTACTCCAAGTTAGCAAAGAAATGGCCCACTTCTTGGGGTTCAAGAAAGGGTGTAGGCTGATTCTTAAAAACATGAAATAAAAATCAAAGGATTTGATTGCTGTTATGAAATTTGATTCTCTCAATAATAAATACTTGTCCAAGATTTTCCATACTAACTGTAAAAAAGCATTTGTTTCACTACTGGAAAATGTTAATATTAATGTATTTTGGGAATTCAAAATACATTTGCAGAATTTCAGCCTTTTAAATCAATCAGTTTTTGACATTTCATAACTCCTGCTCTGTTTCTTTAGCTGATTCTGGAAATAAACATTTTGATTTTTCTTATTTTCACTTTATGTCTCTATAATTGTGCTAATTATATAAAATGTCTATTCAGTCCCCAAATGGAAATTATTTCTCAAATTTACTTATATCAATGGAAGGTATTACAGAAGAAAGAGCACCTATTAGAAGTTTGGCAGACATAGCTTTGCCATTATTATTATTATTGAGACAAGATCTCCCTTTTTCACACTGGCTGGAGTGCAGTGAATGATCATACCTCACAGTAGCCTCAACTCCTGGATTTAAGTGATCTTCTACCCTCAGCCTCCTGAATAGCTAGGACTATAGGTGTGTACCACCATGCCCAGCTAATTTTTGTATTTATGTAGAGATGGGGTCTCACTATGTTGCCGAGGCTGGTGTTGAACTCCTGGGATCAAGCAATCTTCTGGTCTTAACCTCCCAAAGCACTGGGATTACAGGCATGAATCACCATGCCTGGCAAGCTTTGTCATTATTAATGATAGTGTGACTGTGGACCTCTCTGAGCCTCACTCATTTACAAAACCTCATATTTAAATAATGAATTTATTATGGACAAATACACACATAATAGTAGGTGTCTAACAGATGTTCCCTGATACTGTTGAATAACTGAATGCTAAAATACTCTTCATTTGAGCAGTTCTTCTTAGATGTCTTTTGAGGTTATTTATAATTTTTATTTCCCATTAATGAATGTGCAGCCTTACATTTCATACTATTTACTCCTGCACTTCTAAGATATGAAAGCTATTGATTAGTTTAGCTACATTTTTTGAGTGTCTATTAGGTGTCTTCGGTCATACTAGTTACACTGACAATTGTACAATATTTGTGGTCCCTGCCAAGAGGAATTTATGATCTAACGAAAACACAAAATGAAAATACACAAAATCATTAGCAAATAACTAAGTATTAACCAGGTAACACTGACTAGGTGTACAGCAAAGTTAAAGATCAGAGTGGGTTGAAGAGATTAGAAAATCTTCATGGAATGAATATGGAGCATTTGAATTGGCCCCAATTAACCCTCAGCACAACAACAGCATAAGAAACGGCTTTACACTCCTTAATACATTGCAAGAACAGTTATAACTACTTTACATTTATTAACTAATTTAGTTCTGAACAACCCCCCAGGAATTAGATACTATTTTACTCCCATTTAAAAGGAAGAAATAAACCAAGAAAAAGTACTGATTAGTAATTGTGATTTTCAATCTTTCCCACCAAGTCTATAGAAGGATTGAAAAGGTTTACCAAAAGGCAGATTCTATTATGAATATTGCAGAGAAACCATCCTTACTGTAAGACAAATAATGTACAGAATTTCCAGCTATTCTTCCACATCTACCCCTTACTTCAGTACAATTAAGCTATTCCTTCTTTCTGCCTCAGTGTTATTAGCCATCTTGCTCTCCTAACTTACCTTTATGGATATCTTATGTGTCCCTCAAGAGCCCTCACAGTTTCTATGTTAATGCCCTGTCCAGGAGAAAAATATTGCATTTTTCTTATGATACTGATATTAAACTGCCTTGTAGTTATTTTGTGTTTTTTAAATTATTATTTATTTATTTTTTTGAGACGAAGTCTCACTCTGTCTCCCAAGCTGGAGTGCAGTGGCATTATCTCGGCTCACTACAATCTCCGCCTCCCGGGTTCAAGCGATTCTCCTGCCTCAGCTTCCTGAGTAGCTAGGACTACAGGTGCACGCCCCCATGCCTGGCTAATTTTTGTATTTTTAGTAGAGATGGGGTTTCGCCATGTTGGCCCGACTGGTCTCGAACTCCTGACCTCGTGATTTACCCTCCTCGGTCTCCCAAAGCACTGAGATTACAGGTGTGAGCCACCACGCCTGGCCTTGTGTTTATTTCTTATGAGCAACAGAGGAAAGGATTTATGTCTTTTTCATTTTTATGTTCCCCATTCATTCCTTATTGCTACTTCCCAACCATGATACCTGGTATGTCTTATATACTGTAGGCATTCGTTAAGTATTTATGAAATAAGTAAATGAATGAATACAGCCAAGATATTGTTCCCACTTTGCAAAAGTGGAGAAGAGGTAGCTTTCTCAATAAATGTGAAAAGAAAAAGAGAAAAGGACATTATTATTATTATTTTTGAGACAGGGTCTCACTCTGTTGCCCTGGCTGGAGTGCAGTGGCACAATCATAGTTCACGGCGGCCTTGAACTCCTGGTTCAAGCAATCCTCCCTCCTCAGTATCTCAAGTAGCTGGGACCACAGGCATGTGCTACCACATTTGGCTAATTTTTGTATTTTTTATAGAGACATGGGTCTTGCTATGTAGCCTAGGTTTGTCTTGAACTCCTGAGCTTAAGTGATCCTCCTGCCTTGGCCTCACAAACTGCTGGAATTAGAGGCATGAGCCACCGTGCCTGGCAAAAAAGAAATTTTTTAAAGTTAATAGATTATAAAAGAAGAAGAACCCATAGATGGAAAAAAGATAATGAGAAAAAGAGGGAAAATTATTAAAAATAAAAATAAATGGAAGGGCAATAATAAATGGGTTGAAATAAAATGTGACTGGAACAAATGATAAAATAGAAATAGCCAAGAACAAATAGGAAACTCTTGGAAAAAAGGAGTTGTGGAAATGAAAGAAAAGTGACAAGCAAATGAAATATAAGAGAAAGGCAACACAGAGAAAGGAAGTGAAAAACATGGAACAGTTGAGAAGAGAGTAGCAAATAGAAATGAAAAGAATGCTGTGTGTCAACAGGTTTGTAACTGGGCCACCCTAAACAAGTTCTTCTTAGTAAAAATAATAAGAGTGTTTTGTTCTGGCTTACTCTTCTACCCTCTTTGCACTGATTGGTATTACTCATAACAGGAATCTGGAGATGCTGAAATATTTGAGGATGGCATTTCCAAGACATTTTAAAGATAAATGCATTAAAAAATCTTTTTGAGCTGTCTATGACAAACCCTCAGCCAACATCATACTGAATGGGCAAAAGCTGGAAGCATTATCCTTGAAAACTGGCACAATGATACTCTGTCTCACTACTCCTATTCACCATATTATTGGAAGTCCTGGTCAGAGCAATCAGGAAAGATAAATAAATAAAGGGCGTACAAATAGGAAGAGAGGAAGTCAAACTATCTCTGTCTACAGATGACATAAATCTATATCTAGAAAACCTCATAGTCTCAGCCCAATAGCTCCTTAAGCTGATAAACAACTTCAGCAAAGTCTCAGGATACAAAATCAACATACAAAAATCACCAACATTCCTATACACCAAAAATAGTCAAGCCAAGAGCCATATCAGAAGGCAATCCACTTCACAATTGACACAAAAATAAAATAGCTATGAATACAGCTAACGGGGGGTGAAAGACCTCTACAATAAAAATTACAAAACACTGCTCAAAGACATCAGAGATGACACAAGCAATTGGAAAAATATTCCATGCTCGTGGATAGTAAGAATCAACATAATTAAAATGGCCATACTGCCCAAAGCAATTTATAGATTCATTGCTATTGCTATCAAACTACAATATCATTCTTCACAGAACTAGAAAAAAATATTTAAAAATTCATAAACAAGCACTAATAGCCAAGGCAATCCTAAGCAAAAAGAACAAATCTGGAGACATCACACCACAGGGCCTCAAACTATACTACAGGACTACAGTAACCAAAACAGACACATAGACCAATGGAACAGAATAGAGAGCTCAGAAATAAGGTCATATACATCTACAACAAACTGATCTTCAACAAAGCTGATAAAAACAATCAATAAGGAAAGGACTCCCCTATTCAGTAAATGGTGCTAGGATAACTGACTGGCCATATGCAGAAGATTGAAACTGGACCCCTTCGTTACACCATATACAAAATCCACTCAAGATGGATTACAGACTTAAATGTAAAACACCAAACTATAAAAAACTCTGGAAGATAACCTAGGCAATACCAACCTGGACATAGGAATGAGAAAAGATCTTAGGACAAAGAAACCAAAAGCAATTGCATAAAAAGCCAAAATTGACAAATGGGATCTAATTAAACTAAAGAGCTTCTGCACAGCAAAAGAAACTATCAACAGAATAAACAGACAACCTACAGAATGGGAGAAAATATTTGCAAACTATGCATCTGACAAAGGTCTAATTTATAGCATCTATAAGGAACTTAAACAAATTTACAAGACCCAAACAAACCCATTAAAAAGTGGGCCAAGGACATGAGCGAACACTTTTCAAAGAAATTGTGGCCAACAAGCATATGAATAAAAGCTGAATATCACCGATTATTAGAGAAATGCAATTCAAAACCACATTGATCATCTCACACCAGTCACAATGACTATTATTAAAAAGTCAGAAAAATAACAGGTGCTGGCAAGGTTGCAGAGAAAAAGGAGCGCTTATAAATTGTTGGTGAGAGTGTAAATTAGTTCAACCATCGTGGAAAACAGTGTGATGATTCCTCGAAGACCTAAAAACGGAACTACCATTAGACTCAGCAATCCCATTACTGGATATTTACTTAAAGGAGTATAAACCGTTCTATCATAAAGACGCATGCATGTGTATGTTCATTGCTGCACTATTCACAATAGCAAAGACATGGAATCAATCTAGGTGACCATCAATGGTAGACCGGATAAAGAAAATGTGCTACACCACATGCGAAACATGAATGAAGCTGAAGGCCATTATCTTTAGCAAACTAATGCGGGAATAGAAAACCAAATATCACATGTTCTCATTTACAAGTGAGAGCTAAATGTTGAGAACACACAGACACATAGAGGAGAACAACAGACACTGGGGCTACTGGAGGATGGAGAGTGGGAGGAGAGAGAGGATCAGAAGAAATAAATAATGGATACAAGGCTTAATACATGGGTGATGAAATAGTCTGTAAAACAAACCCCCCTTGGCATGAGTTTACCTATGTAACAAACCTGCACATGTACTCCTGAACTTGTTAAATTAAAATCTTTTCCTAATCACATTGACCCCCAAATTAATATTTGTCAAGAACGGATTCTATTAAAGATACCTTTATGTTTTTATAATTCTTTTGAGAATAAGTAAATCTCCTAATTATTTCAATCAGTATGCTTTGCACAGCCTCAGGATGCGGAGTTTTGCACATGAATGCCGCTAACTCCAAGCCTGCTGTGAAATACTGGTCTTACAGATGTTCACCGGCTGGCTTGCATCTTCAGCTCCCTCTGCTGTTCACTCTCTGTTACTATGGCGACCTGTAAATGCAGGCAGAAAGAGAAATCTGCTAAAGAAACCTGAATCCCATTTTCGGTGGCCCCAAAATGATATAAATATGATTAATTTCTTAAGTTTCACTCCCCCAACAGGAGAATTGTTCATTCTCAGCAAAACCACATCACTGAATGTACTTTAGAGAGTTGTATTCCCTAGGATCAGATTTTCCCCCTTAGTTAATATCCATTTTATTTTAATTATTGATAAAATATGAATTTACAGTTAGTGCTTCTCTTGGCAAGTATAATTTAAAAAATTACCTGGATGATGTCAAATGCACATGATTTCTCTGAGTTCTTTCAATGATTCATTAAGACAGTGGAGGCTAGGAAAAAACTGCATCAACTAACGAGCAAAATAACCAGCTAACATCGTAATGACAGGATCAAGTTCACACATAACAATATTAACCTTAAATGTAAATGGGCTCAATGCTCCAATTAAAAGACACAGACTGGCAAGTTGGAAAAAGGGTCAAGACCCATCAGTGTGCTGTATTTAGGAAACCCATCTCATGTGCAGAGACACACATAGGCTCAAAATAAATGGATGGAGGAAGATCTACCAAGCAAATGGAAAATAAAAAAAGGCAGGGATTGCAATCCTAGTCTCTGATAAAACAGACTTTAAACCAACAAAGATCAAAGGAGACAAAGAAGGCCATTACATAATGGTAAAGGGATCAATTGAACAAGAAGAGCTAACTATCCTAAATATATATGCACCCAATACAGGAGCACCCAGATTCATAAAGCAAGTCCTTAGAGACCTACAAAGAGACTTAGACTCCCACACAATAATAATGGGAGACTTTAACACCCCACTGTCAACATTAGACAGATCAACGAGACAGAAAGTTAACAAGGATATCCAGGAATTGAACTCGGCTCTGCACCAAGCGGACCTAATAGACATCTACAGAACTCTCCACCCCAAATCAACAGAATATACATTCTTTTCAGCACCACACTGCACCTATTCCAAAATTGACCACATAGTTGGAAGTAAAGCACTCCTCAGCAAATGTAAAAGAGCAGAAATTATAACAAACTGTCTCTCAGACCACAGTGCAATCAAACTAGAACTCAGGATTAAGAAACTCACTCAAAACCGCTCAACTACATGGAAACTGAACAACCTGCTCCTGAATTACTACTGTGTACATAACGAAATGAAGGCAGAAATAAAGATGTTCTTTGAAACCAATGAGAACAAAGACGCAACATACCAGAATCTCTGGGACACATTCAAAGCAATGTGTAGAGGGAAATTTATAGCACTAAATGCCCACAAGAGAAAGCAGGAAAGATCTAAAATTGACATCCTAACATCACAATTAAAAGAACTAGAGAAGCAAGAGCAAACACATTCAAAAGCTAGCAGAAGGCAAGAAATAATGAAGCTCAGAGCAGACCTGAAGGAAATAGAAAAAAACCCTTCAAAAAATCAATGAATCCAGGAGATGGTTTTTGGAAAAGATCAACAAAATTGATAGACCACTAGCAAGACTAATAAAGAAGAAAAGAGAGAACAATCAAGTAGACGCAATAAAAAATGATAAAGGGGATATCACCACCGATCCCACAGAAATACAAACTACCATCAGAGAATACTATAAAAACCTCTATGCAAATAAACTAGAAAATCTAGAAGAAATGGATAAATTCCTCAACACATACGCCATCGCAAGATTAAACCAGGAAGAAGTTGAATCTTTGAATAGACCAATAACAGGCTCTGAAATTGAGGCAATAATTAATAGCTTACCAACCAAAAAATGTCCAGGACCAGATGGATTCACAACCGAATTCTACCAGAGGTGCAAGGAGGACCTCGTACCATTCCTTCTGAAACTATTCCAATCAATAGAAAAAGAGGGAATCCTCCCTAACTCATTTTATGAGGCCAGCATCATCCTGATACCAAAGCCTGGCAGAGACACAACAAAAAAAGAGAATTTCAGACAAATATCCTTGATGAACATCGATGCAAGAATCCTCAACAAAATACTGGCAAACCGAATCCAGCAGCACATCAAAAAGCTTATCCACCATGATCAAGTGGGCTTCATCCCTGGGATGCAAGGCTGGTTCAACATATGCAAATCAATAAACATAATCCAGCATATAAACAGAACCAACAACAAAAACCACATGATTATCTCAATAGATGCAGAAAAGGCCTTTGGCAAAATTCAACAATGCTTCATGCTAAAAACTCTCAATAAATTAAGTATTGATGGAATGTATCTCAAAATAATAAGAGCTATCTATGACAAACCCACAGCCAATATCATACTGAATGGGCAAAAGCTGGAAGCATTCCCTCTGAAAACTGGTACAAGACAGGGATGCCCTCTCTCACCACTCCTATTCAACATAGTGTTGGAAGTTCTGGCCAGGGCAATCAGGCAGGAGAAGGAAATAAAGGGTATTTAATTAGGAAAAGAGGAAGTCAAATTGTCCCTGTTTGCAGATGACATCATTGTATATCTAGAAAACCCCATTGTCTCAGCCCAAAATCTCCTTAAGCTGATAGGCAACTTCAGCAAAGTCTCAGGATACAAAATCAAAGTACAAAAATCACAAGCATTCTTATACACCAATAACAGACAAACAGAGAGCCAAATCATGAGTGAACTCCCATTCACAATTGCTTCAAAGAGAATAAAATACCTAGGAATCCAACTTGCAAGGGATGTGAAGGACCTCTTCAAGGAGAACTACAAACTACTGCTCAATGAAATAAAAGAGGATACAAACAAATGGAAGAACATTCCATGCTCATGGGTAGGAAGAATCAATATCATGAAAATGGCCACACTGCCCAAGGTAATTCATAGATTCAATGCCATCCCCATCAAGCTACGAATGACTTTCTTCACAGAATTGGAAAAAACTACTTTAAAGTTCATATGGAACCAAAAAAGAGCCTTCATTGCCAAGACAATCCTAAGCCAAAAGAACAAAGCTGGAGGCATCGTGCTACTGACTTCAAATTATACTACAAGGCTACAGTAAGCAAAACAGCATGGTACTGGTACCAGAACAGAGATATAGACCAATGGAGCAGAACAGAGCCCTCAGAAATAATACCACACATTACAACTATCTGATCTTTGACAAACCTGACAAAAACAAGAAATGGGGAAACGATTCCCTATTTAATAAATGGTGCTGGGAAAATTGGCTAACCATACGTAGAAACCTGAAACTGGATCCCTTCCTTACACCTTATACAAAAATTAATTCAAGATGGATTAAAGACTTAAATATTAGATCTAAAACCATAAAAACCCTAGAAGAAAACCTAGGCAATACCATTCGGGACACAGGCATGGGCAAGGACTTCATGTCTGAAACACCAAAAGCAATGGCAACAAAAGCCAGAATTAACAAATGGGATCTCATTAAACTAAAGAGCTTCTGCACAGCAAAAGAAACTACCATCAGAGTGAACAGGTAACCTACAGAATGGGAGAAAATTTTTGCAATCTACTCATCTGACAAAGGGCTAATATCCAGAATCTACAATGAACTCAAACAAATTTACAAGAAAAAAACAAACAACCCCATCAAAAAGTGGACAAAGGATATGAACAGACACTTCTCAAAAGAAGACATTTATGCAGCCAAGAGACACATGAAAAAATGCTCATCATCACTGGCCATCAGAGAAATGCAAATCAAAACCACAATGAGATACCATCTCACACCAGTTAGAATGGCAATCATTAAAAAGTCAGGAAACAACAGGTGCTGGAGAGGATGTGGAGAAATAGGAATACTTTTACACTGTTGGTGGGACTGTAAACTAGTTCAACCATTGTGGAAGTCAGTGTGGCGATTCCTCAGGGATCTAGAACTAGAAATACCATTTGACCCAGCAATACCATTACTGGGTATATGCCCAAAGGATTATAAATCATGCTGCTATAAAGACACATGCACACGTATGTTTATTGCGGCACTATTCACAATAGCAAGGACTTGGAACCAACCCAAATGTCCAACAATGATAGACTGGATTAAGAAAATGTGGCACATATACACTGTGGAATACTATGCAGCCATAAAAAAGGATGAGTTCATGTCCTTTGTAGGCACATGGATGAAGCTGGAAACCATCATTCTCAGCAAACTATCTCAAGGACAAAAAACCAAACACCGCATGTTCTCACTCATTGGTGGGAGTTGAACAATGAAAACACATGGACACAGGAAGGGGAACATCACACACTGGGGCCTGTTGTGGGGTGGGGGGAGGGGGGAGGGAGAGCATTAGGAGATATACCTAATGTTAAATGATGAGTTAATGGGTGCAGCACACCAACATGGCACGTGTATACATACGTAACTAACCTGCACGTTGTGCACATGTACCCTAAAACTTAAAGAATAATAAAAAAAAGATTACATATATTGACTCATTTAATCATCACAAGCACCATGAGATATGTACTATTATTATTCTCATTTTAAAGATGAAGAAACTGAGGCATACTGGGGTTAACTAACTTGGCAGTTACACAGCTTGTACACTGTTAAGATATTTCCAAAATGTGCTTATATATCTATTCCAAGATTTATCAATTTTTGATATTCTTTATTGACTTCTTACTATGATAGAGGAGTACTTAGCTCATTTTTACTAAGCTTTCTTACATTCCCCTGCCTTCTAGTGTATTTCAATTAAAAATTTTATCTTCTATCTATTGCTTTAATTCCTGCAGTTTTAAGATGTACACAACCTTGATTCCTTGTTTCTCCAACTATAGAGAGTATCTTTTGTTTCCACTCCACACAACATGGACAGGACCCCCACTCTACCCTTCAGTTCTCCAACTTTCCCTTCCACCTGCCACCTTTCGTCACTGTACTTTCACTTTTAATGAGCTTCATTCCACTTACATTGTACTCTATAACCACAGTGCTTTCATAGTTGGTCCATAAATGGATTCTAAAATAAGAAATTGAATAGACAGTGTTAATGTCATTATGATCAGGTAAATAGCGTTCACTGGAGAGGTAAGTAGTGCATTATATCTATGTTTTTCTTCTTTTACAATTGTTTATTTCTTGTAATTTCTAATTGGCTTCTTCTTCCTCCTTGCATCATTTACCTTTGTTTCATTTTACATTTTGTTCGAAGTTCATATTGTACAGTCTATGACATTGTGGACTTTTCCCCCACCTGGTTCTTTTGTCTGGAGACTGCCATCTTGCCGGGCCACAGAGTACAGTTTGCTGTTCTGGTGTTCTCCTGTCATCCTGGGACTCTACTTCACTGCTCTTCTGAGAAAGACCCATTGTTGCCTGTCATTTTTCTCCCTCTTGGTCTGTTTCTTTCTTTTGTAGGAATGTATCCTAAAGGTTTTTCACCAGAAAGCACCATGGTAGTTAAATTTTCTGATTGCCTATGTGTCTGAAAGTATTTCTTTCTTTTCCCTCACATTTGATGGATGGTTGTGCTGGAGTACATGCATTCCAAGGTGGAAAATCATTTTCCTTCAGAATTTTGAAAATCTTCTTCCATTGTTTTCTGTCACCAAGTACTGCTGATAACTCTGATGATAGGCTATCTTCTGTTCCTTTTTAAACATTTGTTTTTATCTCCACAGTGAAAAATTTAAATATATTCTCTATAGTTATTGTTTTGAGGTTTTATAATGATATGGCTCAGCATATGTCTTTCTTTTATTAATTGAGCCAGACACACCATGGGCTCTTTCAATCTGTGGACTTTCACTGAATAAGTACTTCAGCTGTAGGAGATTTCTTCTATTATTATTTTTTATTATCACCTCCCCTCTATTATCTCTGCTCCCTCTTATGTTGGATATCTTGGAGTAATCATCTTTATCTCATTTTATCTTCTATTTTCTATTGCTTATCTTTTAGTTTTATATTCTGGAAGATTTTTTAGTATTCATGTTTTAATTTCCCATAACACATTTGCTTTCTTATTTTTACTTTTTAATAGTATCTTGTTGTTGTTTTTTATTTGTTTTATAGATGCAATATATGAAATATCTTCTCCAATATCTGTCAGGATGCGATAAGAAATCTTTTTTTTTTTTTGAGTCCTTTTGTTGATGAATTACCTGTGTTTTTTCTGGAGTCATTTTTGCTTATTTTGGCTTTTCTCATCCATGTTGCAGGTTTTTTTCTTGGTGGTTCTTGCTTGTCCATTTGACTTATGAAAGAGGTAATAGAAAAGCCAAGTGAGTTTCCGTCAGATACAGTTATTGTACTGGAAAGCTTTGTTTTAAGGTATGTGAGTAGGGCACTAAACATTATCATTGTGGGTGGGGCACTAAACACTATAATTTGAGACTCCTAAATATCTGAGTTTCCATTCCCATGCAAACTGCCCTGGTTCTTCCAAAGTATATTCAGAGTTTTATACAGAGAAGGGTGGCTCCTTCCTTCTTTCCTTCCTTCCTTCCTTCCGTCCTTCCTTCCTTCTTTCCTTCCTTTCTTCTTCCTTTCTGTCCCACTTTTGTGTGAGCACTTTCTCTCTCTGACTTTCACCTGGGGTTAGGATGGGGATAAGTGCAAGACAGTTGGACCTTCTGAGAAAGCAGAGGTTGAAGGAGGGAGGTGGCTGTGGGGGGAAGTAACATGTTTTATCTGAAATCTTTCGAATTATCTCTGTTTTTATGCCATGCCTCACTTCAACTCTCCACCATAGTGGCACTTCAAACTCCCCAGTCCTCTGGTTTCTAGTGGACAGATTAGCTTTCCTCTTCTTCCCTTTCCGTGTATGTCCTGTACAGCATCTTCCTTTGCCTTACTTTAATAGTTACTAGTTCATCACCTACTTTCAGTCTTCTGAAAATTTGTTAACATCATTTGTTGAGTGTCCCACTTTCTGTTCTATTTCTCATTGTTGGTTTACACCATTTTTGTGTTTACTTATACTATTGTTTTCATTGGGTCTTGGGAAAGAGAGGAGATAAAGTGACAAACAAGTACTCTTTCTTTTACCTTGATTTTGTTTTTGCAAGAAAACCAAAGTGACCATTCTCATTCATATATTTGTTTCTTCCTTCAAGAAATATTTAAGTTCTTACTAACTCTATGCCTTGCGCTGAGAATGTAATGATGAGCAAAACCAGAGTTTTCTATGCTCATGGGGATTCCCCAGGGGGTGGATAAGTGAAAGTGCCTGACTTAGTCTCAGGGGGTGGGTTCCCCAAGAAAGCAAATTTGAATCGACATCTAAAGTATAACTGAAAATAAAATAATTAGATGAAAATGGGGCAAGAGGAAGAGCATTTAAAGAAAAAGTATAACATTTACCAAATTCTAGTCTTGGAAAAGAGAATGGTATTTAGAGAAACTGAGAGAATTCCAGGGGCTACAGCATGGAGGACAAAAGGAAAAGAAATGTGACCTGAGACCAGTGAAGCACGCATTGATCAGATAGGGGGAACCTTCTTAACCAGAGTCAGGCCTGGGATCTTGACTTCTAGGAGCAATGGGAAGCCTCTAAAAGCTTATAGAAGGTTTCCAGGCAGAAGCAGTGCAAAGAGAACAGGCTGGCTGCTGTGTGGTCAACTGGGTGTGGGCCATATAATACAAGGCGATGGTTGGAGGTTGTGACCATTGCCCAAGTCAGAGTGTTGTTAGTTTGAACTAGGAATAAAGATAGACAGGGGTGAACAGATTTGAGAGTTACTTAGAGTTAAATTAGTGGTTTGGACGATGGCTTAGATATGGAAAAACAGGAAGAGGGAGTTTTTCAAGGATGACTTTCAAGTTTCATGGCGCCATAGACTGAACAAAGGGGTGCGGCAAGAGAAGCAAACTGTGGAGGAAGGAACACAATAGCCCTGAATGTGTTGAGTTGAAATATCTTTGAAACATACAAGTAGAGAGGCTGAGTTACTTTTAAATATACAAAGGTGATAATATATTCTATATATTAATTTGGAGTCATTGTTATATAACTATTAACTGAGACTTTATTTTTGAATGAGATTAATTAGGAAGAGAGGGTATATATTAACAAGAGATGAGGACGTAGAGTTTTTGTCCTGGTTAGGTGCTTTTGATATAGCATAGTAAGACAATAAGGGACCTCATCTCATTTAAAAAAATTGTGTTTAAAAGCAATTGTAACAATTATTGTTAGGAAATAACTTGAGTATCTACTATAAAGACAGAGTTGCATATTACACATATTTACTAATAGAAGACAGTGCAAGCATTGATTTAACTCACTTTGCTCTATGGATTCTAGGAAGCTTGGAAAGATATTTGGAAAAAGTGTTTGATGATGAAGTTCAATTCTTTTCTTGTCTCTTTTTTGGTAATAGAACACTTAGGTCTGAAAGTTTTTCTAATCCACATTTTGATTTCCTTGTCAGTAAAACAGAGCTTGTCTTTTTTTTAATATTGAAAATAAAAGAGGGGTTTTTCTTGGTTGTTTAAACTATGGATAACACAGTGTTATATTTAATTTTAAATAAATAACCTTTAGTTTAATATTAGAAGAAAATCTAGCTGTAGGCCCTCTAATTTACCAAGGGAAATTAAAATTTAAATTATATTCAAGTAACAGTTTAAAGTAATTGCAACTATAAATATTCATGGTAGATTCCAACTGATATCTAACTTCATCTACATAAGATGGGAATTCATATTCCAGCAAGACTACATGAAAATCATCTTAGGTAGATGAAATAGTTTTTAGTTTATAACTCTCATGGTGAGATTGTTCAATTTGTCTCCACAACCAATGCAAGTGTTTCTGCTCAGTATAAATTTAACATCTTTCCTCTAGATGGTGCACAAGGCACAGTTATATTGGAAAATCAACAGAAAGTTCTGAAAGACCCTACATTTTATTTGGA
The DNA here is from genome assembly GCF_000001405.40 of Homo sapiens. Taxonomy (NCBI): domain Eukaryota; kingdom Metazoa; phylum Chordata; class Mammalia; order Primates; family Hominidae; genus Homo; species Homo sapiens. The sequence goes on along the minus strand of NC_000006.12, from coordinate 122,372,779 downwards.
ATCTGAATAAAACCGAATCTTCTTCTATCTCTCTACTGTAATTTAATACTTGAGATGATATGTCATATCTTTCAGATACTCAGATTTATACGATAATTGCTTAGGATATAGTAAAATGCAGGTATAATTTTGATGTTATTATAAAATTAATTCTTAGCCCTCAGTGAATAAAGTTTTGATATATATCAGATCTATTTCTTTCAGTTTTTTCAAGTGAATGATAAATATCCAAATATCAAGATCAATTATACAGGTACCAGCGTAGAATGGAAGATATATCTACATTTAAGTACTTCAGATGAACTCCTGAAGATATGTACTGCTGCTGTGTCTTCACAAACATTGAACAATCCTTATCGTTGCCCAAACATCAGTGAAAGACACAGGAAGTCTGAATGCAGTGGCATATACATTTTGGAATCTCTTCCCTCTACTGCAAATACTTTTGAGGATGTTTGTCGCATAGGAAAGAAGCTGCCACAGGAGGACAGGGCATTATTTTGCAGAAAGTTATACAACAGTGGATTAATGAGCACTGGACTAGTATCTCTGGACAGAATCACTTTTTGGGTGTTAATATGAGAATTTTAATAATTTCTAAAACTTATCTTGCTTTTCTGAAAGAAGTAGCTATGTTCAAATAATCCCCAAATCTTCATTCATTAAATTTGCATTAATTCTTTAAGGTTGCATTATTTTTTCTTCTGACTGATTGACTGACCCAGAAGTTTAAGACTATGGTACTGAATTAAGGTCTGTGTTTTTCCAGTGAGCATTTTCTTTACTCTTTTCTTTCTAATGGCAGATAAAGTAACGAGATAATTTGTGAATAACCCCTCTTTTTGCAAATATAAGGCATTAGTATTATCATGGTAAACACTTCTTGAAAAATCTGTAATTCTAGAGTCTAATATTTTAAGAAAGACTTTCTAAGTCTCAAATGTATAGTGTTAGACAATAAGTAAAATACCTCTGGTGTTCTGAGTTCTGTTGAGATCTCATGCAGGAAAAAATGTTTTAAAATAGGCATTGAAGGAATGGGATGAGCAAAGGCTTAGAGGAGGCAGTTCCTTCTTTCTCTTTCAATTTCTTCTGTTTCATTATCCTCCTAATTAATTTTAGATTACATCAAAAATACAGCAATACCAAAAAAGTTAAGCAATATAGAATTGTATTAACGTAAAAAATAAAATTCCACTCTCTTTTTCTCCAGCTCTATCACATTCTCTAGAGGTAAGCATTATTAACAGGTAGGAGTGGATATTCTTGATATTTTATTTTAATTTTTTTGAGACAGAGTCTCACTCTGTTGCCCAGGTTGGAGTGCAATGGCGACATCTCGGCTCACTGCAATCTTCTCCTCCCGGGTTCAAGTGATTCTTGTGCCTTAGCCTCCCAAGTAGCTGGGACTACAGGTGCACACCACCACGCCTGGCTAATTTTTGTATTTTTAGTAGAAATGGGGTTTCACCATGTTGGCCAGGCTGGTCTTGGACTCCTGACCTCAGGTGATCTGCCCACCTTGGCTTCCCAAAGTGCTGAGATTACAGGCATGAACCAACATGTGGCCTCTTTCTTGATATTTTAGTCAATAAATATGTACATATTTTACATAAATGAGATACAACCGTTCATCTATTCTGCAACTTGTTCTTTTTATTGTTGGCTGTTTACACTAGATTTGTTAAGAGTTTATAAGATTATACAAACATATTTTAGCAATCCTAAAACATTTATATAGCATTTACACTCCTCTTAAAGTATTAACAATATTCAGCTTTCTATTTTGGTAAGAATTTCACAATCTTTACCTTCATTTTGAAATAATTACATGTTTATAAGAAATAATTATATATTTATAGGAAGTGGTAAAGATATGTATGGGGAATCCCATGTACTGCACCCTTTACCTAAAATTCCCTAATGTTAACATCTATAACATAATATCAAAACTAGGAAATTAACATTGATGCAACCCATAGTTTATTCAGCTTTCACCAGTCATATACACACTCATTTGTGTGTGAATGTGTGTTTGTCCAATTCAATGCAACTTTTCAATATTTTTTATTTTTGTTATTGATACATAATAATTGTACATATGTATTTTGTTATTGATATGTAATAATTGCACATATCACATGGGGTATGTGCGATAATCTGATATAGACATACAATGTGTAATGATCAAATCAGGGTATTTAGGATATCCATCACCTTAAACACTTATTATTTCTTTGTGTTGGGAGCATTTTAAATCTTTCTTTTAGCCATTTTGAAATACACAATAAATTATTAACTGTAGTCACCTTACTGTGCTATCAAATCCTAGAATTTATCCCTTAGCATCTTTGCATAGCTACTCAATTAAAAATGTATTTCATTGTTTTAATTAAAGTATCTATAGTTGTGAATGATGGTGAGCCCATTTATATATATTATTGGTTTATCATATTTTTCATATTTCACTTAAGAGAAAGTAATGTAAACATATATTCAGGGAAAAATGAGTAAAGCAGTTTGTCTGGATTTGAGTCTTTGACTAGGGAGTTAGTAGAGTATTATATTAGAGATGTAGGGGCCAGACCATGAACAAAGGATGTGGACGTTAGTTTAAAGTCAATCAGAATCCAGTAAGTGGTTTGTGTAAAGGAAATATGGACTCTGTCAAATGTATTGTAATTGGGAATCTAGAAACTGAAATCCACTTAAAATGCTTTTGTGATGTTTTAAGGTCTAAAATAATCATTTAGACCTTTAGAGACTTAGGTTAATTGTAGTGGTAGTCATGCAATGAAAAGATTCATGGGAGGAATATTCTCAAAGAAAAATCAGCAGGAGATGCTGACTTAACAGATTATGTGAAGGAAAGTGGATTCCAAATTGACATAGTGGCCTGTGCAGGGGAATGATATATCTCATAGAAGGAAGAAAAATTGGAAAAATGGATTTGGAGACTAAAGGCTGGGTGGAGTTACATGAATCTCTCTTAGACATTATAAATAAGAATGAGCAGATATTACTTGAGTGCTGAGAATGTGCTGACACATGTCTGTGCTTTTCTAGGCAGTGATGCTCTAAGTGCTTTAAGATTCCCGATCTTTTCCACTAGAAAAAGTTTTAAAAATTTGGGATTTTTTGGGGGGTGATAGAAATAAATGATCAAGATATTTTTGGCATGGACTAAACAAAGTGTGAGAATACTGAGGGTTCCCAAGTCAGGAAAATCTGGGTTCCAGTTCTGGCTTTCCTTCTTTCTAGCTTTGTGACCTTGGATAATGTATAATCACTAAGCCTTAATTCCCTCCTCCCTACCACAGAAATAATAACAGTGTAGGTCCTTGCACTAGTAAACATTTAATATTTTAATTATTTTTATTACTCTGGTCCAGAGGTCACACTCAAATGCTTACTTTGGTTAGGCAGGTAATAGAGCTGTCTGGTGTGACAAAACAGGGTGTGGTTGTGCTTTAAGAACTGGAAATATTTGGGATTTGGAGAGGAACAGTACATAACATCTCTCCAAACCCTTTTTCTTAATTCTGATTCAATTGAGATAGACAACGAAATCTAGCTGAGGAGGATTTAAATGTTTGCTTTGTTATTGCTAGAGCTGTTGGGACACTTGTCTTGGGTGTTTGGCAAAGATAGTGAACCTCAAAAATGCTGAATATTACTGCCCATAAACAGGCAGATTTTCTCATCCACAGGCCTGTCTGGACTATGGCAGGCCTCCTCCCAGGTAGCAGAGTTGTAAAATTACATTTGTGTTAAAGATAGACCATAATATGTGCCCTCTGCAGGCAGATTGGTTCCCAAAAAGGAGGAGGAAAGGGAAAAGATCTCAGCTCTGCTTGTCCGGTTTCTTGTCCCATATTTGTCAATCTAATAATATACTCAGTTTCCCTCAGCCTCTGTGCTGTGGTCTGAATGTTTACATCCCCCCAAAATGTGTATGTGGAAATCCCCACCCCCAAGGTTATGGTATTGGGATGTAGGGCATTTGGGAGGTAATTACTTTATGGGAGCAGAGCCTTCATGAATGAGATTAGTGTTTTTATAAAAGAGGCCCCAGAGAGACCCCTTGCCTTTCCACCGTGTGAAGATAAAGTGAGAAGACAGCTGTCTATGAAGAAGCAGGCCCTCACCAGGCACTGAACCTGCCAGGTGCCTTGGTCTTGGACTTCTCAGCCTCCAAAACAATGATAAATACATTTTTGTTGTTTAAAAGGTAGCTAGTTTGTGGTATTTTGTTTTAGCAGCCTGAAAGGACCAAGATGCTCTGCCATCATCTTAGATCGTTACTGTTCTTGTTGCTTTTGTTGCTTTTCACCCATCAAGTTTAACCAATAAGCCTATGCTCAATCAGGAGTATGGCTTTTCCTCCTGGAGGAGAAGATAGACTTCTTGAGACAGCTTCCCTCTTCATGAGGCCACTCCCCCTGTACCAATTATTGATCCTTCTGGAATCATTAATTGTCAGTGTAGATTTAGCACCCAGATGGCTCTGATATAGGTCAGAACTTTTTGCTAATTAAATGAGCACTTCACACTTAGGGCTGACCATAATGTCTAACATTGCTTGTCAGAATTTTGCAATAAGAATGAATGAGACATTATGATATTCTGGTAATAAACTTCCATCAACACAGAGATATTCCGAATTTGAGTGTAACTGCCTTCTAATTGTACAATTTCCAGGGAGATTCCATGGATTTCAAGTCCCAAATCAAATTATATTGCTTAAGTAAAATGAAAATAAAAGGACTTCAAGTCTTTCCCAATTTCTCTTCCTGGCCTGGGTAGAGTTAGGTTTTCTTTAGCATCTGTGGCCAAATTTTTTCATATAAATATGTGGGTTTCTTTCAGTTGTATCTGTTACATTTTTTATACCTTTGCATTTTTGAAAAAGTGTCCAACACATTAATAGAACAAAAAAATTATCCAAGCACCAATTCCGCATCTGTTCAGTTGGAAAATGGGTCAATTCCCATTTCATAGACCACTGATCTCAAACAGAAGTGTGTATCCAGGACCATGTACCTAGTGTTGCTGAAGTCTCAACAGTATTTAAGAGAAGGAAGTTAGATGGCGATATTTTTCTTAGTTCAAACTTGCTGTGACTCCTGCCTATGATTTCAGTTCTTTCAAATCCATGAGCAGTGAATCTGAAAGCCTGAGATCTCTGCTACCAAGAGTCCATTTTGTCACTATCCTATGATTAGAATTGGGGAGGGAAACCTATGCATGCACTCTATATATTTTTTTGTAGCTCAGAAATTATAATGGTGGTGGTTTTGGCCTATGAGTCTCATTTCAGGTGCTTTTATTTTTCTTCTGCATACTTAAACTCTTTTAATTTATATTTCTCCCTTGAGTCATGTGCCTCAGGCACCCCAAAGTTTAATAGGCATGAAATCCACTTAACGTAACAGTGTTCCAATATTTTGTGAGCAAGCATTTTCCACCCTGAACCTGTTCATTTTTTTCAGTATTAATTGCTTAAGCCCAGAAACTTGCTACTAGAACAAAATTTTTTCTTAGTATCTGAGAATCACCCTTAATAGCTTTCTGAACTGAAGTTTCTTTTGGTTATTCTGAAATCTGTACTCTTTAGGGGCCTGCTGTTTAAAACTCTGTGCTCAGTTTTTAAATGTTTCAACTCTTGAGTAACATTATTTTCTCCCATGTATTTTTCTGTAGCTGTAGGAGATTTGTCTCTAGTTTCATTTCTCTCTACCATTCCAGTATACACCTTCAGTGAAGCTCAGCTGAATTTTTAAGTTTAAATTACTTTGTACGTTGTTTCCTTTTCTTCTACAGCACTGTTTGCTTGATATAATTGAGTTTTTTCCTTTACATTATTCTTTGTATTTCTACTTTATTCCTTCAGATTTTTTTGTAGACACTGATAGTGACATATTCCAGAATTGCCTATTTGTCAAATATACTATATTGTCAAAATTATACTCTTTAAGTTGGATAATCCCACCCAGGAGATATTCTCCCATCAGACCAGCATCTAACTCAGACTCTATCTGCTTTTGTCTTGCCTGGCTCCACTTTCATATACCCCATCTTTGCTTTGACATCCTGTCAGGTTCCAACCTGAGCTGAGGTCCAAGGGGAGTTGGTGGGCGGGTAGTTGAAAGAACACTTGGGGGGCCATAGGCAGGCGGGACATGGTTTTATTACGCACTGCCACTCTCACAGTGTCGGTGATACATTTATGCACCTCACAGACAATAGTGGCTCAGAGTCAGGTGACGAGCCCACGCATAACATGGTTTCATAACTGTGACTATATAATGCACAAGATTGTGTGCCTGCACTCCAATCCTGCTGGGTCATGCTGCACTGGATATTTACCTGGGCCTACTCTTGACTGCTGCACAGCCAGTTTCCTTACACTCCAACCCCTAAGCCGAGGGTGTCCTCTTAGTGGGGAAACGTGCCCATAAGGCAGCACCCTGGACCCATAGGCCACAGCAACAATACAGGGAGCAGCAACCTATGACTAATGTTTCTGCTATGCTGCCTATGATTATCAGGGCCTAACATAGGCCAGAGCCCAGGCACGCCCACCATCTCTGTAGAGGATTGTCAGTAAGGCTCTCAACTGTTTTAATCTCCTGTGACATCCCTTGTAAGGCTGCTGTTATGTTTTGTTGATTGTCTGGAATAAAGGTACAACACTGCGTTCCTATAAGGGCACAGGTGCCACTTTGGGCAGCTGTTACTATATATCTAAGGCCATCTGGTTTTGCAGCACCACCTTTCTGGTTTTATCAACCTCATTGGTTAACAGGAGGAGGATGACTCAGGTATAATTCAGGGCCTGAGCTGGGTGCTCTGCAAGGGCTGTAACCTGCGTTTCTACAGTGATGACACCCGCTCCAGGGATGGTCAAATCTAAGGGGGAGAGCAACCATGGGGCCTGACGCACTAGCAAAATCCAAGAATGTAGCACTTCCCAGTCGTGTGGGCATCTAGACAATGTGGGAAGCTCAGTGGCAGCCAGTCTAGTTCACCGGCCACAGCAGCCAGTCTAGTTCACTGGCAAATATTTGGCCAACCTGTGTCTCCACAGACCCATAAACTCCCAGGGGGCACAAAGTCCTTGATGAGGCCACTTATTCCACCGCACCTTGTGCAGGCTATGGTGGGCAACCACCGCATGGTGATGCTATCCCAACGTTGCTCTATACATTGTGGTACCTGTGGCAGGGGCACCACGTGTTTTCTCACTAACCAGCCCCATCCATCATAGACACTACAGGTGAGCCAGGGGGCTGGCATGTCATGGGTTTTGTGGCACCCCCTATCCAAAGCTTGCCGTGTCACATTCCAGGCATTGCCCATGGGACCCTAAGTCTCTAGCCATGTCCAGTTGTCTATAGAAGCTGGGTATATGTGCCAGGGCAAGCTGTCCACAGCTGCTGCTGGAAGGGTGGTGCAGATTTACTAACTGGAAATGTTAGTCACTTCAGTGTAGGTGTGGACCCATTCCACAATGCTGTTGGAGCATGTCAACGTATGGTCGAAACAACAAAGCAGGCACAGATACTAACGGGGTAAATCACGCTCCTCAGGCAAAATACAGGCCAACTCTTCATTTCTGGATAGTAGTGCAGCTGCCAGGGGCTTCTCTCCTGGACAATGGTACCATACCTTTTCAGTTCCCCATGGTTCCTTTCGGTTCTGTATTCATGCTAAAGTTACTGGGGAGCTTATAATAGGCTACACAGACAGCACATATGTGCCCTACAGGAGGGTTCTTTTCTTGGTTGTTCCCCCATGAATGGTCAATTGTGGATACTATATATCAAGTACCCAAGGAGTGACATGTAAATCATACTGTAGACCTTTCTCCCAGGGGGCTACGATGGCCAACCACTTGCAGTGGGGGTCTTTGAGGGCCCATGGCCAAAGCCAGGTTTTTTGTTCTCTTACCTTTAGGGGTGTTGGGGCAGGCAACAATAGATTACTGTTTGTCCCCATACCTGGTTGGAGGAGGTCATCCTTGGTGTGCATCTGTAACTGAATGGAGGCAGCAGCCTGGTGTAGCAGTATCTCCACCATGGCTGGGCCACCTTTTCATGGCCGCTCATTCAAGTTCTGGAGCACCAGGTCCAAACTTGAACTCCAGCCCTGCAAAGACGGGGGAGTAACATGCAAGTGTAACCCACTTTTCAAGAGTCCATTATATTGTTCAATCATGCCAGCAGCCTGTGGATTATATGGAACATGAAATCCCCACTATATGTCCGTCTGCCATGCCCACTGTTTATCTGCTGTCCAGTGAAATGTGTTCCTCTATCACTTTCAATGGCTAAGTGGCAACTATATAGAGCACACAAGTGTTGCAGGTCCTGAATGGTATGTTGTCGGTCAGCCACCCTACAAGGTAGGTGAACAACAGGCCAGTGGCCGTGTCTACAGACATCAGCACATGTGTGTATCCCTGCGATTTTGGCAGCGGCCCAGTGTAATCTATCTGCCATCTGGTCAAGGGAATCTGCCCTATCATCACTTGTTACATGACACTGGGCAGCTGCCTCCATCTGGGGTATGCCTGTGTGCATGCTGGATACTTACCACAGGCCTCCCAAATATCCTGCCTGGGCAAGAACAGACCCCAGTGCTCTGTTGCATCAGTTTACCCCCCATACAGCCTAATTTCCAGTGTAGCCATAGGGCCACATCTCATATAGGTGTTCACTCCAACCACTGGACTCTGGCCAAGGCATCTGCCTTGTCATTGCCAGGGGCAGCCAAAGGCACATGACCTGTCACATGATAGAGAGTTACACCCTTTCGTTGGCACATTTCCCGTATGTCTTGCCACATGTCTTGGACCCAAATGGGTTGGTGGCCAACAAACTAATTCTGTGACTTCCAGGTAGTTCACCACAATGTTAGATCTTGATAAACTGCCAAGCTATCAGTGCAGATTACTTACCATAGGTGTCTCCTTGGTGATCACCATCTACATTGCCTTGAGTTCAGCCCATTGACTACTTTGTCCACATCCGGTGTCAAACCATATGGTATCAATACTAGGCTGGACCATGACAGGAGTCCAGGTAGCAGTGGCACTCTGGCTAAACCATGCCTCATTAGGAATGGGGAGGCACCCTTCCTTAAATGGTGATGGCTTGGGGTCCAGGGGTGTCTCAGGCCGATCCATGGCCTTATCTTGCATTAGGACTACAGGTCCCAAGATTTCTCGTAATTCTGCTGCTAAGGGGCTGGAACTCAAGGTACTCTGCTGTTCTAAGTAGGCATCCCACTTTGCTAAAGTGGATGTCTGTGCCATCCCAGTCTGGAGGGTTTCACCCATGAACATATCCACCCCACTATTGGGTAAGTCGTCTGCACGATGACTATAGCCTTTTCTGTCAAACTCTCACAAGGCTGAAGGGCAGCATATATAGCTGCTAATTGCTTCTCTATCAATGAATACCAGAGCTCGGCTCCCTTCCAAAGTTGGGAGCAAAAGCCTACTGGTGTTCTAAAGTGCTCCATGCACTGCCATAGGCTCCAGCTAAAGCCATCTGTTGTCCCATGCACATCGAGTTCAAATGGGTGCCCCTGGTCAATCACTTGCAGGGCCTATGCTTGCTGAATAGCCTGCTTGGCTGCCAGAAAGGCTGTCTCATTGGGATGTCATAATCCCAATCTCACGTAGCCCCCTTTTTTGTCAACCGGTACAACAGTTTTATCATTTGAGCTAAATGGTGCACGGATGTCCACCAATATCCTAGGAGGCCCACAAAGGTCTTTAGCTGCCTTATCTTGGTGGGCCAGGGATGTACCTGAATTTTGTCTGTGATGGCCTCTGGTATGGCTTTCGTCTTACCCAGCCAGATAACGCCCAAGAATGTGGCAGACAATCCAGGACCTTGGACCTTGGATTCGTTGATGGCCCAACGGCATGCTGCCAAAGATTTTTGCAAGAGGGCTGCTGCCAATTCTAAATCTACAACAGAATCAGAGGTTAACATAATAGCATCAATATAATGGAATAGGCAGATTCCCTTCAGACATGTCTAGGCAGCTAAATCTGTGGCAATGAGACCATGACATATGTTGGGGCTATACACATAGCCCTGCGGCAACACTGTGAAAGTCCATTGTCGCCCTTCTTATGTGAAACAAACTGTTCCCAGCTTTCTGGAGTAAGGTCAATTGAAAAGAATGCATTAGTCAAGCCCACTACATAGTGTTACTGTCCCAATTCCATCATCAAGCATTTCATCAAATCTGTGGTAGACAGGATAGCTGCATGTAAAGGGGGTGTTACTTTACGTAGTTCTCGATAGTCTACTGTCATCCACCAAGTCCCATCAGGCTTTCTGACTAGCCATACTAGAGAATTGTAGGAGCTGTGGGTGCCATGCACTCTCTATGCCTCTTCTAACTTCTGAATAGTCTCAGTTATCTCTGTATGCACACCTGGCAAGCTGTATTGATGAGTGGAGGTAACCCGCTGGGATTGTGGCAGAACCTGGGACTGGTGATGTGTATGTCCCTGTAGTACCAGCTTTACCCCATGTACTTGGAGTCTGAATTTTCTGTCCATAGTGTGTAAGTCTAGACTGTGCAAAATGTCCACCCCCAGAATGTATTCTGGTATGAGAGACATATGTAGTGTATAAGTGGGGAGCCAAGCGGCTGATACTGAGGTGCAGAGATACAGGTTTCACTTTTACTGACTGGCCTCCATAGTGGTCTATGTATGCAGCCTTGCCCAGAAACTTATCCACGTTCCCATAGATGAGGCTACAATCTGTGCCAGTATCTACTGTATATTGGTGGGAGACCAGTGGATTGCCAATTCCACATGTGGCCTCTGGTCATCCAGTGTCCCCCCAAGCCGGGCATCTTGGCCAGTTCCCTAATCAAACACAAAAGGCTCTGTTCCTCTGCCTGTCTGCAAGTAATCCTTGAGCTGGAGCATCCGGGCAGGACTGGGTGGGGCAGCATTGTCCCGCCCCCTCTTGGGCATTTTCCAGAATTGCTGCTCCGAGGACAATTGCCTCCACAAAGTTAACAGCACTTCATTGCGTTGCCTATCAATTTTCTCCAGAACAACCCCAGCCAATATCAGATCAATCCACATCTGCGGGCGTGTCACCTACTGGGGCCCCTTTTTGTCCCCTGAGATGGCTGCCAGTGGGAGGGATACCTTCCCCTTCTTTATGGCACAGACTCCCTGCTGCTGCCGCTGGCTTTCTGCTTCCCTGAGGGCTGCCATGGTAGTAGTCACCTCATGTACATGACAAGGACAGCGTATGGAGTGAGGACAGTGGTCAGAGAGCCGAGGGCACTCAGGGGTACAGAGCCCAACACAAGGTACCTCATGTGGGAGGTAAAGCGTTCATCATACGGCTCTCTCGGTATTTAAATCAAACATAGCCTGCCGCATACCCATCTCCTAAATTACCTGCACGAGCTTTGCATATGATTGTCATTTACTCACAGTTTCTGGTATTTCTCCAGCATCCTTCCACACCGTCCGTATGGCTGCCATCAGCCATTCAGTCAGGGTGTGGTCACCTTGCCCTTGTGCCAACCACCTGCTCACCTGCAACGGCTGATGGGGTGGGGGTGAGTTGTGATATAAGCCAACTTTTCCATCTTGGCTGCAGAAAAGGAAATACTCTCAGCTCCTTCTTCCCAGAGGCGGAGCATCCAGGCAGGTAGGGGCTTCCCCGGATGCTGCCGACACTGCCTAACTCCCGCAACTTAGTCGGGGTGTAGGCACTATATGAAGTGTGCTCCACCACGGTAGGGGATCCCTGGGCCTGCCTTTGGGGCTCAATCGGCTGTTCATTCTCTATTTTCTGGTGGACCAGGGGGCGAGCTCGCAGTGGTGGTTCTTCCTCCTCCTTCCACCTCTCTCTCTTTCCGATGTCATTGGCCCCAAGGAGCTTTTTAGAAATCTCTCTCTTGCTTTTTTTTTTTTTTTTTTTTAACAGAAGACAGTTCTGGATGCATTCTTTCTATTCTCACTTTCAGAATCTCATTTTCTCCATTGTAGCTGTCTATCCTGTCTTCTATATTTCAGTTTTCTCTTGTGAAATGTTTCTCTTTCTCCAGCTTAGTCTCTTCCTTTATTTCTAATTTTTCCACTTGGAAAATGAGTTTGAGAAACAAACGAGTCAGATTTTAGAGAGCCCTGAATGTAAGAGGGCCTTGTAGCTTACTCTAATGTGGCTGCACATTAGAATTGCCTGGGGAGCTTTAAAATAGCCAGTGCCCAAGGCTTACTTCCACAGGCTCTGAGTTGATATGGCTAAAACCTGGGTACTGGTGTTTTTAAATGTCTCTCTAGGTGATTCTAATTGTGAAGAACTGTAAAGATTCTGAAATTTTACACTATTTATTAGCTAAAAGGTTAGTCTACCACAGTTTCAAGAATGCTGGTATAAAATACGAAACTCCCGAGTCAGAGATTAAAAACGGTTTATTACAGAAATAAAAATAGCCAGAGTATTGGCATTTTTTTGTGCTGGTTCCTTGAGCCCTAATTCCTATAGGATGATACAAAGAGGGCCTGATGACACCTGCACACATACTAGGTATAATTGCAGGAGAGTATCCCAGAGGTTAGGGAGACCTGAATATTTTATACTGGAAAGTAATATGCCTACCATTTGTTTTAGTTAGAGAAACTATCTCTGTCTTTCAAAGCCTTCAGCAAACCTGCCATTTGCTTTGAAAGGAGACACTATATTTATTTTCTATATAAGCACCCTTGAAAAAATAATCTGAAAAAGAGGTCAGTCAGTCCTTCATTTCACAAATGTGACAGACCTGTGAAAAAATGGGCTCCTAACAGAATTGAGACTGCTACTCTTGAACGAGGGAAGCCTGGAATTGTTTTAAGCAGGTGAATCAAAGAAATACCCTTAAATAATATATTTTTTACCATGAAAGGAAGCAAGCAGAATAACAGCTTAGAAGATATTATGCAATTCTGGCAAAAGTTGAAAAAGGCTCTGGCCAGGTAGTAGTAGAAGACAGGGATTGAGATAAGGGGAAATTTCAAAGAAAAATTGACAGGCACAGGTTAGTAATTAGATATGAGGAGAGGAAGATATTGATGATAAAATCCAGTTTTCTTTGTGGGACGATTTGTATTGATAATTCTGATTTCTTTAATAGCTATATGGCTATTCAGGTTATCTATTTCTTCTGGAGTGAGTCTTGGTAGTTAATATCATTTAGGGAATTTATTCGTTTTATCTATCTTGTTGAAATTATAGACATAAAGTTCTTCATAATATTCCTTATTCACTTAGTATCTTTAGAATCTGTACAAATATCACTTCTCCCACTCCTGATGTTGGTATTTGCCTCTTCTCTCTCTCTTTTTCCTCATCAGTCTACCTTGAAGTTTATTAAATTTATTAATCTTCTTTTTAAAAAACCCAGCTTTGGTTTCATTAGCTTTTCTCAATCAGTCTTCTACTTTCTATTTTATTCATCTCCTATCTTTATTATTTCCCTTCTTCTGCTTACTTGGTGTTTTATTTTCTCTTCTTTTTCTAGTTTCTTAAGGTGGAAACTAAGGTCAATGATTTGAGAACTTTTTTCCCCCTAATATGAATGTTTAGGCTGTAAATTTCCCTTTAAATACTGCATTAGATATATTTCACAAATCGGAGTAAACTGTATTTTTATTTTCATTTAGGTAAAAAGTATTTTAAAGTTTCCTTTATGATATCTTTTTGGCCCATAGGGTGTTTAGAAATGTATTATTTAGTTTTTAAATAATTTAAAAAGTTTCTGGGCTGGTGGCGGAGGCTCTTACCTGTAATTCCAACACTTTGGGAGACCAAGGTGCGCGGATCACTTGAGGTCAGGAGTTCGAGACATTCTAGCCAACATAGTGAAACCCTGTTTCTACTAAAATACAAAAATTAGTCGGGCGTGGTAGCAGGCATCTGTAATCCCAGCTACTTGGGAGGCTGAGGCAGGAGAATCACTTGAACCCAGAGGCAGAGGTTGCAGGGAGCTGAGATCACGCTATTGCACTCCAGCCTGGGCGACAGAGCAAGACTACCTCTCAAAAAAAAAAAAAAAGAAAAAGAAAAAGAAAAAAGAAAGAAAAGAAAAAAAATGTTTCTGGACATTTTTCTGTAACTGATTTCCAATTTTATTCTATTGTGGTTACAGAGAGCATATTTTGCATAATTTGAAATTTTAAAGATCTATTGAGACTTGTTTTCTTTCCCAGATATGTTCTGTTGTGATAAATGTTATGTGTTCAGGTGAAATGAATAGAATTCTGCTATTATTTGTCTGAGTATTCTGTACATGTGCATTACTTCAAATTGATTGAAAGTGTTGTTCAAATCTTCTATATTCTTATGGATTTTCTGTGTACTTAATATCAGTATCAAGAAACTGAAGCTGAAATCTCTTATTGGAATTAGATTTGTCTAATTTCTTCTGGCAGTTCCTTCACATTTTGCTATGTGCATTTTTATGTATTCATAAGTTAAGTGCATAAAAACTTAGAATTGTTATATTCTCTTAACGAATTTATTCTTTTAACACTGTGAAATAAATCTTTTAATTTCTGGTAATATTTCTTTGCTCTGACATCTGCTTTGCTTTCTTTTGATGTTTCAGCATGATATATTTTTCTTCCATTCTTTTAGTTTTAACCTATTTGTTTCCTCATGGAATTTAAACCAAGTTTCCTTTCAACAACTTGTATTTACACCTTCCTTCTTTATCTAATTTACAATCTCTGCCTTTAATTGGAGTGTTTATTTTCATTTAATGCGATTTTTTTTTTTTTTTTCCCCGAGGTGGAGTTTCGTTGTTTTGCCCAGGCTGGAGTGAAGTGGTGCGATCTTGGCTCACTACAACCTCCGTCCCCCAGGTTCAAGTGATTCTTTTGTCTCAACCTCCCAGTAGCTGGGATTATAGGCACGTGCCACCACATCTGGCTAATTTTTGTATTTTTAGTAGAGACAAGGTTTCACCATGTTGGCCATGGTGAAGGCCATGGCCTTCACTTCCCAAAGTGCTAGGATTACAGGCATAATGTGATTCTTGAGATGACTGGGTATAAATTTTTCTTTCTTTTTTTAAATTATAGTTTAAGTTCTGGTGTACATGTGCAGAACATGCAGGTTTGTTACATAGGTTTACACATGACATGGTGGTTTGCTGCACCCATCAACCCATCATCTACATTAGGTATTTTTCCTAATGCTATCCCCCGACTAGCCCCTCAGCCCCCGACAGGCCCTGGTATGTAGTGTTCCCCTCCCTGTGTCCATGTGTTCTCATTGATCAACTCTCACTTATGAGTGAGAACATGCGGTGTTTGGTTTTCTGTTCTTGTGTTAAATATTCCTTTTGCTATTTTTTCTCTCACCTATTCTTTGATTTTTAAATCTTCTGATTTCTTAGGATTAGTTAAGAATTTTTATTATTCTTTTTTGATGATAACTGTTTTAATGTCCTTGTGTACTAATTCTAACATCTGTGTCATTTCCAGGTATATTTTGATTGATTTCACCTTCGTTATTGTTATATTTTTCTGCGTCTTTGCATGTTGGGTAATTTTTGGTTGGTTGCCAGGATGAGACAAAGTAGCAAACATAAGAAAACATATTTGCTTATTCTGCTTGCCTTGTGTTTTATTTTCCCTTGTCTGCAGAATTTTACAAAGTCCCTGATTCAGTGACTGAACTGGCCCTCTGGAAGAATGCCTGAAGACAATAAGCAGGTTAGAGCATAGGTTCCTCCATCTCTTGCTTGAATCACTGCATTTTAAAATAAGTTCAATGATCCTAGCCCTTGCTTCTTCCTGTACATAACCAGATCTGTAATCTGTAACCAGATGTACTCTGACACCTGAACTTTGATGATTTTGTTCTAAAGTAATTTCTGAGCATGTTTGATGTAACATTGGAGCACATGCGGAACCTCCACCACCTGATATATAAGCCGTGGGCTGATACATTGCTTTGGAGCAGTCAAACAGAAGCTCTCTGAAAGACTCTCCTGGTTCCAATCCTCAGTAAGACTATGAATAAAACTGATTTTAATCCTGAGTTTTTCTTTAGTTGACACCAGACGTTGTAAATTTTTTTCTTGAAGGGTTTTGGATATTTTTGTATTCCTTTTTGTTTGTTTGTTTGTTTGTTTGTTTTAGAGATAGGGTCTTGCTCTGTCACCCAGGCTAGAGTGCAATGGCACGGTCATAACTCACTGTATTCTTGACCCCTGGGATCAAGTGATCCTCCTGCCTCAGTCTCCCAAGTAGCTAGGACTACAATCACGCACCACCATGCCTAGCTAATTTTTAAATTTTTTTGAGAGATGGGGGTCTTATTATGTTGACTAGGCTGGTCTCAAATCCCTAGCCTCAAGTGATCCTCCCTCCTCGGCCTCCCAAAGTGTTGGGATTACAGGCATGAGCCACCCTGCCTGGCCCATTTTTATATTCTTATAAATATTATTCCTGAGCTTTTTTTTCTGGGCCACAGTTAAAGTTACTTGGAAACACTTTGATACATTCAGATCTTGCTTTTAATATTTGTTAGACAGAACCAGAGCAGCCTTTTTTCTAGAAATGATTTTGTCCTACCACTGAAGCTAAATTCTTCTGAGTACTCTACTCAATGCCCCATGAATTATGAGTTTTCTCTCAGGCTGGGGAAATTAGCAACTGTCCCAGGCTCTTTGTAAACTCCAACACTGTTTCCTTGAATCCTTTCTAATGGTTCTTTCTCCAGCCACAGGTAGTTTTCTCATTGTCATGTGCTAATTGGTACTTAGTTGAAGACAAAAAGGGGAATCTGCAGATTTCTGGAACTCTCTATGTATAACTCCCTCCTTTCCAGTACGCTGCTTTGCAAACTCTAGCCACCTTGGCCTCCCTGCTAGTTATATCTCCTATAACTTGAGATATTTTCTTTTTACTCTTTGTATTAGTCAAAGTTCTCCAGCGAAACAGAACCAATAGGATATATTTATTTCATTATTATAAGAAATGGCTCACCTGATTATGGAGGCTGAGAAGTCCCACTTACTGCTGTCTACAAGCTGGAGAACAAGGAAAGCCAGTGGTGTAATTCAGTCAAAATCTAAAGTCTGAGTCTGAAGGCCTGGGAACCAGGGGAGCCAATGGTGCTAAGTCCTGGTCTGAGTCCAAAGGTCCAAAAACACGGAACACCAATGTTAAAGGGCAGAAGCAGATAAATGTCTCTAGTCCAGTCAAGTGGACAAATAAAATGAACCATCACACTCTCTTAATTATCCTTTGGCAGAGGTGGGGATGGTTTATGAACAGAAATTCTTAATTGTATTATAGTTCAATTTATGATTGTTTCTTCATCATTACGACTTTTTGCATCATGATTAAAAAGCCCTCACTCATCTCAAGGTCATGAAGGTGTTCTTCTATGTTTTCTAACATATTTTATATTAATTGCTTAGCTACTTTAGCGTCTTACTCACAAACCTATACACTTCTTGAGGGAGGTACTGTGCTATACTTAAAAGTCCAGCACTTAGAGCATTGTGTGGCATCTAGTAATCATTTAAAAACTGAGTGATCAAATGACCTAATTTTTGCTGTTTATATAGTGACCTTGAGTAAGTAATCTAACTTTGCCTTAACTTCTGCGTCATTACAATTTAAAGCCTCCCTTTTTTAAGGCCTAAAAATCTATAAAAATGATTTTCATTAAATACTTTTAGTGGCCTGTCACCATGTTTTAATTACAACTTCATTAGCCAGACGGGGATGGGATATACAAATAACTACTTAATGGCTTTAAATAGTTGAAAATATAGATTTGTTTTTCCTTTTGCTCACTAAGGAGATGGTACTCCTTTCCTTTTCTCTTTCCTTTTCCTTTTTCCCTCCCCTCCCCTCCTCTCCCCTCCCCTCCCCTTCTCTCCCCTCCCCTCCCCTTCTCTCCCCTCCCCTCCCCTCTTTTCCCTTCCTCTTGATCTTTTCTCATCTTTGAAGAATTAGCATGGCCCGGGGAAAATGTGCCTTCAACTTTGGCATTGGTCAAACCTTCAACAATTCTTAAACATCCACTACGTGCCTGACACTATTTTAGGACTACTAATTAATTAGACTAAATTCTCTGCGAATATTGACAAAATTCAAGTGAATGAAGCAATGAATGAAGTAATGAATGACTTAATGAAATAATGAATGCCAAGTTCCTGGTACATTCTGAAATGGTATCTACTATTAATATCATCAAATTCTTTTTTGTATATTTAAGCATTTTCATTTTTTTAAATGAAAATTTCTAAATTCCAGGTAGGTTGGTCAGAAGTCAGATTCCTTGACAAAGTATACAGTTGTATGCTGCTCATTGATAATGCTTTTGAGATACCCAAGTGATCACTCAAAATTTGAGTTGAGAATTTAGCCTTCTCCACTGACAAGGACACTTATCTGAGGATGACACTTTTCTTCTGAATGTTTAAGAAATAACTTTCCTGGCTGGGCACAGTGGCTTACGCCTATAATCTCAGCACACTGGGAGGCTGAGGCAGGTGGATCACCTGAGGTCAAGAGTTCAAGACCAGCCTGTCTGACATGGCGAAACCCCGTCTCTACTAAAAATACAAAAAATTAGCCAGGTGTGGTGGTGGGCGCCTGTTATCCCAGCTACTCGGGAGGCTGAGGCACGAAAATCACTTGAACCTGGGAGGTGGAGGTAGCAGTGAGCCGAGATCATGCCATTGCACTCCAGCCTGGGCAATAGAGTGAGACTTGGCCGCCACCCAACCCCCCTGCCCTCCCCACCCCCCCAAAAAAAAACCCTTCCCTTACTTTACCGCACTGCACATATGGTCTTTTTGCTTTACTTGTCACATGTGTGACTTTGACAATATTTCTGTTGTCCTTAGATGATTTACTCAGTAGAGTAACCAGAAACAAGGTGCAAGTTCATTTCACTTTTAAGCTGTAGAACTTTATACATGGCTCCTGTGGTATGTTTTAAACCAAAGGCTGTCATGAACATGAAGAGAAAGCACAGGAAAATTTCCACCCATAGCAGATTTTCCTTTATTAGGGTAGATTAATTCTATTTCATGAGAGCAATATGAAAGCCAAGCAAAATGATTTTCAGTTGATTTATGCAGTTCTTGTGAATTACCTTGCTTCTGGCCTGGGGCCTCACAATAGCCACCTGAGGTATGGTCTGTGGTAACCACTCAGGAGTGCTGCCTAGCAGGCTGCTATGCTTAAATAATCTAGTTTTGTTATTTCACTCAACAGTAATGTGACTTTGAGGGAGATGAAATTAATGCCAAACACTCCTTTCTGAAGTAAAGGAAAGTTCAGAGCCTTAAAGGAGTGGAGATCTCCTTTTAGGAAGCTTCTGATAATTATGTGGATTACTGCCATCTCAAATGATAAAGTTGCAAACAAACTTTATATTCTCTTACTATAAATCACAAAGTAATTCTGAATTGGAAGTGTATTTAAAAGAATTTTTCTAACATTTTTATGTTTTGGATGGAGGTTTTTGGTAACAATATATTACTGTATTTGAAACTAATACATATAGCTAACCCTTGGGTTTTAGGAGAGGTCATCAAGAGTTCATAGATTATTTGAGTCAGACAGTTCCCTTGATGACAGATCAATTTCAATGAAGCCAAAACATTAGCTCTTTTTATGTGCTAGTTAGTGTCACACAAAAATACACACTGTTCCTTGGCCACAAGCTGCACTGAAGTTTCTGGTTAGCTTTTCCTTATATACTTATTCAAAATTGAAGGTTGGAGCAAACACATCTATTATAGAAACCAACTTGAAGTTGCATCTTGTGACAGTTCTGTGGAATTTCATCTGTGAAATTATCTTACCACTAATTAACCCTTTTAACAGGGAAATATGGGGGAAAATGAGAAAGCAATTAAATACATATTCAGAAATATGGTACATTGAATAGTTTTGGATTTTTTTCTAAATTACTTAGAAGAGTTTATTAGTTGTGTATCACACCAGCGATATTTTAATAAAAAAGTATAGTGCTTTCAGAGAATTGCCTGTTAAAATAATTATACAACTATTTTCTCTCTAGATATGAATAGATGCAACTAAATTAGCTTATATAGTTTTTTAAGTAAATGCAATAAATCATTGTCTAATTCACATATTTGGTTGACCAACCGCAGTTACTAGCGGCAGTACAGTATTGTTGAGAGAGAATGGGTTTCGGAATAAGAAAAATTTAGATTTGAATTCTCATTCTTCCATTTGGCTACTCCCTGAGCTATGATAGTCTCCCTGGTAACAGAAGGTCAATAGTATCTACTTTCTAAAGTTGCTGTAAAGATTGTATTTAATGCCCTTAACATCAAAGCAGGAACATAGTAGTTGTTCAATGAATTGCATTACTTTTCCTCCTAGGATTTTAAAGAAGCGTAACAAGGGAGATTGACCTATATACCCAGGATTTCTGTCATTACCATGAGTTTTGGAGAGATTACAACTGTAAGAAAAAAATCATCATGCCACTGTAACTTAGTGACGGAGACAATATGCAACACAGACATAACAATTAGTCATGTTGGGCATAAATGTGAAATATCTTCTTCTCATTAACTCAGAAGTCTATAGCCACTCTCTTCAAAGCAAAAAACGAACAAACTAATAAGCTTTCTGATTGAGTTCATTTTGAAAATTTTCTAAAGGTATTTTATAAGAAATCTTGTTACTTATATTCTTATATACTTTATTGAAAGATGCACACACAAAAGGTTTTAAGGAAAAGGCATCTCCTCTATGTACCTGAGAAGCTGAGCTGTTTTTGTGTTTCCTTTATACTGATATATTGCTGTAGAGGATTTGGAAGGTCAGATGTTCACATTTTTATTCTTCCCACTTCATTATTTATGCCTGTTCTTCTCTTTTGGGACTTGTTATGGAAAAGGTAGAGAAAAAGAATACATTTACTTGGTCTATGAATCCTCATTTTTTTGTGTGTAAAACATTTTAAAAACCATGTCTTGATTTATTTCTATGTCAAGCTTCCAATAAATGCTTTACACAAAAACCATGTTCACTTTAGAGCACCTAAATTAGTGTTTTGGTTTTCAGTGAGGAAGAGCAAAATCCGTGTGGCTTGTTGCTGGAACAAGATGTACATTTGAGACTCTGGAATTCTACTGTGATTTTTATCCCATTCTCCCCGCTGCCTTTTTGTAGCAACAACTGTCAGGATTGGAAGATTGTGTTTGTGTTGTTTGTTTAATTTATCTTTAAAAGGAATTGAAATCTGTAGGCCAAATGACTTTTCAGCTTGATAAAGCATTAATGTTGGCAATTTAGGATGTGGAATTATTCTTTCGAAATAGTGTTGAGTCAATACCATACAAACTAATTAGTTCTGTGCTCCTGGGAAATCTTAAAATTAGAACTTCTTATAAAACCCCATGAAATTTCTCCTTGATAGTAGTAGTTCCCTAGGAACATTACTAAGGTGACAATATATTTAAGCTCTATGTATCTACATTTTTATTTTGATATCTACTCAGCATTATTTAGATTCCCCATGTCTTTCCAAATTGGTAATATGTTACTTCTCTGTTGCTTGAACTTAATTTGCTTTCAGTGAATTGCTTCAATAGCTATATTTCACCCTGGGAATATCTTAATTTTACAGGTGAAAAGAAATTAGCTGTATCTTGCAAATGAAGTTTAGTAACAGGATAGGAATGATAGGATGATGTATATGCTAATTATTAAAACTCAATTATTGTTAAATGTGGTCTCAGCATTGGAGCCACAGCTTAGGAATAAAGAAGCTTTTGTGATAAAACCTTAAACTGGAAGACACAACACTTGGTCTTAAATCTGCCACAAATTTGCTTTATGATTTTGATTAGTTAATTAATCTATCTGGGCTGTTTCATCAGCTATGAAATTATTGTGTGCTACATGTTTTTTTCCTACTTTAAAATTATGATTTTGGTTGAATCCAAAGGTCATCATATTAGAGTCCAGAAGCACCCTTAAAGACAAAAAATTTAGTGTGAAATGATGTTAGAAACTAGGATGAAAAACAACAGTCAGGGAACACTTGAATATGAAAGTCAGATACTCTGGCAGGACTCAAGAGGAAACATATGCCCAAGGACAAGGTAGACCAGAGAGTTTAAGGTTTGAGAAACCTGGCCTTAAGACACTAACAAAAGCCATCAGTGTAGGGCAAGTGAATAGACAGATAAATGTAAGTCACTAGCTCCAAGTAAACTTCAGTAGTTGAGATAACACCCTGCCTCATACAATCCCTTTTACAATTCTTGTTCAGGCAGTACCAAATTTCAGTTGTGTCTGGCCTAGTAACTGAAAGGAGAAATAGTAAAGCAGGAATACATAGCAAACGTAAATTGAGTCTAGGTCTAGAAGAATCCGTATTAATCTTTGTATTATGTAAATCATAATATGCAAATTAAACCAGTTTTTTCTTTCATTTAGAGTTTTAATGAAAATTGCTTTCTTCTATATTGTTGAATTGGGGCACAGCTTGATATCTAAGGTCATATAGTCTGAAACATAACTTAAATCACTAATTGTTCTGGTGATGATCACTTAATTCTTAAAAAAGCACTGTCAAGTTACATCAATGTTTTGAATCTCCATGAATCTGAAGCTAGGAATATAAGCTAGAAATCTGGCATCACTACAAAAAGTGAGAGTTGATTTTCAGAGTTTTTTCCTCTAAATCTAGACGTATGTGTGAGAAAACAGACAATACAGATATGATTTTTATAAATGAAAAAGTGAAAGGGAAAAATTCATCTCCTAAACTAAAGGATTAATTGAGGTACCTATTGGGTATGGTAGGTCCACTTGAAGATCATGCCATCATCTCATCTGCTGAACTCCCCTTTCCCCTTCTCTGAAGTCCCTCTTGCATTTCTTATTTGTTTCAGGCATCCAAATTTAAAACTCAAAACTCATCCTTCACTACTTCTCTCTGGCATTTTGTAGGCAGGCAGGTACTAAGTTCTGTGTATTCTCTGTCTAAAATGTATCTAGCATCAAACCTCTTATTTCTTGCCAGATGTTATCCTAAGCAGCTCTCCACCCACACCCCCTGAGCTGCCACTGCTTTCATAATTCATTCTCATCATACTCAGTGGCCACTTCTTTAAACCCCTTTATTAATTTTCCAACTCTTTGCTTTATGTCTTGAAAAGTTCTAATTATAAAATAAACTGCATTTATGAAGTAGCATGGTATTTTGTTAGTTTATCTATGTTTTCTAAATCCAAGATCTATAATGTGTAACTACAATAAAACTCTTGATTGACATGCAATAATCAGCATAACTATGTCAAATGCAATGCTCTTTTAACCTCCTGTCCTATCCTTCCTTTATCAACTAGGCATTTTGGGACACTGTTCTAATCCACTTAGGTGAAATACCAATTCCATTATGTTCAAGGACACCATATAGTTTTTTGTTGTTGTTGTTGTTGTTGTTGTTGTTTTTGAGACAGCTTCACTCCTGTTGCCCAGGCTGGAGTGCAATGGCGCAATCTCGGCTCACTGCACCGTCTGCCTCCTGGGTTCAAGTGATTCTCCTGCCTCAGCCTCCTGAATAGCTGGGATTACAGGCATTTGCCACTACGCCCCACTGATTTTGTATTTTTAGTAGAGATGGGGTTTCTCCATGTTAGTCAGGCTGGTCTCAAACTCCAGACCTCAGGTGATCTGCCCGCCCTGGCCTCCCAAAGTGCTGGGATTAAGGCGTGAGCCACTGCACCTGGCCTAGGATACCATATAGTTTATTGTTCAAACTGGATCATTTTGAAGCGTGAAAGAGGGGTATTTATAATGATTATAATTATGGCTGGACAGTGGTGTGAACTGGAACTGTCCTAGGCAAAGTGGGAAGTGGGATAACCCTAGTCATCCCACTCCTTATAACCTCAGTGCCTTCTACCACCTACAAATAGAACTACAACTTTTTTTAGCTTGGCATTCTGGAAATTCATGTTAGGCTCTCTGCCTCTCTTTGATGGGTGTACTCACTGATCACCTCACCTATTTGCTTAGATATTTCTACTCTTGCACATTTGTTTATGTTATCCTCTCTCTTTACCTTTTAAATTGTCTCACATCAGTTTACCTTTTTAACCCCTACACAACTTTTAAAGTGGGGTTTATCCCCAATATTTCTCATAAAGCTCCCCTACTTTAGTCTGCTGTCATTAAGTACTCTTTTCTCAACTCCTAAGTACTGGTTGATCACTTGACCCCTATATGTTATCTTTGTAACAGATTTTTAGGCCTAATTGTCTGATCTCAAATGGATTTCAGATTCCCAATGGCATTGATTTTATCTTGTACTTCCGTTTGGGACTTTAGGGTTCTCTTTCACTCTTTCTTCCCACTTTAATTGTCTAGACACTGGTTAACTTATGAGGAGCACTGGAGGTGTTGTCAAATGAAGGAAGGGATTCCAAGGCCAGAAACTAGAAGGGGAACTATTTGTCTGAAATTAGAAACATGGAGGCTAGAGAGATGAACAAAGCTACAAACCCAGTGGATGCACCGATGGCTAATAGAAGGGGAGTTGGGGCAAAGCATCATGAAAGACAGGCCATGGAGAAGAGAATAAGTAGCCTGGCAACAAATCATGGGAGAATTTGAGAGGAATGGAAGCAGTCGAGTTCTGAGCATTGTCTAGCTCTGGAAGCTTTTTGTGCAACATGACCCACAGTCCAGCAGCTTTGATGTCATCTGGAAACTTATTAGAAATGCGGATCCTCAGGCTCCACTCTTCATATTACAAGATCTCTAGGTGATTCGTTTGGCAAGCGCTGGCCTAGAGTATCAGCTTATCTTTGTGTGCAGATTTTATAGTTGAGCTGGGACCTGGCAAGTAAATGGATCTTTCTGAGTTGAATATTCAATTGTGATATTTGGATATCCAATAATAAATATGAGTTGGTTAAACATTGGGTTGAGAATCTATTTTTATTTTTTCATTGGATTTTTAGTGCTTGAAATGATAGTGTAGATCTTGTATAGACTTTCAACAAAAGTAGGGATGGAGGAGATTTGAGCTCAATGTGTGTTAGAATAATATTTTTCAGATAACAAACTGTGACTTAATAAGATTTGGGTGGAGAATAACTAAAATAATCTAATTATGGATGTACTAGAATTTTCAAGTGTGTGTTCATTTCGTTAGGATCTGTAACTTTTTTGACCTTAAATCTATTCTTGCCAGTTTTAAGTGCTTCAAGACAGGAAAACAGTTGGCCATCTGGT
The DNA here is from genome assembly GCF_000001405.40 of Homo sapiens. NCBI lineage: Eukaryota > Metazoa > Chordata > Mammalia > Primates > Hominidae > Homo > Homo sapiens. The sequence continues at coordinate 122,347,476 of NC_000006.12, read as the reverse complement.
TTTACTAAACACTTTCTCACGTACAAGGACAAGATGTATTACTTGGAGCAGCTAAGAAGTGCACTGCTGGAAGAATTTAGGACACTTCTCTATACAAACTATTTCTCAAGGATGAAGAACTTGGCCTGTATCAAAAATTAAAAGAATTTTTGTTGGAAATACTTCTGACTTTTTCTTCATATGCTTCAGCTATCTGTAATGGTATATAAATAAGCATTTAATTAACTACAGAAAGTATCTCACTGTGTGAGCTACACATAGCCTCTCATCTACCCTTCCCTTTATGGAATAGAAAACTGCTATCTAAATTTGTTAAGTAGATCCTGTTTTACTTTTCATGTTATTTTCATTATTAAATCAGAGATGACTTTGGCTAGATAAAATTCTGTTACTTAAGAAAAAATTAAATCACATCTTGAAAAAGACTAATGATAAATTTCTGATAAAACATTAACTATATTGGTCTATAGGGAAAAAAGGCAACATAAAACACACTGAACAAAATTCAGTGTATTGTGCTAAATATAGTTTTTGCTATAAACATAAGAGACAATAAAAATAAAAGCCTTTCAACATTACTAACTCTACACTTTACGTCTCTTCTCCTTCCTCCATGATTTGGTCTAAATCGTTTCCAACAGACATTATTTTTTCCCAATGATTCTTGTCATAGAATGCTTTGATTACAGTGAGTAGCAGCACAAAAAAAATGACAAAAATATAGGGTCAAACTACCAATTTATATCTAGGAGGATAGATTAAAACAGATGTCAGCTGGCATATATATTTGTCCAGCCACAGATAGGATTACTCAGCAAATACTTAGTATATTGTGTTTCTTGATTTTTGTATTTGACCCAAGTGTTTGTTTAACCAATAATTTGCTCTGAGGCAGCATCATGCAGGCATTTATCATAATATTGATCATTGTATGATATTAGCCAGTTGCTAAATTTTAAATATAATTTAACAGGAGAAGCAGGATATACAAACTGGGGGTTAAGAGAACTACTGAAAACAGTAACAATAATGCACTCAGATTCACTAAGATTGGAGATGTATTTACAGAGAATTTGTGACTTCCAGAACTCCTTACACTTACAATTCTCTTTAGAAAACCTATTTTAAGTCAGGGATAATGACACAGAGAGGCATCAACAAACAAAACATTTATAAAACCAAACAACTTCTTGTTGCACATAGTACAGCTTGACACTTGTGTGCAGGGTAGGATTGTAGGCATCCTGTGTGCCTTTCCATCCCTGCCATGACACCAATGTGGCCACCCCAACTGGTTCTCAGGCTCCTTGTTCTGTATTAGGCAGTCCTCAAAGATTTTGAGACCCTTGCTATACAATGTCAGTGGGTCTCTCTTGAGTTAGTCCTAAGCCGTGTGGAGTAAAGGGATGCATATTCCTAGTATAAATGGAACCATTCTTCTTGTGTCACCCATGGGTCTCTTGACTATCCTCCCTGATGGGGTGACGTGTAGAAGGCAGGAGTGTGGTCAACATTGTTAAAAGATGTGTTGTCCTACTTTTACACTATAAAATTCTGAACAAAAAATTTCATGACCTAAAAAAGAATTATTGCTCAAATTTCCTGCATACTCTGGATAAGATGTATTTGTGGTCATCATCATTCTTTGAGAAAAATATTAGCAACCTTTGAGAGAATTATTGGAAGAAAATAACCACAGCAGCATGAGGTATAATTCAGCATCGTGAGTAAAAACTACCATTAAGTAAATGTTACTAAGGAAGCTGCAGAAGCAAGAAGATCTGTGTTGTTTTCATACAAACGGGCTCTGAAAACCATGGCCTTGTGATAATACAGTCTTTCAGTGAGAAATACAAAATTAGCACATTTTGACAATAAAAAACACACAAGGCTTGTTCTGAGACCTGAACAGGAAGAGATGGCACCTGGATATTATGAAGAATCTTCCCAAGAACTTATTGGACAATAAACAGCTAAGTATCTGTTATTCCAAATCTTTATCAAGAAGTCACTAATCTTTGCAGCGACCCATGAATTTTGTAGCATATTTAAAAGTCGAATGATTAATGTAGATGGGGGTTCTGCAAAAATATTTTCCCAAGGCCTTGCACATCTTAGAGGGGTCTCTGATTGCATAAATACTTTCAGTCACAATTTCAGGTTTTGTTGCTATAGTTTTGATGTAGTTCATTTTAACAATAAGGAGCGAGTGAGGAACAAAACAAAAGTGGAGCGGGAAACTTTGCTGAACTTACTGTACAGTAACTTTTTTGTTGTTGTTTCAGGGTATATGTGCAGGTTTGTTACATGGGTAAGTCATGTAATCCTGGGGTTTAGGCTTCTAGTAAACCCATCACCCAGATAGCGAACATAGTATCCAATAGTAGTTTTTCAGCCCTTACTCCCCTCCATCCTTACCCGCTTTTGGAGTCCCCAGTGTCAATTTTTCCCATCTTTATGTCCATGTGTACCCACTGTTTAGCTCCCACTTATAAGTGAGAACATACAGCATTTCATTTTCTGTTTTTGCATTAATTCACTTAGGATAATGGACTCCAGCTGCATCTATGTTGCTGCAAAGAACATGATTTCATTCTCTTTTGTGGCTGCATAGTATTCTATGGTTCATATGTACCACATTTTCTTTATCTAGTCCACCATTGATGAGCGCTTGTCTACAACACTTTTTGATGAGAGTTGGGCTTTGGAATTAGACAAAGTTGGAACTTGAAGTGAAGACATAATGGGAGTGGAGCCTTAGCTATGCCATTTTTGTGGAATCCCTGGCAAGTCTTTTACTGCAGCAAGTCAGTTACTTCATTTCCTCACAAAATTGTATATAAAGATGGGATAGAATAATTGTGTAAATAATTAGCACATGTTAAGTATATAGCAAGAGTCCTATTTTGGTTAGATATTTTCATATATTATTGTTAAATGGATAGGGCAAATACATCAAAATTGAATTCTTAAGATAGTATTATAATTAATCAATAATCTCTTTTTTATTATTTCTTGCCAGAAAGCTAGATATTTAATAAAATTTTAGTTTAATGCCCTGAAAAAAGGAAATATAAATAGAGTTGGTGGCTGATTTTCTGTAAGTTCATAATTGCTACTGTATTTTATTTAATCTTTTACCCTGCATCATCTCTGGGATTGACACATTGGTATAATTTCCAGAGTTATCAGGTAATTTTCCTGAATTGCAGGTAGTGATTCTGAGAGGCAGTTAGTGGAAAAGTAGAAAGAGGCTCTCCGTCTTTTGTTATGTCAAAATATTTGAGACTTATTTGAATAAAATCAACACTAACTGAATTATACACTCACTTTCATTAAATTCAGGTTGCTTGAAATGCATATTTGCCCTTTTTGAGGGGCTGAACAACATCAGAAACCCCTTCTTATATTCCTGGAATTGGCTGCGTGATTCATCCTGGTGAGAGACAGAGCCTGTCATGCATAATAGAGAAGGAAAATGCTTGGTGTTTGTTTTGCCAAGGTACTTTTCATCACGGATGTGAGCACATGACTTTCTTTAAATAATTAGATAAAAACATTTTCTTCCAACTTTGGATAAAAAGCTACTGATTCAAAGAAGCAGGCCCTGGAGAAAATCCATTTTGGTGCTGAGTAGTGGCAGCAGAAGTGGCAGTAATATTGAGTTTCTCGAGACAGCTGTGGCTTTCAATGTCTAGTGCCAGAAGCAATGGCACAGCGACCCGAGACATCCAGCATTTAGTGGTGCAAGCAGTGGTGACTTCTCTGGATGGGTTTTGTGGGTTGGCCATGCTTTTTTTTTTTTGCCCTCGTTTCTACCTGTTTTCCAATTCAGAGAATGTGAGCAACCCTGTAAATTTTTAATTATTTCCCTTTTTCTTAAAATCAAGCTTGGTATCTGTTATTTGCAACTTCGAATCTTGATTGATGTGTGCTTCGTGCTCCATCTATTCCACTTT